>NC_000010.11:104537034-104840064 GCF_000001405.40 Homo sapiens
ATAATGCACGTGATTTGCCCAGCACTGTGCATGACTTAGAGGAGACTTTTAAAAGCTGTTAGAAAACCTGTCCTCCCACCCCCTCACTCCCCCTTGGAGACCGAGTCCTAGGGATTAAGTATTGCCCCTTTTCAAAATGCAGAGGCAAATGCTCCTGCTAAGGGGTCCTGCCTTTTATCATCACAACTTGGCTATCTCTCTGTTTCCATGAATTTGACTTTTTTAGATCCCACATATAAGGAAGATCATGCAGTAAGGCTGGGATGGGAGGATTAGGGAGATAATGGTCAAAGGACACAAAATTTCAGTGAGACAGGAAGAAGGATATGTTCAAGAGACCTATTGTACATCGTGGTGACTGCAGCTAATAACAATGTAATGTACACTTGAAAACTACTAAAACGGTAGATTTTAAATATTCTCACTACAAAAAAAGGATCAGTATTGGAGTCATGCATATGTTTATTAACTTGATTTAGCCCTTCCACAGTGTGGACCTATTTCAAAACATCATGTTGTACAGAATGCATAGATATGATTTTTATCAGTTAAAAAAATAACATAAATGAGTTGGCTCTCTCTGGGGCAGGAGGTGCCACAGGTTCTTATGTGTGTTGTGGGTGGGTAGCAGAGGAAGCAAGGTGAGGAGAAGGTGGTGCTGAGGAAAGGTGGGGAGAGGGCCCTCAAAAGGAAGCAGGGGCAAATGTGCGACTTGGCACTTGCCAAAGGCCAGTCTAGAGACATACACACACCCTCACGCATGCACACACATATACGTGTGTGCCCAGTCTAGGAGTTTTATGAAGCCTTCTGGGACCATTCCCACCCACTGCCTGCACTAGCCCAGCTGACCCAATCAAAGTGGATGCATTTATATCTGGAAGATGAGATGTAAGCAGAGGTTCATGTGTCAGTTTCTGGGAAACTTTCTTAAGACAACTGGCACATGCACTTGGCTGTAATTTGTCATCTGGGAGGTTCGTGGACATTAATTCTGTCTCTCCCATGAGGTAGAGGCTCTCTTAAGTCAAGAATACCTCTTCCATGTCATGCCCCTCCCTCTCACCCAGGGTCAGGCACAGGGCTCTGGATATCATCAGTCTGCAATGATCCATAGGCCATGGCTTGATCAAGTGGTGTAAGCAGATGTCACCTCATAATGTTTTGAAATTGGCTAAGAATTAATTCTGGGCACTGTCTGAGTGAAGACAGCCCCAGTGTTGAGGAAATAAGGATCAAATTTGATAAAGGAAGAAACAAGGTGCCCACACTTACCCCACTCCCAGAAGGAGACTTACCTCTGGGTTCAGCTCCCATTTCTTGGCCAGTTCTCCCCATTCTATTCCATGTGATAACTTTATTTCTAGGTCCCCTGGACCTTCTTCCCCTTCCCCTCAACCCTCTCTAACCAGGAAGAAGGTGAAAAAGGTGCCTAGATATTAGTAACACTGGTGTCAGTGGTTACTTAATGTCTTTTCCTTCCAGAGGCCTGTGTAGGGCAATACCTTAACCCAGAAGGATAGGCATGGGGGAGTCTTCAGCCCTGTCTAGAGTCCGGGCTCTGGAAAATCATGCAAGAGCTCTGTCTTCACAGCCCTTCCTATTAAATGCAATCCTCATGGCCTATATCACTGTTTTAATTTTACAGTCAATTGAGTTAATATTCATGAAAACCTGTCTTCTCTACGAGATTCAAGGTCTACAGGGGCAGAACTATGCCTACCTGGGCTTGTCACTTAGCCCAGGGCCTAGCACAGAATAAGTGCTAAGCAAAGGTTTGTTGACTGAAAAATGAGTGAAATAAATGCATTGATGAGAAGAACCTGCTTTAGTGCTCTGTGCAGCGAGGGTACATGATACCCAGGAAAGCAGCCTTTCCCAGCCTCCAAGAAGGCTTATTCCTGCCCCCTCTCTATAACTAAAATGTCTGATGTGCCCAGCCTCTGTGTGTGTGTGTGTGTGTGTGTGTGTGTGTGTGTGTGTGTGTTTAAGGAGGGGCCAATAGGGAAAGCAATTAAAATATTAATTAATACAAGAGTACAAGACTATGCAGTTTGTTCTTTTCCTCGATTGTTCATTCATTTATCAACTAATAAGCACGTGCCATATGCCACAATGTATTGGGCAATGAGAGGGATTCACATATGAACAAGACATTGTCCTGTCCTGAAGGAACTCACAGCATAGTAGGAGGAAAATGTAATTGCAGTAACAACCACCCTAACAGTTATAATACTAATGGTAATTTTTGAACAGCCCCTATTCGCCAGATCTTGCCATGCACCCTTTAAGATATTGGCCTGTTTATTTTCCTCAACAACTCTTTGAGGAAGAAATATTATTCCTACTTTATGAATTAAGAAATCAAGTCACAGAGAGGTTAAGTCACTTCCCAGGGTCACACAGCAAAGCTCTCGACTCTATGCTTTGCTCTTGTAATACAAAATAGAACAGGTTGAGTGTTTACAAGTGTACAAACAGTGCCCCAGGAGTTCAGAGAAATAATTCTCATGTGAGCTCCGGAGGGTGAGTGGTTTGATGGGAGTGTCAGAGGGGCAAAGAAAGGGTAGGGGATATTTAGGGGAATAGGGGGCAGTTCAGTTTGGCTGGATGCAAGGGTATGTGACAAGATGGAAGGCAGAGAAGCCTGGAGAGGTGAATGGGACCAGCCTGGGTAAGATCTCAGATGCCATTTCAGCCTCATGGTTGACTGTGAATAAGTGGCAGATAGAAAGACAATGACTACAGTGATGTGGAGTCCTGGTCTCCCCTGGTCTGTGCTGGTGGTTCGTCTGGCAAGGGGACAGGGGTGCAGCTCTGACTCAGCCAGGTGAGTGCCTGGCCCTGGCATCTGTAAGCCCCAGCCCAGCAGTGAAGCTGCTTATTGAGGGAGATGGGGCAACACCAGCTCGATGGGATGCTCCTAGGCTACCCCAAAGAAGCCCTTGACAAGGCTCATCCCTGATGAGGGGCCCAATAGAGATGGGCAGACACGGTCACTCATCAAACCAAGCAGTTTTCCTGGCCTATGGGGCCACGCCCCCAGAAGGTGGGCAAACCCTGATAAAAGTCCTTGAAGATCCACACATTTCCCTTGCACAGAATTAACCCCAGTCAAGTGATTTCCTTACTAGCTTTGACCAGTAATTTCAGATATTTTCAGATAAGCCTCAGTTAGAGATAGAGATAGAAAAAAGAGCAAGATGAAGGGGGTATGGAGTATGTGAACATATTTGTTTTGTGGAGTGACTGCAGGAGAGGTCTCGGGAAGGCATGGGAGGTTGTTGAGAGCAGCTGAGAGAACATACGAATTGTGTCATTGTTAGCGAAGATTAAACAGTAGAAAGAATGAGGCTTTGCTGGCAGCCACTGGATTAACAGCTTGTAGATTTCAATAATCAGTTTAAAGTTGAGTTTATATGCATGCTGAGAAACCTGGCTCCTTAAGATGAGCTATGCTGTTGTTGCTGGAAATGGCTGGAAGTCAGGGAGGGAGATTTACAGCCTGAAGATGTCACCCTTCAGAGAGGAATCACCCACTCCTAGGACAACAGACTGGAAGGCAGCCTGTCAGAAGGAGAGACCTTGTTGATTTCTGAAAAATGTGAATTTCAATTGATATGCCCAAGAAAAAGTGAGCACTATTTATAGGATAGTGACTGAGATGTACTGCTTAAGAATAGACAGCAGGTGGGGTGCGGTGGCTCACGCCTGTAATCCCAGCACTTTGGGAGGCTGAGGTGGGCAGATCACTTGAGGTCAGGAGTTTGAGACCAGCCTGGCCAACATGGTTAAACCCCATCTCTACCAAAAATATAAAAAGTTAGCTGGGCATAGGGGTGAGCACCTGTAATCCCAGCTACTCAGGAGGCTAAGGTAGGAGAATCGCTTGAACCTGAGAGGCAGAGGTTGTAGTGAGCCGAGAGCATGCCACTGCACTCCAGCCTGGGCAACAGAGTGAGACCTCATCTCAATAAATAAATAAATAAATAAATAAATAAATAAATAAATAAATAAATAGAAGAGACAGCAACACCTCACGGCCAACCGAATAAGGGTCTAAATCCTTGGCTCAGAAGCCTCAGCCTTCCTTTGGGAGGCTACCGACCCCACTTGTACCCCTACTTCCTATGGCCCCCATTATGGGCCTGTCCTCCCTGGACCTCTTTTTTCTGCCTGCCCCATCTCCTTGGGCACCCCTTCTGCCTAAAGAGTTCATCTTTGTTTTCACCTGTCCAAACTATTCCTGCCCACCAACTCCAAATAGATTCACTGACTCCTCTACTAAAAGGCCTCTGACCCACTACTCCCTTCCAGAGTAGGATGACATCCTCTCTGCTCCTGTAAGGCTCATCACATTTTCTTTGTGACATAGCATTTACACGATTGTCCCATGACTCCTATTAACTCCAGAAGGCAGATAACCCATACCGGGGTCCTCTGCATGTCTCGTAGCTTGGCATCCTGGCAAAGTGCCTTGTAGCCTGCAAAGTGCCTTGCCTGTGGCCGCCATATCAGACACTGTATGTTCATTCTTGGCTTTCCAACCCCATTCTTTCACCCACAGTAGCCAACTCGCTGTCCCCAATGTGCTGTGAACTTTCACACCTCCAGGCCTTTCATTCATTCGTTCAACATACATTTAGTGAGTTCCTTCTATGTGCCAGACTACTCTAGCTCCAAGACACAGGGATGAGCATATGACCCCAACCTGGCCAAGCAGAGCATTTCATTCTCCTGGCCACAGAAATGCATTACAGATGGTGGGAAACACAAAGCATGCCATTGAAACTCAAATCTGAGACTTGGGTGGGGACTCTCTGGAAAGCCACACGTACTTTCCTTTGGAGTTGTTTAATAGTAGGTGTCAGCAGGAGCCACTGGGGGCCACCCACGAACGGGAAGAATCAAGTCACCACCAAGGAAAGCAGATCTCAGAGGCAGAGGGCTGGAGATTCCTGGTGACATCATTGAGTACCTAGATCCAGCCAATTCTGAACTACCTCTGAAATTTTCAGTAAATGAGCTCATCAGTTCCCTTCTCTGCTTAAGCCAGTTTAAGCTGGACTTCTGCAATATACAAGCAGTGTTCTCACCAATACGAAGGTAACACATGCCTTCATGGAGGTGAAAACTGATCCTTTGCCCTCTGAGATGCTCTAAACCTGGGTCTATAGCACCCTCACTTTCTTGCTGCCTGGGGTGTGGTGGGGTGATGATTAATTTGTCTGTTACCACTCTACTCTTCAGGCCCCACTTGGCTGGAGCCTCCTGCTGCGTCTAGGAGCAGGCCTGAGATGAGGCCCCTTTTCCACAACTCCAGGAGTTTATGGGATTAATGACATACATAGATTTAATGATGGGCTCTCGATGGTGGAAGGAAGCTGATTCTGAGGCCATAGTTCATTCTTGCTCAGGTTGATTAATAATTAGATGTCAATAGTCCGTAGGATTTGAGCATGAACGGTTGTTTTTTTCCTATTGGATATGTATTTTTGTCATTATTGATGTTGTTTTTTATATTGGGTCTTACTTTAGTTGCCATTCCTCTTCTGCCCCTTGAGATCTTGAGGTCCCATCATTGCCCCAGGGACTGAGAATGTTCCTGCACATTAATGAAGTCTGCAACGGATGTATTTTTAGTTGGCTTGTTTGCATCTGTTCTTTCCCTATTCCTTGTCTGATTGACACCTGCTGGGAGAGAGGCACCGTAGCAGAGATTTGCTATGGGAGATATTTGGCTACAGTGGCTGGCTTCACAGCATCCCTCTGATTGTTTCTAGCCCATGAGGGGGCATGGAGATTTCCATCTCCTTCATCTTGCCTTGATTCCATTGTTCAAATGAACTGCAAGGGGGTAAGCTGGGCTTGTTTACCACCTCTACTCGGCTAGTGGATGAAAGAAACAAGAAGCATTGCTGTGCCTGTTAAAAGTCTCCCTGGGTTAAAGCTGGAAAGCTTGCCAGAGAGAGGTGTTTCCAGGTATGCAGGTCTCTGCCGGGGAGAGACTCCTGGCAGCAGAGGTAGTGTTAGAAGACAGCTCTTGCTCTCTGTTGGAGGGCCCAGGGCCCTTTGCTGGCTACAGAGAATGGGGAAGCTGCCCAGGGGCCAGGTAGGAAGCAGGTGGCACACTCAAAAGGGAGGAGAGTTTAATAAGAGAACAGTTCACCAGCATGTAGGGAAGTATAAGGGAACAAGCAAGGGATGGTGAGGCACCTCCAGATTAGTAACAGAAGGAAACTCTTATTTCATATGCTCCGCACCAAGACATGAAGCACTCACCACACCACAAGAAAGCTCAAGCTCAGAAGGGCTTCCCAGCACCATCTGTGGGTTGCAGTAGAGTAACACAGCTATTGCCAACCTGTGGCTGGGCTGGGAGAAAACTAGGGGGAGGAAGACCCTGACCTTTCTCTCCTCCAAGCCTTTTATCTGTTGGATCCTCCTGTTGGCTGAACCTTACCCAGCGAGGGAGCCTTATTGATGCAGTCCATGGATGCCAGCCCTCTGAGCATATCAAGCAGGGTGGAAGAGGATGAAGAGTGGATTTAGAAGGAAAAACAGATAATAACCAGCTCTCTAGTGCTAACTCCCTGTTTCAGAGAGGGCTGTATGGGATGTAGGAAACAGAGAGTCACTTGTGGTTACTTCAAGGAAAAACAAGTGATGGGACCGGAACCTGAAAGGTAGGTGTATTAGTCCGTTCTTGCATTGTTATAAATAAATACCTGAGACTGAGTAATTTATGAAGAAAAGATGTTTAATTGGCTCGTGGTTCTGCAGGCTGTACAGGAAGCATGGTGACTTCTGCTTCTGGGGAGACCTCAGGAAACTTACAATCATGATGGAAGGTGAAGAGGAAGCAGGCACATCTTACATGGCCAGAGCAGGAGAAAGAGAGAACAGGGAGGTGCCATACACTTTTAAACAAGCAGATCTCGTAAGCACTCACGTACTATCATGAGAGCAGCATCAAAGGGGAAATCTTCCCCCTTGATTTAGTCACTTCCCACCAGGCCCCAACTCCGACACTGGGGATTACAATTAAGCAAGAGATTTGAATGTGGACACAGATCCAAACCATACTGGTGGGAATGTAGTTGGGTGTGGATTTATGCAGACCCCTTTCAAAGCTCCAGGGAGACTGTGTGGATGCTACTTGGGGTGGCAGGAAGAACAGATGAATGACAAACCTCCTCTGTGCTAGTCTATTTCATGCTGCTGTAGAGGAATGCCTGAAGCTGGGTAATTTATAAAGAAAAAAGGTTTATTTGGCTTATGATTCTGCAGGCTGTACAAGAAGCATGGCACCAGCATCTGCTCACTTCTGGTGAGGCCTCAGGAAGATTTTACTCATGGTGGAAGGCAAAGCTTTAACTCATGTGTCACATAGCAAGAGAGAGAGCAAGACAGGGAGGAAGGAGGTCCCAGACTCTAACAATCAGATCTCATGCAAACTACTAGAACCAGAACTCACTCATTACAGTAGGGAGAGCACCAAACCATTCATGAAGGATCTGCCCCCATTACTGAAACACCTCCCACCAGGTCCCACCATGGACACTGGGGATCACAATTCAACATGAGATTTGGAAGGGACACACATTCAAACCATATCACCCTCCCCACCCTAAGCTTGGCGTTCAGCCCCATGGGGAAGAGGCAATGCTTTTGGGTTACTGCAAAGGTTGACAGAGCTTGACTTTGCACTATTTCTGAGGCTTACTGACTTATCCTAAAAGTAAACAGCGATGCTCTTTCATTTAACAAGCAAACAGCAAACAGACATACAAAGGAAACGCTAGCTCCTTTCTGCATCCCCAACCCCATTCCCCCAATCCAAGAAAACAAGCATGAACAGTTTGGTATATATATCCTTCTTTCCTTTTCTCTGCTTAGCCAAACATATTATTGTCTATAAAATATTCGGAAAGTATTTTTTCTTCAAAAGCAGAACCACATAATGTGCATAACAATCAACTTTTTTTTCCACTAAAAGTGAAATGGATATGTTTCTAGGTCAATCATTCAATATATATATAGCTCCAGTTCACTCTTCTCAATTGCTTCCTGCAATTTCATAGTATTCATACGTAAAGAGTTTGCTAGAAAATCACATGTCTCTTTCATTGAGCCAACATAGAGTTCTTGGTGATGGAACAGGTATAAACTACCTTAAATAAGAGTCACTTTTGGTTTCCAAGTACAGTTAGGCCAGTTAGGGGTATAAGATGTGGGCATGGGACAGGAGGGCTCATTGTTCAAGGTAGCCCATAAGTGGCACATAAGTGGCCTACACAGTGGATATTTTAGGGAATGTTATGTGGGCTGAGAAGTCCTAGACAGCCTTATGGAAGAAGTATGATTTCAGGTGGACCTTGAAAGAAAGGGAGAGTTACTATTGACATTTTAGGCATGTGCAGCAACGCCAATTAGTGACTAATGAAGTGTTATGAGGCAGAGGGTCTGATGGACGTATGCCAAGCTTAGACAGCAATCAATTGTAAGTGACACAGTC
The DNA here is from genome assembly GCF_000001405.40 of Homo sapiens. Taxonomy (NCBI): domain Eukaryota; kingdom Metazoa; phylum Chordata; class Mammalia; order Primates; family Hominidae; genus Homo; species Homo sapiens. The sequence goes on from NC_000010.11 coordinate 104,545,553, forward strand.
TGGATTTAAATAGAGAGGAGCTAATGTCACTCAAAGTTCTTAAAGTCAGTTGGTTTTCCCCAAGTAGGTTAATTATGCCTCTTGCCCCTAATTCTTTCACACTCTTGATTTGTGTAACAAACTCTATTTTCTCTGAAAGCTCATATGTCAACTTGAGTCTTGTCTATGTCCAAATGATTACAAGTTTGAAATCCAGCATGTTTCTGTTAACAAGCTTTGACATGATGCCCATTAGACGGTGAATATCATAGGGCCCCACGGGTCTGTATCAGATCACAAGGGCCATCTCAGCACAGGCTGCAATCAGTCTCTCTGTAGGAGAAAGAGTCCTCGCTATCTGGGTGTTTGGGAGAGCAGGCTTCTCTCCTTCTGGTCCAACAGTGGGTTCATGTGCCTTTGTTCTGGCTTCCCACACACTGTCCCGTTTCCTTGGCCTCCATCCTTTCCTTGTCCCTCACCAGCATCCATGAGGGCATTCCCTCTGCTTCCAGGTGGTCAATCACTCCCTCTCTGACTCCTCAGTTGTACCTCCTTCCCTGTCATCCTGGGAGATTCTTCTCCATACTTTTTCTTCAGTTTCTGACCACCTTTTGGGGACATGACCCCTTAAAGTCCTTGTCTAAAGTAGCAGCACTATGATCCAGCCTCAACTTATTTCCCAAGATGTACAACTGGAAGACACACCTTTACATCCTCCGGCCCCCAGCCCTGAACTCTAGTGCTCCAAAATTTGTTACCTCTTTGCTTCTCTGTTGCTATAACTCTTGACTTTTCCAAGGTTTGGGGACATAAAAATTCACCACCCACCTCAATATAAAGTTAATTTTCTAAACGCTTTACATTTAGAAGACTCCAGGAATCATTAAAATCATGTTAAAGAATGAAAGGGACACACAATTTGATGCAGTCCTCTTTAAATGGGAAAAACTCCCAGTTATGAAACATGTGGGGGAGGCAGATTCTCACCTTAAAGAGGTGGTGCCAGGAATTGCGTTTCCTGTCACGGCACTATCTGAGCTGCTGAAATATCTCCTCTCATTATTGGGAACCTATATAAAAGCTGATAAACTTTTATTGCAGGCATATTATAGCTTTACTTTAAAACACCTCCACCCCCCTTGGCAGTGCTGAGGAATGGATTTCATGTGCGGTGTGCAGCTGCCATTCAAACCCTCTTTGAGTTGAGCGGGGAAAGTGGGGTTAGGGGGAAATAACTCTGGGAGCCCCCAGGTCCTCAGATAGCCTCCTCTGTGCTAAGCTTACTGCCCTTAGGGATCTCACTTTTGCTGGGCCTTGCCTTGTTCAGCGCACTCTATCAGGGTCATGAGCCTCTTGCATGTAAGGAAGAGAAAGAGTCCTCAAGGTAGGAGAGTGGCTCCTAGTGGTTCCCAATGTGAGTAGCTGCAGGGAGAAGACACTAGAGAGAGTGGCCAGAGTAGCCTCAGTTGAAATGCAGGCGTGTTGGAGGAGAGAGGTGCCCGAATCTCTCTGGACTTGAGTCTCTTAGGAACAAGTGGCTCAGGCCTGTGGGTCTGAAGACAATTGGAGAGTGGGGGTGAGAGGAGCCTGGGCTCTGATATTAAATTCTTTTCCATTTTATCTTGATTTCCCAGATCACTAGCTGCATGGTCCTGGGCAAGTGACTTTGTCCCTGTGGTCCTCAGCTCCCTCATGTTTGAATAGAAGTAATATTCCATTGGAGGGGAGTGGTGAGGATTAAATGCAAGAACATAGACAAATCTCCCTGTTCTGGTCCTAGCAGGAAGTGCCTAATTGATGTGGAGCCTCTCCTTTTTGTATCTGATTTAAGTTGCCTCTGTAGCACCATGGTTTTTCTTTTTTATCCAGTTCTCAGTGGTCTACTCTTATTAATTATTATGAAAATACTTCTACCAGTTGAAGCACTATGTCTTCTACAAGGCCAACTCTAAAAACTCCATGTGTCCATGATCCTCTTTCCCATTAACCCTTTATAACTGTTTAACACTTTTTTGGCCCTTTTTGGATTTTTTTCCACATTTGCCACTTGTTTGCTGGGACTACCTGAGATTTCCCAAAAGGATATCTCTAATGAAGGCCAAAATTGAGGTTCAGGAGGATAGAGGATGGTTCATACTTCTTAAACGCCCCTTATTGTACAACAATATTGGGTCATGTATTAGGTATTTAGCAGTTCTGCCTAAGATGATCTGCAACGGACCCTCTAGATGAGGGGTCAGTAAGCTACAGCCTGCAGCTTACTGCAGGGTAATATTCATCCCACCATTTGCTGTGTTTTTTTTAAAAATAGTTTATTGGACCACAGCAACACCCATTTTAAAGCATTGGCTATGGATGCTTCTGTGTTATAATGACAGAGTTGAGTATTTGCAATGACAGTGTATGCCCTGCAAAGCCTAAAATACTTACTATCTGGCCTTTACAGAAATATTTTGCTGACCCCCTACTCTAGATCTTCTTCTGTTGATGTGTTTCAAGGTCCTTCCTCAGCTCCAAGAAGACACTGAGGAATTAACTCCCTGAATTCCACTAGGTAAGCTCCACAGTTGAGCTACTCATTTCCTGGGAAAACATTGTGCTGCCACATGACATACCTGTTGGTATCCTTTACAGGCAATCTGGACCTACCCTGATGAATTAGGGTCCTTTAAATCCTAAGAGTTATTTTAGGGATAAGCCCTATCCTGGAAGACTCTTAAGAGCTTGAGAGCTGGAAAACCATTAGCCCAGCTGGCAGCTATCCTTGGTGCTGACCTCAGGCCTGGATTCTCAGATTCTAATACCTTAGTAAGTAGCGTCTTATGTTCGTTAGGCATTTAATTGTTTCCAAGGGCCTCTAAAATGTGTTTTCACTTGTGTTCTGCTATCATTTATGAGAAAGTAGGAGCCAGAAGAAGTTCAGGTCTCTTGTACCCCATGCAGCCCTGCCTGCCTTGGCTGTATTTTCATAATTACAGCTTTGATTTCAATCTCTCATTAAGCGTCATTCTACCCTTCCTTCAGATGCTGCCAGATAGCTTTTGCTGGAATGACAAGATCTTTGGCTTCATTTGGGTAGTCATCTTGCCCAGATCTACACTTGACCCTTTGGACTCTGTAAGGCCTGCCTGAGCCTAGACCCTTTACCACCGTCTTGCCCTATTTGTTCACCTCCCCAAGAATTTGCCTTTCCAAGCCTCCTGCCCAAATTCCTGACAGTCACTCAACATAAGACAACTTGTTCCTTAGACAGTACCCTCTCTGGGCACTAACTAAAGCCCCAAAGTAATAGAAAAGTATTCATCTTCTTTCACAATAGGTGGCCCTGAGATTAAGGGTATTCCCTTTTGAAGAGAAATAATGTGGTCTTAAAAATCAAAAAACTCCAGCCTCTGACTTCTCATTTTGGGAGATATTTTAAGGTCTTAGATGAAGGTGGATATGTCACTTTTTGCTTCCTGCCCACACGCTAAGACCAAAGCCATAGCCTCATTCCCGGAACCCGTGGCCTACTCTCAGTATGATGGTTGCATGTTATATTCTGGCACATGCAAGTGCTCAGGTGTGGAATAAGGCAACATGTGATTATATTGCTTCACTTAATAGAGGTAGGTGTACCCTAGTGATGGAGATATAGCTATCTCATAGAGTACCAATACATATTTATTCGGCATAATAGTTTGCAGTAGGGATGGGTCAAAGACATTAAAACCATTAATCACACCCAGTAACCAGAGTATTCCTTGAGTTCTAAAAGTCAGAGCATCCTTAGTGACCACATGCCCAAAACTTCATTTTAACAAGGAGAGAGCTGAGACTCAGGGAAGGGAAGTGTCTTGTCTCTGGGAGTTCATGGCATAACAGGTATTAGAATCCATATCTACACATTTCCATGTAACTGGCTCATCTTCTACCAATAATTTCCTCTGGTACAGGGGCAGCATCTCAGAGGACCCTTCAAGAGGAAAGAGGATGATGGGACCATAAAAGTTCCAATTTTATGTTTGGTTTATTTTGAAGAAAAGATTTTGCTCCTTAAAAAGATATGAAAGTCACTGCAGCAAAACATGCTAACTCTTGATTTGGGGAAATTGAAAACCTTAAAAAAACCCTGAAAAGTCATTTTATAATTGGTTTCCATTTACTGCATGTCTACTGTATTCCAGGAACTTGACACTCAGTGGCCCATTTAATCTTAAGAACATTCCTATGAGTCACATGTTATGAATCTATTTTGAAAGGAAAGACTAAGTACCATACAGTTAAAAAACCTACTCCAAGGATACACAGCAAGTAAGTGGAGGAACTGGAATCCAAACTTACATCTTTCTTTTTGTAAAATTTCTTTCATCATTACTCTTAGCTTTTTCATGTCATTCTATCTCCTTCCTTGATGGCCAGCTACCAAGTGAAATTCCAGCTTTTGTAAATGATAGCTTATTATATCTTTTTTTTTTGAGACAGGGTCTCACTCTGCCACCCAGGCTGGAATGCAGTGGCATGATCTTGGATCTCTGCAGCCTCAGCCTTCTAGGTTCAAGTGATCCTCCTCCCTCAGCCTCCCGAGTAGCCGGGATCACAAGCATGTGCCACCAAGCCCAGCTAATTTTGTATTTTTTGTAGAGACAGGGTTTTGCCATGTTGCCAAGGGTGGTTCTTGAACTCCTAGGCTCAAGAAACCCTCCCACCTCAGCCTCCCAGTGCTAGGATTACAGGTGTGAGCCATTGTGCCCAGCTTAGTTCTTATATCTCATATCCCTGAAGTCTAAAAAGAATCTCTCATTTTGTTTCGTAGGTAGCATTTAAAGATTGAATAGTAACAGTTTCTTCTAGTTTATCCTCTTGGCCCCACCTGCCTGAGAATAAGACACTCCTGTTTGATAGAAAAGAAAATGAGCAGTACACAGAAGTGACACATTCATCAAGAATGGAGATGATACTGATAAAGGATATCAGTCAGACAATATTTTAATATGAGAATCCATTCTTTTTCTTTCTATATTTCTGATTTTTTCACTGATCAGTCTTGCATTTTTGTAGAACATGTAGAGGGATAAATGTTTAAGCTTGGGGAGACCTAGAGGCTTCCGGCTGCTATTGAGGATGTTTCTTGGCTGAGGGCCTAGAGATCTAGTTGCCCCTGTTACGTGAATCTCCACTTCTCTGCTGGTAGATACAACACTACATCAGTGAAGTTTGAACTGCCAGCCCTGTTCTGGCCGGAGATTTCTAGTAGCATTATTGATATTGGGATAAAGCCTCCTCAACTGGGAGACGACATCTCTAAATGGCAAACAAGTCTTTGATTTTGGGGAGAATATACAGCCAAGAGGGCCAGCCCCATTGTCAGAGAAGGGAGCAGAGGTTGCACTATAGCAGGAATCATATTGGTAGCAGTACCAAAGCAGGCTGGGATCCTGCACATAACCAAGACTTCATTGTTCCAGAGGCTCAGGATAAAGTCAAGATGGGAAGAACCCTCCAACTGTAGTCTTTTCTATATTTTGGATATCTGCTGTCAACCACCACCAGAAATTACCTGTGTGAAGTCACCCAGTAGAGGGGAGCTCTTAGCAGAAGGTAGTAAAAAGGAATTGAGTTCTAGTCCTGACTCAGTTACAGCCTCTCTCTCTGACCTAGGGCAAGAAATGCCCTTTTGCTAAAACTCAGTGTAGTTCTCTGCAAAAAGAGGGAGTTGGCCAGCTGGTCCTTTTTTGATCCTTTTTTTTTTTTTAGGAGACAGGGTCTTGCTCTGTTGCTCAGGCTGGAGGGCAGTGGCATGATCATAACTCACTGCAGCCTCGGACTCGCGGGCTCAGGTGATCCTTTTGCCTCAGCCTCCTGAGTAGCTGGGACTACAGGCATGCACCACCACACCCAGCTTGCTCATACCTTTTTACTGCAAAGGTGAAATCTACACCATTCAGGGGTGAGAACTTCTGCTACTGCCCCATGCTGTGCACTTGTTGTGTCTACTATGATTGTCTTGGTTGTGTGTGTTGCATGCATGTGAAGTTATATGACATGATGAAGGTAGGAAAGTTATACCAAAGCTTCTGGAAGCCAAGTGGGTAGGAAGAGCTAGAAAACAAAGTTCCAGCTCTTCTCTCTGGATGCCTGAAATACCCTTGCATGGGGCCTGAGATGCTGCTTAGAGGTAGGGATAGACATGCAACCATTCCTGTACCATTTTCTCTGGCCTCTTAGGTTTCCTGTACATACATGATCAGCTCTAGAGAACGAGGCACAACTCTGTTAAGCCTTCCTGCTGTTAGCACCATGTTTCGCTGCACCTGGTTGGAGGATGTTTTCCTTGGATAGAGGTGGGAAAATGGTGGAGATTTCTGCAGGTTTGTGCCTGAAGAGTGCTCAGGAAGGATGAGTTCGAGGTTCCTTAGTCCAATGGGGACCTTGATGTTCAGGGCAGAGGGAGTCCCTGCAGTCTTCAGTTGTAGGATGGGGATGACAGAGATACAGATGTACCTGTATACTCTTACCTTACAAAGAATGACTCCAATTTCAGGAACAGTGAACCAACTAGATCATCCACCTACCTTGAAATTCTTTCTAGAATCTTCTTGCCTTCTTGTATTGAATTAGAAAGAGGATTGTCCATGGAGTTGGGCACTCAGGATTCTCTCCTTATTCAATTTAAAAACACCTAACTGCCTGATCTATAACTCTTCCTGAAATTCCATTGCTGGTGCCTTAATCTCTTTTTGTTGAGGCATTGCTAGCTTTAGGTTCCTTTTTAAAGACCAAATATTCTGTACCTCAAAAGGAATATAGACATTTATAAGTCTATAACACTTCCACATAAATTAGATTATCAAGTACTTTTTTCCGGTTTGCTGAGAATGTGCCCCAAGAGAATAATAATTGTAAAGAGTCAAATGCCAGAGGGCACTGATTTCTTTGCAGCATGAAATGCTGCTTTGTACCAGGCCTGGTGGTATTCATGGAGAATCTGGGCAACTAGTGGCAACATTAATTGTGTGGGCATGGGGGAGAGATGTGCAGTGCATGGGCCATGAAGGTAAGGTGGGTAATTGCTGACATTTATTGAATATGTAATGTGTCTAGGAACTAAACCACACACTCATATATACATTCGCTCATTTAATTCCCAGAGCACTTCTGTGAGAGAAGCGGTACTACTATTATCTCCGTTTTATTAATGAATATCGTGAGGCATGGAGAAATTAAATAACTTGCTCAAGGTCATACAACTAAAAAGTGCCAGGGTCAGGATTCAAACACAGGCACTGTCACCCCAGAGCCTGCACTCTCTTTTTCTGCAAAGTTCACAAATGCAGGACTGTGTGAATAAATAAATGTATGGAAAATACCGATGACTATAATATTCTATTTGAGGCTTTCCTTCATACAGTAATGATACTTTGCATTGCACATCTCTTTAAAGTATTTTCACATACACTGACTTTGTGGAATGGGCTGGGAGTGGGTAGGGTCTACAGAACTTGCTGGACCTTTTGAATCCTTTGGGCCTTTGAATTCTGTACTATCAGAAGGAACATCTTCACTAAAGGAGAGCTGACCCTCCAGAGGGCGTGTTACCCCTGTCCCATAGCATTTTAGGCGGCCTCCACACCCTTTCCCCAAGCCTCATCATCCATTTCTCTCCCTCTGGGGTTCAGCTATTCATGTGGGCCAGAGCCCAGAGAGTTTCCTTCCAGGATAAAGGGACCCCAGCTGATTAGCAGCCAAGCCAGAGCTGAGGGAGGTTTGGGATTTTAGGTTAAGTGTTCATTTTTAAAAAGTCATATTCTGATCATTTTGGTACCAGCCTAAATTCCACTGGGTCAAGTTGGAGTGGCAGCTTGACGGAGAGGGGCGGAATGGAGCTGGCCTCTGTGTTCTTACTGCCCTGGCTTCAGTCATTTCTTGCTGAAATCATTCATCACATCAATCACTCATGTATTCAAAAATGTTTTGAGTGGTCCTTACAAGCCTCATCCTGTGTGGATAGGTACAGGAATCAGGACAGGGAGAAGATGCCATTTCTGGCCTCGAAGAGCTTACAGGCCTGCTGGGGAAAGAAGACTCACAGCAGAAGCAATGGATTGATGTCCAGAGCTGTGTCAGGGCAGAGAGTGAGAGACAGCCGGCTCTTGGGGTGAGAGAAAGCTGCCGGAGAGTGGCAGGTGACTTTCTGCCCATTCTACCAGTCTGCTAGGACCTGACCCATAGGCCTCCTGATTTCCAAAGCCTTCTGTGCTTTTGCACGTATGTGGATCTCTCTACTTTCTGGCGGCAGACGTTTCTGTCTCTTACATGCCTTAGCATTGTTCTTTGCTTGATTTCCCCCCATGTATTCTTCATTTGGATTGTGGCAGAGCTTACTGCTATTCCCATCTTCTGTCTACTTTCTAGCAGCACTTTTCAAAGTCATTGTAAAAACGAATCACCTGGGGAACTTGTTAAAATGCAGACTTGGATTCAATAAGTCTTGTGTGGAGTCCGAGGTTCTGAATTTCTAACAATATTCCAGCAGATGCTGACCCTGTTGGTCTGTGGACCTCACTTTGAGTGGCAAGGTTCTGTAGTATTAAACACAAATCAAATCTTCTAAGCTAACTTTTGGATTTATTGAACTGGTTAACGGGCACATCATGTCCTTTCTCTGGGTCTTTTTTTCTCATAGTCCAGATGAGGAAATTTTTTTAGGATTGACAAATGCTAGGCTTCTGTATCATCATTTCCCTCTTCTTCTCCCTGATCTAGCATTGATAATTGAGCATGGTATTTTTTCCCACTGAGCTTGGACATGACCTGTTGTGAAGGATTTCTCAATACAGTACCCTGAGGACCCACTTCTGGCCCAACAGAGTTGGCTTGGAGGATGAATCCTATTTGCTACTCTGGACAAAATATACCTTAAGCTCTTTTCTAATGGAATAATTGGGGGGTTGGCAGGGAGCCATCCTTGGCACTGTATAGAGATGCCCCAAAACCTGGCACCTGCCCTGAGAGATGAAGAGTGCCTCCAGAACCTCTCATGCTAGAAAAGCCCCTTGGTCTAGGTCTGGGAAATGAGAGGAGAGGCAGGAAGATTGAGAACAGGCGCTGGAAGGGAGTGATTAGCTCAGTGGTTCTCAACCATGTCTGTGCTTTAGAATTACTAGAAAGTTTTAATGAATAGTAATGCTTGAAGCCACCCCTAGATATTACATTCAATTGGTCTGGGGAACGACCAGGCATTAACATTTAAAAATCTCCCAGGTGAATCTAATGTGCACTTGGGGATGGGAACCAGTCATTAGGCCCGTCCAGACACACTTAGCAAGTGGTGAGGCACTGAGTTGCTTGCTTCATTTTTCAATTCATAGGGCTCAGAGAGAAGCAGAGCCCTGACTCCCTTCCCCAAACTGGACACTTCCATGGCTGAGATAAGATAAGCACTTGGAAGTAGCTCCTGCTGAAAGAGTTTTCTGGCTAGAACTGATTCTATCTCTAGGGACCAAGTTAAAGGTAGAAGGTTTGAGGAAGGACAGCAACCCCCAGCCATTTTTTGCTCAAAATGGCTTCACCTTAAAAAAAAAAATAGGTAAGGCAACCTCTTTTTGAGCATGATAATTTCTTGGAGGGATGTTATTGGCTCTGTCAATCTAGATTGGTTTTTTCACATTGTCTAGATTTTGTGTTGGGGGTGCGGGGATCTCCTCTCCTTCCTGGTTGAGGGCTTGGAGCAGGGCAGCAGCCCTGTTCACATTTATGTTCCCTTGATTCTCAATCTTCAATATGGCCCTTCTCTTCTCATCTGCTTTTTTGAAATGCACACCTCCTGCCCTCCAGCTTCCAGTTCTGTAGAGCTCAGCTAGTTCAGACAAAAAGGTTGGATCAAACTGATTCCCATTAAGGTGTGGACAACTGACACCTGCCCCTACCCTAGTCCTCTTGGATTTAAAAAGAGGCTGCTTGTTGTCCAAGTATATCTTTAGTGTATAGAATTCCAGGTAATAGATGAAGAGAATTGAACCATTCTCCTGATCACAGCTGGGGGAGTTTGGTGGGGCTTTTTAAAGGGAGAAGGAGAGAAGGGATGGCTATTCCTATGCTGACTTGTAATGTCTCCTCAAATGGTGAGAACAGGGCATTGTTCAAGAACAAGCCAGATACCTGATGAAGAGCAGTCTATGTCTCTTCCCTCCTAAAAAAAAAGACAAAGGGTAGGGAGAGGGGTCTGCTTTAGGCAGCTTCAGTATATTTCTAATTATAGTGTCCATTTGTAACCAAGACTTTGGCCTTCCAAGAAGGCTTGATTATGACATTCATAATTCATTGGCAGTCAGTCTATTACAGATTCAATGATTTCTCCAGCCAGGGAGAGAATCTTGATCCTTTAAAAACTGATTTTTCACATTAGAATAGCAAAAGCAATTAGTTTTATTTTTAGCTCAGTTAAGCAAGAGCTCTAATGAAGCTGAAAGGAAGGTTTTTCCCATCTTTCTTTCTCCCATTCTTTTCCTTGAGAGAATTCGCCCTGGGTGTTTGTCCCCTGCTGCCATTGGGTCTTTGTAGGATGCCTCTGGCTGCTTTAGGAAACCTGCATGATGAGGACTTTGTGAAGGCTGAGGGTGGCTTTCAGAACTTTGTACTTAGCCTTGTATTTCCTGAGGCCTAGATCTTCACTCCAACTCCTGTTATGAAGGTGAGGGTGGAAGTGTGTGCAGGGATGAGCTTGGCAGCCTTAGTCCCTAAACCCCACATTACATCTGGAGTTTCTGGCATGAAAGCAGAGGACAATATTACCTGGCATTGAGGGCCCTTCTTCCCACAGTCTGAGCTCAACTTACCATTCTCAGCCTTGTCCCCCCAGTTCACCTGCACAAACTCCCACTCTAGCCAGAAAGGTTTACTCATGCACCCACGGTAGGACTACACACATTTCTCACTCACTTCCTGAACAGCTTCCTTCCCAATGCCCTGGAGCTCTCTTTCCTCTGGATTCTTGGGTTCCATCTTGTGCCTATACCTGTAAATCTCATGGCAGTGTCGGGCACACGCTGCCTTGGACCACTGGTTAACCTGGTCAGGTTTATTAACCAGCCAGATGCCTACAGGCTCCAGAGAGCTGGCTAAATGAGGAAAGCTGGTTATGGTAGGAACTGTGGTGACCAGAGAGCACAGGCCCAGTCTAAAGAATGCAGCCAATCTTCAATGGCGAAAGACTGTTTTCATGTTCAGCTTCTGATCCAGCATTGTCAGATTTTCTGATAGTTTTCAAAGGGAGCTTGACATCTAGATTTTAAAATGTATATAGTATCCTAATTTTTAAAAGTTGGAATGAATTCAATTTTCTTTAAAACCCTATGTGGGCCAAAACCCCTGTCTGGGGGCCACCATTTTGTTTCCTCAGTTGTAGGCTTTGAGAGCTGAACCCACAGACCCCAGCTCAGAACCCTGATTTTAAAGCCTCATGGAGCTCTTGCTGCCTCTCGGGTCCTGATCTGTCAGGTAGAGGAGCCAGCTTTACATGGCACCAGGATCAGAGAGGCCCAGGGGCCTCACAATCACACAGCGACCTAGGAGAGAGCCAGCATGAACTTGTAGCCTCTGGCCCAGAATCCTTTTTGCTAGTTCCACACAATGAATGGTGATACTGACTAAGGGCATGGTGCCAATTTCTATTGATCTTTACTGTTGTCCAAGCTTAATGAAAAATGGGGAAAACACCTTTCCCTTCAGAATGGATTAGATAAGGGAAAAGAATAAAAAAACTTCACTCCTGTTAGTTTCCACATCATTTTTGTATGAAAGATGCTTCCGAAATTTAGCACTGAAAAGACAGTTCTTGAGAAGCTGTATACCAGCCACTGTGGAACCCACGACCTAGTTCCTATCCTTGGTAGGCTTATAGTCACAGGCTCAAGACTATGAGCTCCTAGAGAAGGAACTCAGCCATACTCTGCATTGAGTGTCTCCCAGCCCTCAGCAATCTGCCCAGCATGTAACCGGGACTGAACAAATTGAATATAAACATGGCAACACAGGTGACACAAAATGAAGGAGAGGCAATACAGACCTTCCAACTAAACCATTCAAATAGTTTCATCTTGATGTAAGAATTTTATTCCTCATATGAATCTCATCTTGCATGTCATGGCATCATTTTCTCTTGGTGAGCATTTTCTCTTGTGACAGAGTAGTATCCTGAACTGATACTAAATAATATACCATTATTCAAGGTGATATTGCCTAGAAACCTGGCATGGGGCTGGGGGGAGTGATGGCATGAGCAACAATGGTAGAAAATAGGTAAAAGACTGTAGTTAATGCATCCCTTCTAAATCCTCCTCTCTGTTTCCCTCTTCTTAGTTTATCCTGCCTCCAACCTCTAAGAAATTCCCAGGAAAAATGGAGCATTATGGTGTGTCTTCCCATTTTCAGGACCTGAAAGATTGCTTGCTGTTCTCAGAGAGGGTATAAAAATTAGACCCTGGTGGAGGCCAGCTTGGGGTGTTGGATGAGCCTCTGACAGAGGATATGAATCTTGGCTGCAGGTGCTGGTGAAGGATGGTGAGGTTGACAAACCTACATCAAACACACCTCCGTTCTAGGGGAGCCATCACTCACCTCTCTGCACTCTGGTGGCCCATGCTAATGAGATCCCAGCTCATATACAACCCCTGCCCAAAAGCTGGGGCCCAGCCTCTCAGCAGACAGAGACAGAGTAGTCCTTGGAGGAACTATGAAGGAGACCGCGCTCAGCTGTATCTTCTCCCTACTCTCCAGTCCGCATTTGGAGTGGCGTTTCTGCTACCTTCCTCTGCCTCTGCGTCATCTTCTTAATTCCTTGCCTAGGGCATGGCCTCTCTCAAATGACTAAATAAATGTGGTTGAGTATTGCATCATGTGTTCTTCATTCCTCCTGGTGGCTGTTATATTTACAAGGAGACCCCAGGCATAAGACAAATGCTTAACCTAAGGAATAAATGTTTCATTGTCACATTTCAAGCACCTACTAGGAGGTGGTTTGGAAGGGATATTGACAGCCCTTTTGAAAATGGAAGTTCCATCACCTATTTACTGATAGGTGGTCCTGACCATCAGCTGAAAGGAAACTGAGTATAGATGATGATGAGGATGATGATGATGAAGAAAGAGTGACAGCAATGATGATGACGAGATGATGATACAAGCTAACATCTGACAAGTGCTTGCCAAACACCAGGCACGACATTAAGAGTTTACATCTACATGGGCGCAGTGGCTCACCCCTGTAATCCCAGCACTTTGGGAGGCCAAGGCGGGTGGATCATGAGATCAGGAGATTGAGACCATCCTGGCTAACACGGTGAAACCCTGTCTCAACTAAAAATACAAAAAAGTAGCCAGGCGTGGTGGTGGGTACCTGTAGTCCCAGCTACTCGGGAGGCTGAGGCAGGAGAATGGCGTGAACCCGAGAGGTGGAGCTTGCTGTGAGCTGAGATTGCACCACTGCACTCCAGCCTGGGTGACAGAGTGAGACTCCGTCTCAGAAACAAACAAACAAACAAGCAAACAAAAAGGGTTTACATCTACAAGCTCGTCTACTCCCATCAGCTCTGTTGGTGGGCACTCTTGTTATTCAGAAATGAAGACACCCAGCCTCAGAGAGGTTCAATAACTTACCTATATTGCTAAGAAATAAGCATTGATGGGAGCTGCCCTAGAAATCCTCCCTTTTCAACAAATAAGAAAAAACCAAGGAGGCTTAGGCTGCCATTTCCTTTGTGACGTATTTTCAAATCCCACCTAATCCTTCAGTGACATGGAGTTAAGAGCAACAACTTAAGTCCCGGGTTTGAATCCTGTCTCTGCCACTTAGAAGCTATGAGATTGAAGGCAGATTCTCTGAGACTGCTTCCCACTTTATAAAGTGGGATCAGCCTCATGAGCGGCTGTAATGATTCCATGGAGAACGCAGGCAGAGCCCTTTGCACATCCTCTGGCACATGCTGAACACATGGTATCATCACTCACTTCTGTTACACAGTGCATCACAGGCAGCCCCCACTTTCCTCTCCCCAATATTTTATGCATGTATTCATCTTCCCCATAAGTCTGTATCTGGGGGAAATTTTCATGTTTTATTCCTCTTTGAAAATATAGTCAATTAGATGGCTAGAATTGGAATAATAATAACAACAAACATGTATTGAATGCATACAACATGCTATGCACAGTTCTAAGTCCTTCCAACAACTGTGTTGTGTAGGTACTATTATGCTTGCTTTGCAGTTGAGAGTATCATGGCATAGACAGATTAAGTAACTCTCCTGAGTTCCTGCTACTGGCAAGCAGTGGATTCAGGAGTGGCTCCAGGAGGTCTGGATCCTGAGCCTGTGCCCATGATCTCTATTCCATAAATATTCTGCTTGCCAATTCTCATTGCCATTTAAATGTTTCAAAGCAGTAGGAGCTTGAGGCTCCCACAGGGTGGGCCACTTGCTCTACGTCACACAGTTAATTTAGTAGTGGAGCTGGGGCTGAAACTGAGCTCCCTGGACTGCCAGCCCGGTGCTCCTGATACGAGGTGTGCCCTGTCATATGGTATGATGATTCACTGGGAGAGAAGCTGTAGGAGGCTGACATTTTCCCAGCCTCATCTGTGTTTGCTGCCCACACATCAAGCCCTGAATGTCAAAGTCCCCCACGCTGCTATGCTGGAGGGGAGGAGGGAAGCCCACTCACTATTATTAAGCAATTAAAAATATGAGCAGAGCAAATGTGGGACAGTCCCACTTCTCTGACGTGTTGGGCAACAAGGTAGCTGGCTGTGTCCCACTCATACACAGAGATATTTAAGGGACTAAATGAAAAATAGCTCGTCTTGGCTCCCAGGGAAAGTGGTTTTGAGTACTGTAGATCATCACTGTCCCAGCTCTGCAACCCAAACGGCCAAACGGTCTGGGGGACAGTGGAGGAGTGGGGATGAAGGAGTGGTCCATGGCCTCTGAAGCACCATGGTTATATCACAAAAGTGGGGTGAGATCTGACAGCTTTCTCTGGGTCCATGGGTCTGTCTCTAAGCTGATGTGTTCCTCATTCTTCTCCCCTACAGAAATAAAAAAAAGTTACATGTCAGGTTGGACCCAAATCATTGCTATTTTTAATCTGTACCTATGGATGGGTACAAGATTTAATCTGTTACAGGAAGAAACAGGAACTGAGTTTGGTTGGTGAAAAGGCCTCCTTGGTGTCAGATCTGGGGTTCCTGCTGGAATCTGAACTCAGGTATTTAAAAGCAGGACCAGAGGATGGACTCCATGATTCTTTCCTATTCTCCTCCCAGACACCTTATCTGGAATATCCAATTAATAACCACATGTTTTTGTTCATTCCTTTAAAGTCTCTCTGACATCGATCCTAACCTTTGCTCTCCGTGTATCTGTGGGTGCACAGTAATCCTGTGGGCTGAGAGTAAAACTAGATGCCTTGATGGGTCATGGAATGGCATCAAAGAGGGTTCACCTACTCTGTGCCATAGAAGGCAGGATTGGAAATAAATCATTTGCATTGCTCCACATTGCCTGACACACAGAAGTTTTCAACACGTATTTACTGAATGAATGAGATGTGGGAGATAGGAGTTTGTTGGAAGTCCCTTGCTTTTTGCTACCCACAATTAACTTGATTTCAACTTAACAAATATCACCAAAACATTAGCTTGAATATGGCTTGTTGATATAAAAATTAAACAGTCTAAGTAGAAAATTACTTGTATTGGTGCATGCATGCACACACGTGTGCACACACACACGTGGTACACAGAGTACACCACTGCCATCTGGGATGACGGCAGAAAATGTCAAGCTTAAGTTCGGCAGTGTTAGGGTTGGGACAGGAAGGAGGAATAAGTCTTCTGAAACACTAAGAACTGTGTGCCTAGTAGGGCCCCTGCATGCAGAGAGGATGAGTGATTGGCTATGCAGACAGACAGGAGAGCAAGGGCTCCCCATGTGCATGGGGAGTTTGACCAATGAGACCAACTGTCCATGTTCCTATATCAGGATACAACTAAATCCATGGGAACGTGAATTTCAGCCAACTATTCAAGATGGAGCATCTTGGAATTCCAAGAAGAGCTCACTCTCTGCTGGTCATCTGGCTCTGAGCCCCTAAAGCTACTTGGAGCAGTCCAGATCCACTTTGCTTTAGGGTTGGTTGCTTCTATCTTTGTAACTCTAAAGGAGCTAGAAAGATTCTGTGTCTTTTCCTCTCTCCCTTTCCAGGTAAATAGAGGCGGGGAGAACAAGGAAAACACAGCATCATTTTTTTAACCTTTAATTTTAAACTAATTTTAGACTTACAGAAAAAATTACAAAAATAGTAGAGTTTTCCTGTACTCTTGTAGTTTTTTTTTTAAAATCAACAACTTTCATAGTTGTAGAACAATTATCACAACTAAGAAATTAACATTGGTATAATACTGTTAACTAAACTATAGACTTTGAATGTTGTTTTTTTTACTAATGTTCTTTCTTTTTTTATTCCCCAACTTTTATTTTAGAATCAGTGGTACATGTGCAGGTTTGTTACAAAGGTATATTGTGTGATGCTCAAGTTTGGAGTACAAATGAATTTTTTATCCAGGTACTGATCATAGAACCTGATAAAGCAGTTTTTCAATCCTTGCCCCCCTCCTTCCTTCCCCCTTTTTGTATCCCTCAGTGTCTATTGTTCCTGTCTTATGTCCATGTGTACCCAATATTTAACTCCCACTTGTAAGTGAGAACATGCAGTATTTGGTTTTCTGTTTCTGTGCTAGTTCGCTTAGCATGATGACCTCTAGCTGCATCCATGTTGGTGCAAAAGACATAATTTCATTCTTTTTTTATAGCTGTGTAGTATTCCATGGTATATATGTCCCACATTTTCTTTATCCAACCCACTGTTGGATAAAGGCACCTGGGTCAATTCCATGTCTTAGCTATTGTGAATAGTGCTATGATGAAGATACGGGTGCAAGTGACATTTTAGTAGGACTATTTATTTTCCTTTGGGTACATACCCAGTGATGGCATTGCTGGGTCAAATGGTAGTCCTGCTCTTAGTTCTTTGAGAAATCTGCAAACTGCTTTTCATAGTGGCTGAACTAATTTACATTCCCACTAACAGTATTAATATTCTTTCTCGGTTCCAGCACCCTATCCAGGGTCCCATATTATATTTAGTTGTTATTTCTCCATCTCCTGCAGTCTCTAACAATTCCTTAGTCTTTTCTTGTCTTTTATGACCATGACACTTTTAAAGACTATTGCACTGAGAATACAACTTCACAGCTGTGGTATTTTTCCCCAAAAATGCATAACTTCAGTTCAGTCATGAGAAAACATCAGACAAACCCAAATAGAGGGACATTCAACAAAACGGCTGATCAACCAACATTTTTTGAAGAAAACTCGAGCCTCTGCTTTTGTATTCTATTGTTCCTAAAATAGCTTGGGGAAAACTGCCTGCTGAGGTAGAAAATTAGGGTTTTAAAATGCAACCTCATGAGGGAGAAATGGTGCTTCTCTCTGGCCATGGAGACAGTCTTGAGCAAGCAGTTGAAGATGTGAATTCTGATCTCAGCTCCCTCATGTCACACAGAGGGCTCCCCAATGCCTTCCTGTAAAATGGAATGACCCTTTCTTATGTCTCCCAAAGGATGGTCTAAGGACCTGGTGATGCTGTGTGGAGGGGCTTAGTGATTCTCAAGGGGTGATGCTCATGGAGGGTCTTATCTCTCAACTCCACCAGCGATCCAACAAGATGAGAAGCTGGGAGACCCAGGCAAGCCAGAGCCTTGTTGGTCAATCAACTCCCCATCACTCTTAATTAGCTGTCATCTTCATGAGAAACCAGGAAGGAGAGGAGAGAGAAAAAATGTTCCAGATTTCTACCCCAGCCTTTTCTAAAAGCCTAAAAGAAAAGATCTTGTAGAATTTCATTCAACAAGTATTTTTGACCACCCACTGTGTACCAGGCACATTCAAGGGTTGGGCACCTGTGAGTGAAGGAATAGACTAAAATATCTGGCCCTTGGAGGTAATATGTTAGTGAAGGAGGCAGACAGTAAACAAAATAAGTACATAAATTAAGTAAATATTTGAAGGTGATGAAATTCCATCTTTGAACTGATGAAATTCCATCTTTGAACTGGTAAAAGTTGAAATGCTTTCTGATAAAATCCCTGCTGGGAGGCAGATGGTCTCTGCTGATGAATGGGGATGGTTACAAAATAACACATAGCATACATTAGGGGTGGGAGTATGGGTGTTGCCAAATGTCTCACCCACTTGAGCTTTCTCATTTTAAGTTTCAAATCAAACTCCTACTCTTTGTAATTAGACAATGCATATAGCAGTTCAAATGTCATTCCTTTGACCTGGGAAAATGCCTCTTAATCATTCCTTCTGGCCCCTAGCATCTCAGGGGAGAATGTGAAAGAGTAAAAACACATGGGAGTAATTCACCTTAGGAAGACTAATTGTGGGATAGTAACCACGAGGTGGATTGCACACATCATTTGGAGGATATTTGAATAAGTATGAAGAAAAGAGGGAAAAGATACACACCAGACTGTTAATCTGTTAATATCGGAACCTCAGTCGTGAGAGTGCAGCGGTGGGGCATTGGGAGTGGAGTGGGCAGTTGGTGGGAATTCTTTGTCTACTTGTCTGCTATTGGCTTGTAGGAAGTAATGAGTATTGCTTTTCTAGTTGGAAAAAGAAAATCTAAGGAAGCATTTAAAGAAACAATAGGGGCGAATGAAAGATGAGGAAGATCTTCTAGGATTTCTAAATCCCTCAAATTTATATGTAGCTTTTCTTTAGATGTATGGGTTTATTTCTGGATTCTCAATTCTATTCCACTGGCAAGTATGTCTTTCCTTATACAAGTTCCATACTATTTTGATGAGTGTACTTTTGTAGCAAGTTTTGAAATTGGAAAATGTGAGTATACCAACTTTGCTCTTGTTTTTCAATATCGTTTTGGCTATTCAAGGACCCTGGAAAATTTCATATGAGTTTGAGGATTGGCTTTTTCTTCTCTTTGAGATGGAGTCTCACTCTGTCGCCCAGGCTGCTGGAGTGTGGTGTTATGATCTCAGCTCACTGCAACCTCTGCCTCCCAGTTTCAAGCAATTCTCATGCCTCAGCCTCCCGAGTAGCTGGGACTACAGGCGTGCCACCATGGCCAGCTATTTTTTTTTTTTTTTTTTTTTTTTGTATTTTTAGTAGAGACAGGGTTTCACCATGTTGCCCAGGCTGTTCTCAAATTCCTGAACTCAGGCAATCCGCTTGCCTTGGCCTCCCAAAGTGTCAGGATTACAGGCGTGAGCCACCATACCCAGCTGACATTTTCATTTCTGTAAAAAAGGCTGTTAGAATTTGGATAAGGATTGCATTTGTAGATCATTTTGGGTAGGTTATTCATCCATCCAGGCAAACACTATTCATTTTCTGTCTTTATGTGTCATCCTGTGCTAAAGGTCATGGGAGCAAGGGTCTGTAAGGATGATTGAGATTTGATTTCTATTTCCAGGTAACTTTGTTTTTTAACAAACTTCTTTTTTTTTTTTTAAGTGGCTTTTCTGGTGTATTCTTTCTTTTTAATTGAGATGAAATTCACACGACATAAAATTAACCATTTAAAGTGAACAATTCACTGGCATTTAGTACATTCACAATGTTGTGTAAACACCGCCTACCTCTACCTACGTCTAAAACAGTTGCCTCATACCCTATGAAAGTAAAGTAAAGAAAGTAGTTACTCCCTATTCCTCCCTCCCCTAGCCCTTGGCAACCACCAATGTGCTTTCTGTTTCTATGGATTTACCTATTCTAGATATTTCGTATAAATGGAATCATACAATAAGCTACTGTGCCTGGCTGGCATTTTCATTTCTGTAAAAAAGCTGCTAGAATTTCGATAAGGATTGCATTTGTAGATCACTTCGAGTAGTATTGCCATCTTAACAATAGTAAGTTTTCCAGCTCATGAACATGAGGTATCTTAACACTTATTTAGGTCTTTCAACAATGTTTTGTGGTTTTCAGCATACAAGTTATTCGTCCTGGTTAGATTTATTTGTAGGTATTTTATTCTTTTCATGCTATTGTAAATGAAATTGTTTTTCTTAATTCACTTTTCAGATTGTTTATTGCTGGTGTATCAAAGCACAACTGATTTTTGTATCTTATACTTCGAAATTGTTGAATTGGTTTATTAGCTCTACTAGTTTATTTTGTGGATTCTCTGAGATTTCTTATATGTAAGATAATGTCACCTGTGAATAGAACTAGGTTTACTTCTTCTTTTCCAATTTGGATACTTTTTTTAAAGATTCAAATTTATCTATTTATTTTAATTGACAAATAAAAATTATATGTATTTATCGTGTACAACATGACATGTAAAAATATGTATGCAAGGTGGAATGGCTCAATTGAGCTAATTAGTGTATGCAGTACTACACAAACTTATTTTTTTGTGGTAAGAACACCTAAAATTTACTCTCTTGGGAAGTTTCAAGGGTACATTGTTATTCATTATGGTCACCATGTTGTACAATAAATCTCTTGAACTTATTTCTCCCATCTAACTGACATTTTGTATGTTTTGACCAACATCTCCTCAATCCCTACCCCACAGCACCTGGTAGCTACCATTCTACTCTTTGCTTCTATGAGTTTAACTTTTTTATATTCTACGTGTAAGTGAGATTATGCCGTATTTGTCTTTCTGTGCCTGGCTTATTTCACTTAACATAATATCCTCCAGATTCATTCATGTCATCACAAATGACAGGATTTTTTTCTTTTTAAAGGCTGAATAGTATTCCATCATGTATATATATACCACATTTTATGTATCCCTTGATGAACATGTAGGTTAATTCCATATCTTGGCTGTTGTGAATAATGCTGCAGTGAACATAGGAGTACAGATACCTCTTCAACATACTGATTTTATTTCCTTTGGCTATATACCTGGCGGTGGAGTGGTTGGATTCTAGAGTAATTCTATTTTTAATTTTTTGAGGAATCTCCATACTATTTTCCATAATATCTGTACTAATGTACATTCTTACCAGCAGTATACAGAGGTTTTCTTTTCTCCGCATCCTTGCCAGCACTTGTTATCTTTTATCTTTTTGATATAATCATTCTAACAGGTATGAGGTGATATCTCATTGTGGTTTTAATTTGTATTTTGCTGATGCTATGGTCTGAATGTTCATGTGTGCCTCAACATTTATATGTTAGAATCTAAAACCGACTGTGATAGTATTAAGAAGTGGGTTTTTTGGGAAATGAGTAAGTCATGAGGGCTTCACCCTCATGAATGGGATTAATGACCTCATAAAAGAGAATCAAAGGACCGCCCTTATCCCTTTCTTCATGTGAGCACACAGCCATTTTTGAAGCACAGAACAAGTCTTCATCAGACACAGAATTTGCTGGCACCTGGATTTTGGACTTTCCAGTCTTATGAACTGTGAGCCATACATTTCTGTTGTTTATAAATTATTCAGTCTAAGGTATTCTGTTACAGCAGTAGGAACAGACTGAGACATCTAATGATTACTGAAGTTGAACATTTTTTCATATACCTGTTGACCATTCATATGTCTTATTTTGAGAAATGTCTATTTAGGTCCTTTGGCTCACTTTAAAATCAGTCACTGGTTCTCTTACTATAGAGTTGTTTGAGTTTTTTATATGTTTGGGATATCAATTCCTTATCAGGTGTATGGTTTGCAAATACATTCTTCCAATTCGTGGGTTGTCTCATCACTCTGTTTATTATTTCCTTAGCTGTGCAGAAACTTTTTAGTTTGATGTAGTCTTGTCTATTTTTGCTTTTGTTGCCTGTGCTTTTAGGGTCATGTGTAAAATATAATTGCCCATGCTGATGTCATGAAATTCTACCTCTATGTTTTCATCTAGTAGTCTTACAGTTTCAAGTCTTATGATTAAGTCTTAATCCATTTTGAGTTAGTTTTTATATATGGTATAAGATAGGATCTAATTTCATTCTTCTGCATGTGGCTATGCTCTTGTGACAACACCACTTATTGAAAGGCCCGTCGTTTCCCCACTGTGTGTTCTTGGCAACTTTGTCAAAAATTAATTGACCATACATATGTGGATTTATTTCTGGATTATCTAATTCTGCTTCAATTATCTATTTGTCGGTTTTTACACTAGTACTATGCTGTTTTGACTACTATAGCTTTGTAGTATATTTTGAAATCAGGTAGTGTGATGCCTCCAGCTTTGTTTATTGTGCTCAACATTGCTTTGGTTATTCAGGCTGTTTTGTGGTTCCATATACATTTTAGGACTTTTTTTTTCTATTCCTGTGAAGAATGTCATTGGTATTTTGATATGAACTGCACTGAATCTGTAGATTGCTTTGGGTATTACAGTATGAACATTTTAACAATATTAATTCTTCCAATCCATGAACATAGGATATCTTTCCATTTATTTGTGTTTTCTTCAATTTCTTTCATCAATGTTTTATAGTTTTCAGTGAGTAATTCACTTCTTTGGTTAAATTTTTTCTTAGGTATTATATGTTATTTTGTAACTATTATAAAGGGGATTGCCCTCTTGATTTATTTCTTGGAAAGTTCATTGTTAGTGTATAGAAATGCTATTGATGGTTATGCTTTATTTCTTTTATAATTGCTTTGTATAGAACTTCCAGTACAATATCGAATAACAGTAGTAAAAGTAGGAGTCTTTGTATTGTTCTTGATCTTAGGAGTAAAGATTTCAGTTTTTCGTAATGGAGTATGATGTTAGCTGTGGTTTTCTCATAAATGCCCTTTATTATGTGAGGAAGTTCTTTCTATTCCTACTTTTCTGTGAGTATTTTCTTAAAAATCAAAAAATGTTAGATTTTGTCAACTACTTTTTCTGCATCAGTTAGGATGACTAAGTGGTTCAGTTTTTTTGTTGTTGTTCTATTAATGTGTATTACATTGATTGATTTTCTTATGTTGAATCACCTTTGCATTCCTGGGATAAATCCCATTTGGTCATGGAATTTTTATAATTATTTAAATATGCTATTTGATTCAGTTTGATAGTATCTTAAAGATTTTTGCATCTATGTTCATAAGAGTTATTAGCCTATAGTTTTCTTGTGGTGTCTTTCTGACTTTGGTATAAGGGTAATGCTATCCTCATAGAATGAGTTAGAAAGTGGTCTCTCCTCTTGTATTTTCTATAGATGTTTGAGAAAGATTGCTGTTAATTCTTTTTTAAATGTTTGATTGAATTGACAAGCAAAGCCCATCTGGTCCTGAATTTTTCTTCTTGGGAGTTTTGTTTTATTTATTCCTTTAAAATTACTGATTCAATTTTTACAATTTTTACTTTTTATAGGTCTGATTAGATTCTATTTCTTCTGGAGTCAGTTTTGTCAATTTGTGTGTTTCTAAGAATTTGTACTTTATGTTAAGTTTATCTAATTTTTTGGTATCAAATTGTTCATAGTATTTTTTTTTATTTCCATGAGGTCTGTGGTAATGTCTTTACTTTCTATTTTCAGTTATTTGGGTCTTCTCTTCTTTCTTTTTAGTTGGTCTAGCTGAAAGATTGTCAATTTTGTTGATGTTTTCAAAAACCAATTTTTGGTTTTGCTGATTCTCTCTAATTTTTCTATTCTCTATGTTATTTATCTTAACTTTAATCTTTATTTACTTCTTTCTGGTTTGGGGTTTAGTATTGCCTTCTTTTTCTAGTTACTTAAGATGTAAATTTAGGTTATTGATTTGAGATGTTTCTTTTTTAATGTAAACACTTACAGCTATAAATTTCCTGTTGAGCACTGCTTAACTATATCCTGTAAGTTTGGGTAAGTTGTCTTTCCATTTTAATTTAACTCTAAGTGTTTTCTAATTTCTCTTGTTATTTCTTCTTTGGCCTATTGGTTAAGAGTATGTTGTTTTCCACGTATTTGTGAATTTTCCAGGTTTCTTTCTGTTATTCTAGCATCATTTCATTGTGGTTAGAAACAATATTTTGTATGATTTCAATCCTTATAAATTTATTGAGACTTGTTTTGTGGCGTAACATGTGGTCTATACTTGAGAATTTTCTATGTGCACTTGAGAAGATGATACATTTTGCTGTTGTTGAGGGAAGTGTTCTATCTGTGTCTATTCAGTCGAGCTCTTTGTAGTTTTGTTTAAGCCCCCTATTTTCTTATTGATTTTATGTCTAGCTGTTCCATTCACTACTGAAAATGGTATATTGATGTCTCCTACTATTATTGTAGGATTGTCTATTTTTTCTTCTCATTCTGTCAATGCTTGGTCATGTATTTTGGAGCTCTGTTGTTTGGTGTGTATATGTTTATAATTGCTACATATTCTTGACGCATTGACTCCTTTGTCAATATATAATGTCCTTCTTTGTCTCTTGTAATAGTTTTTGACTTAAAGTCTATTTTGTTAGATATTAGTATAACCTCCTTAACTTTCTTTTGGTTACTATTTGCTTAAAATATTATT
Organism: Homo sapiens; assembly: GCF_000001405.40. Lineage (NCBI taxonomy): Eukaryota > Metazoa > Chordata > Mammalia > Primates > Hominidae > Homo > Homo sapiens. The sequence continues at coordinate 104,570,055 of NC_000010.11, forward strand.
TTTCCATCCTTTCACTTTCAAGCTATTTGTGTCTTTGAATCTAAAGTGAGTCACTTGTAGACAGCATATAGTTGGATTTTTTAAAAAAATCTATTTGGTCAATCTCTGCCTTTTGATTATAGAATTTAATCCATTTATATTTAAAGTAATTAATTACAAGGGAGGACCTACTTCTGCCAATTTGCTATTTTTCTGTATGTCTTATGTCTTTGTGGTTCCTCATTTTCTTTATTACTGTCTTCTTTTGTGTTTAATTGATTCTTTACACTGTAACATTTTGATCCCCTTCACATTTCCTTTTGTGTATTTTTAAAAAGATATTTTCTTAGTGATTATCAGAGAATTATGATTAACATTATACACTTATAAAAATATAGTAACAGTATAGTTAAAATTGATATCAACTTAGCTTCAATAGAATACAAAATCTCTGCTTCTAAGCATCTCTGTCCCCACCTTATGTTGTTGTTGTCACTAAATACATTTTTTATTCATTACATTCATTTGGAGTGTTCAATAATGTAGATTTATAATTATTGTTTTATGCATTTGTCTTTTAAATTATGTGGGAAATAAAAAGAGGAGTTATAAACCAAAATCCAGTATATTGGCTTTTATATTTACTTTCTAGTTAACTTTTCTGGAGTTCCTTACCTTTTCATATTGCTTTGAGTTACTGTCTAGTGCGCTTTCATTTAAGCCTCAAGATCTACCTTCATCATTTCTTAAAGGGCAACTCTGCTAGCAACAAACCCTCTCAGATTTTGGTTTTCAGAGAATGCCTTAATTTTTCTTTTCTGGATATAGAATTCTTGGTTGATAGGGGATTTTTTTTTTCCTTTCAGCATTAAAAAAAAGTTATTTCTTTCCCTTCTGATCTCCCTAGCTTCTAATAAGAAATTAGCTGTTAATTCTACTGAGGATATATTGTACATGATGAGTCACTTTTCTCTTTCTGCTTTTAAGATTCTCTCTTTGTCTTTGGCAATTTGATTATAGTGTATCTTAGTGGGAATCTCTTTGCATTTATCCTTCTTTGATTCACTGTGCTTCTTAAACATGTAGATTTTTGTCTTTTTACCGATTTTGGAATGTTTTGGGATGTTATTTCCTTAAATATACTTTCAGCTGCCTTTTTTTCTCTTTTCTCCTGGAATTTCTATTTTGTGTATATTGTTGCACTTGAATGTTTCTCTTAGGCTCTGTTAATTTTTTTTCCAATTTTTTCTTGCTTTTTAAACTAGATAATTTCAAATGATCTGTCTTCAAGCTTGCTAATTCTTCCTTTTGCTTGCTGAAACCTGCTATTGAAAACTTCTAGTATGTTTTTTGTTTTAATTATTGCACTTTTCAGCTCCAGAATTTCTTTTTGGTTCCTTTTTATAATTTCTGTCTCTATTGATTTCTCTTTCATGTATTGTTCTCCTAGTTTCCTTTAGCTCTTTGTCTGTTAATTCCTTTAGCTCTTTGAGCATATTTAACACAGTTGCTTTAAAGTCTTTGTCTAATACGTTCAATGTCTTTGCCTCAGGGAAAGTTGCTGCTCATTTCTTCTGTAAGTGGGCCATACTTGTTTCCTTAAATGTCTCATAATTTTTAGTTAAAACTGGACAATTTGAATACTGTAATCTGGTAATTATGGAAATCACAATCTAGTTCTCCTTAGAATTTGTTTTTATTGCTTGTTGTAGGCTTTATCTATTTGTTCAGTGATTTTTCTAAACTATTTTTGTAAAGTTTGTATTCTTTGTCATGCATGGTCTCTGAAGTCTTTGTTCCTTGCTTGCATTGAGCTAGTGTTTTGATGAAGATTTCCTTGAATGCCAGGAGCCAAAAGGCATGAAGGGAGGGGCAAGAGAGAAGGAGAGAAAGGGCATGAGGGAGAGACAGGGAGCGGGAGAGAAGAGAAAAGCAAAGAAATAAAAAATAAAAAATATCTCTCCTATTCTTGGCAGATTGTTTCTGTACTAGGACATTCCTTCAATGCTTAGTCAGGCCATTTAAAATTTTACATTAGCCTTAAGTACTTGCCTGCACTGATCTTAAGAGATTGGCCAGAAGTACAAACTTAGGGTCTTCTCAGGCTTTTTCTGAGCATGAGTTTTACTCTGGGAACGTGTGTGGTTTTCTTAAATACCCAATACGCATGGAGCTTTTGAATGTCCTAATTTCCCAGAGAAATGCTCTCCCCAGCTTTTCTTTCCAGGCTTTAGGCACTCTGTTGTATGCATCAACTGAAATATTTTGCCCCAGGTGGCTGCAGGTTCTTCATCTGTCTTACAATATTTCCAATAAATGATCACTGTCTTTTCCACCCTGAGTGAGTTCCAAATTAGGCTAAACAAAGACAAGCACCTTGCTTCAGTCCTTCATGTAGCTCCGAGACAGGATAGAAGAGACAAACACAGTTCTTTGTGAGTAAGGTCTGCTCTCCTCCCTCAGAACCAGGGACTAGGGCCCCATACCGGGAACACAGAACTAATGTCTTCAAGATCGCTGCCAAGCTGGGGAGAGGGTGGAGCAAGCACAAGTAAAAAGTCACGAAGCTGGCTGGGTGCGGTGGCTCATGCCTGTAATCCTAGCACTTTGGGAGGCTGAGGCAGGCACATCACCTGAGGTCAGGAGTTTGAGACCAGTATGGCCAACATGGCAAAACCCTGTCTCTACTAAAAATACAAAAATTAGCCAGGTGTGGTGGTATGTGCCTGTATTCCCACTACTCGGGAGGCTGAGGCAAGAGAATCGCTTGAACCCTTCAGCCTGGGCAACAGAGTGAGGCTCCGTCTCAAAAAAAAAAAATCACAAAGGCTTTCTGCAACTTTAAAATTGCCTTTCTCTTTATTCCACATTTACCTGATTGCTATAAAGTTTGGAGTGTTTTTCAACATTCTAACAAAATAACTCTGATGGTTTTTCCTTGATTTTTTTTATATTTCTGTAGAGGGATGAGCTCTTAGAGATACCTACTCCATCAGTTTTGCTTTTTAATAAATGTTTAAATTGAAGTATAACATGCATTCATAAAGGTATATAATTCATAAGTGTGTAGCTGTATGAATTTCTGCATTTCATAACGCATACACACCTTTGTGACCACTCTCTAAATATTTTTATTTTTTAAAACATTTGTATCTCATCTCATTTCAAAAATTACTTGTTGTGACTTATAAAAATGCATATTATGCCAATAAGAGAAAAAATATTTTAAGTGAGGAAAGTAGGGGTAGGAGGAGAGAAGTAATAAAAGTAAAAAGAAAAACCAGTTTTCTATTTTTGTTACATGGCAATTGCATGGCAGAATGTCTTGCACACTTTGCTAAAAGTGGGATAGAAATTTATCCCTAACTTTCCTAGCTGCTAACGCAAAAAGGAAAATCTCATCAGTTTTAGGTTTTTGTAATTCTGAAGATAAAAAAGAAACTAATTGCTCAATAGACATGCAGCTATATCAGGTACTGAGGCTGGAAAGAATTTCTCCTGTTCTTACTATAAAGAAGGCCTTATTGACGTTAGTGGGAGATGTGACTTTTAACTTCTCCTGTAGCAGATAAATCCCACAGCAGAGTCCAGGTCTTCCTATCTGCGTATATCATGGGATGCCACTGCCACAGTGATCCAAATGAAGAGTAGTGACAGCAAGTCTAAGAGTGGCTGAAGCACTGCTACTTGAGTGGGTCAGGGAGAGGGCTATGAAAATAAGGGTGGATAAATTAACTGCCCTAAACCTCAGTTTTTCTACCTGTAAAATAAGAATAAAAGCAATTACCCTAGGATGCTACCAATAAAGGAGAGATTGTGTATGTGTCTCGTGTGTAATAAGTGCTTGCTAAATCTAGTGATTATTATAATTCCAAGGTTTGTGTAGAGACTATTGATGGCCTTTAGTTCCTTAGTTGAGTAACCCTGTTTCTTTTTGCCTGTTCTATTTCTAACCCTGGGTCATACCACCAAGGCTTTCAAATGGTTAAAATGTACTCACCGCATTTTTATCCTGTGGCCCAAGGTGGAGTTGGTGGGGTGGTGTGAAACTTAGGATCTTCCTAGTTCTGGAGAACCCAGGCTTGTGATGGATCGCTCCCAGGACTCACAGGGGGCAATATGCACGCTTGATAGGGAAGAGGAGAAGGTGACTATGTCTGTCCTACTCCACCCTGCTACCCTAACACCAGGCCCAGCTGCTTGAGGTCTGCATCCCATCTAGTATACAAATCAGGCTTAAAACAAAACAGAATGACAATGTATGTACTGAGTGCTGTTACACTAAGAAAGCAGGTCTTTATTCAGCAGCAAAGCCCATGGTTGCTTTCAGGTTTTGATAAATGCACATGGCATTACTTTTCCTTGGATGCTGACCACTGTCCAGATGGTCATGACTTCTGTGGCCCTGATGTGGTATGGCCTGAAGGACAGCAAGGTGCCTTCCGACCTCTGGTAGGATGAGCATCCATCTACAATTACAGTGAAACTCTTGCTGGTGTCTCAGGAAGAAGCACCTCTTTATAGCCAGTCATGAGTCCTTAATATATTACCCTTAAATCATTTAAAACTGGACTAGCCTGAGCAGCAGTGAATATGCCAATGCAGCTGGGAGCAATCTCAGGCAGGCCTAGTGAAATGGCCAAGATGATCTAATAGATCTTGCTTCATCTCTAGAAGTCTATCACCCTGCCTCTCTCCTCCTTATTAAACCAAAGCACCCCACTCCCAGGAAATAAAAGTGTTACCTGATATTTATATATCTTCAGAGAGTAGTGTGATTCAGAAACCAGGGAGAATGGTTTAAAACTATTTATTGAAAAGGAGACTGTTTCTTGCATGGAATAATCTTATTGGGAAAGTTACCTTATTTCTTCTACTGCACTTGAAAAATCTAGATCATTTGTAAAAAGCAAAGGGCAAAGCAGAAATTGATTTTTGTCAGCATGAGGTCAGTTTTTTTGTACTTTGATTAGTGGCTTGAAGCTGGTGGTGAGTCATGTGACAGTGCTGGTGTTTTGGGGCAGGGTATTCAGACTGAGATCATAATAGCTATTTCTGACCTTGACTTTGAGCAGAACATTGCAGGAAGTCTTATGTCACCCTGAAGTCTACAGCTATTTGCAACCTTCTGATATCTCTGATTGACTGCTTGTATTAAGCAGTCCCCCTCTCCTCCCTCACTGTGCCATCCCTAGACTCTAATGTTCTGAATGTATTAACAATATCTACATGGTGAAGCCCATGCTCCCTGCTCTAGCATTGGAGGCCTTCTAAGGACTGACCCAATCCAACTTTGCCTCCAGCCAATCTGTCTCCTGCTTCCACGGTATGAACACTCTGCTGCTATCAGTAGCTCTAGCTTCTGAGCACACACACACCTGGGCACATCCCAGGGACTCAATAATTTCTGCTCCTCTATGCACTGTCCACTCTGGTAGGAGGTCTACACCTTTCTCACATGTGCCCTCAGAAGTCACACCTGCCGTTGTGCCTACCAGTCGGCCTTCTTGGTTCTCTGTGTACTCACTGTCCTCTGAATGTGAGCCATTTACCATACCTGCCATCTAGTCGGCATGGGCCTTGTGCCTTGAAACAGCCCATATTTTTGGTGTGTGCATTGACCTTTCAGCAATGCAATGCTACGCTACCTACTGGAGAGAGAGAAGAGGGAGAGGGAAGGGGAAAGGGGGAGAGAGAGATTTTTGCCTATCTCCCCAAAATTTGTAAGTTGAAACCCTAACCTCAGTATCTTAGAATGTGACTCTATTTGGAGGCAGGGCCTTTAAAGAGGCAATTCAGTTAAAATGAGGTCCTTAGGGTGAGCTCTAATCCACACTGACAGGTGCCCTTATAAGAAGAGGATATTTGGACACACAAAGAGATACCAAGGATGCTTGTGGACAGACAAATGACCAGGTGAGCACACAGTGAGAGGGCAGCCGTCTGCAAGCCAAGGAGAGAGGCCTTAGGAGAAACAAACCCTGCTGACACCTTTGTCTTAGGCTTCCAGAATGGTGAGAGAAGAGATTTCTGTTGTGTAAGCCACCCAGTCCTGGCATTTTGTGATGACAGCCCAAGCCGATTAATGCACTCACAGAGAATGTACCCTGCAGTGAATGTGAAATCAAAGGTGTGAATCTGCTGTTCCTTGCTCAGGCTTGGTTCCCACAGCCTTCCAGGCGGGGGATCATCTCTCCAAGCTGGGTGAGAACCAAGTGTTGAACCATTAGCTAGCTAGCTCATCTAATCTATATCTTACAACCTCGACCCCAAACACAGCTACCTTAATCGGGGGCTCCGTCAAAGAATCGGTGATCAATTCCAATGCTGGCTGGGCTGGGCCTACTGGAGATGTCACTTTACTGACTTTTAATGGCTAAGGAATTTTTGAGGATAATGTTAATTACGTGTGATTTTCATCTTCAGTGATTACCTAAAAGGCCAGCTCCCAACTCCACTTAATGGTTACATAAATGGAACCCCTGTCCTGGCTGGCCCACATCATTGTGGCCTCTTCCCATCCACTCTCCAAGCAGCAGAGTCATCTTTTCTAAAAACAGTTCTGATTAGGTTACCTCCAATCCCCACTTCTGCACCTTTCCACCAATAAAAACCTAACATTATTCCCTTAGGAGAGAATCCCCAACTACTTTTACAAGACTTGTGAGGGCCTTCGGGGTCCAGGGTCTCACCAGCTTTCCTTGCCTCACTGGCGGCCCCTGCATAGTGCCCCAAGCTCCGGTGTAGATGGTTCCCCCTGCCTGGAACACTGTCTCAACCCCTCTCACCACATTCTCTCCATTTCATCCTTTAGACCTTTGTTCAAATGTCCTTTGCCTGGGGTTCTGCTGAGAGCCTGGCCAGGCCCCATGTCCGTGTCATGGGCACCTCTCACTGGGCCCCAGCTCTGTGTCATGGACACTTCTTACCTGGCTCCATCTGCCTGTCATGGGTGCTTCTAACCGGGTACATCTCCCTTTTCGCATTTGCCTCAGAAGCAGTTTCACAGTTGTCTGTGAGATGAGTGGATTCCTTTGTGTTTCCATAAATTCTAAATTTGATGTGGTAGAGACCGTGTCTGTTTTGTGCCTGGCACACAGCAGATATTCGGTAGGTGCTTTATTGAGCAAATAAACAAACACCCATCTTTTCCATCTCCACGTTAGTTCTTCCAAAGTAGAGACCACCTCCTGTTCATCTTTGTCTTCCTGTCTTAGAGATTTCTTCACTAAATCCCATTCTTTGATAGAAGAAGGAAGTGGAAGAATTACCAGGACTTACACATAGGAGGCTTTCACTCACTGAACCGTTTAATCACAAGGGCGGTGCCAAGACTTCTGCTCCCCACTCTGGGGCCTCAGGGCCACTCAGCCATGTGCAGACAGTGCTTCAGCAACGCCTGTTTTCTTCACTCTTTAGGGAGTTTATGATTGTTTAAGATTGAGTGCTTACAGTGAGTAAAAGCGATCTGGACAAAAAATCTTCCCATAAAAGAACAGAATGTATGCTGGATTTCTTTCTCTCTTGTTTTATGGGTTAGATTTCTTTTCTTTTTTTATTTTAAAACAGAGTCTCTGTCTCCCAGGCTGGAGTGCAGTGGCACCATCACAACTCACTGTGGCTTTGACCTCCTGGGCTCAAATGATCCTCCCACCTCAGTCTACTGAGTAGTCGGTGTGCACCACCATGCCTGACTAATTTTTGTATTTTTTGAAGAGACAGAGTCTTGACATGTTGCCCAGGCTGGTCTTGAACTCCTGGTTTCAAGCAATCTGCCCTCCTTGGCCTCCCAAAGTGCTGGGATTACAGGTGTGAGCCACCGCGCCCTGCCTGGGTTAGCTTTCTAATGGAGGGTTGCTTATTTGCGATTTGGGAGCTTTGCTACAAATGTTTATTGAGTGTCCTCTATGTGGCAGGCACTTATGAAGGACAGAGGGGGAAGTAGGTGAGGATAGGGAGTTGAGGGCGAGACAAAGGGAAGTGATGCTTTTTGAAAGTCCAGGCTATTGTGCAGTAGATCCCAGTGATGAGCTCTCAGAAAATCAGTGTCAGTGACTGTAACTTACTTTTCGCTATGGTCAAAAGTTTGTCTGAAGGCCTTGCCCTGTGTGGGACACTCAGGCTCAGAACACTTGCTTGGATCTGGCTGATGCAATCCCAAGAAACTCCAGTCAGCGTTCTCTCCCTTTGAGCCAGTGCCTTCACTTCCCCGAGCCTGTCTCCCTCATGTTTCCATCAGACACAAAGGACCGGTCTGTCGATACTCCTGTCTGTCAGTGACAAGCAATTGGTACCCGAGCCTGGGGTGGGACTTCTGATCTCAGCTTGGGGCTTGTTGATGAAGTGAGGACTGCTGTTCTCTCGGAGCACCACCAGGACGCCTCTCAGATCACTGTTTGAGCCCAGTAAAGGGACGAATCGTGCTCATGTTTATTCTGCAATTTCAAAGGCTGCCATCTAATGTTTAAGAGTGCAGAGACTTTAAATGAACAAACGGTTTGGTGGAAAATAAGAGATGCACATTGCCATGATTTGCTACCTGGTAGATGGACTTTATTTTATGTGGTTAAGGTGCAGAGCTTAGAAGGCTCTTCAAGTACAGGTAAGATTTGGAAAGTCACCACTAGGCTCTAAATTTGGGGAGCAGTGCCTTATGCTAATGATGTTTTTTGTAAAAAGATGGTCTCCTCTTCATCACCAGATTGTCCCTTAAATTAGCTAAAGCCCCGAGGCCTTAAATTAAAAGCAAGAAATTACAATGTAGCAGATTGAATTTAGGTTTATGTGCCGCGTGTGAAATATATGAGTGGCTTTTGAAAGCATAATTGTAAATGAACAGTGGGTTCCTTATGCACAGGCAGCATCCCCTGAATGTCTGGCTATTTGCATTGAAAGCCCACTTTCCACCCAGTTAGTGCCCCCACACCCACCCTCCCTTCCCCATCGCCATGACGCAAGCCAGACTGCACTGTCACGACCACACTGAAGCCTATGCTGACGCCATCATATCTGCTGGAACCTGCTCCCAAATTGCTCTCTCTGTTTAACCTGGTCAAGGCAGATCCAGCTTTTTGGGGTCCCCTCCCCTTCTTGGCCATTAACAAGCAAGATATCCAAGAAGGAGTGAACACCGAACTCTTTATCACTCCTGGGCTTGAGAATCTTCCTTTTTTTCTTTGCTTGGGCCTGAGGGTGCCTAGGAGGCAACATAAAATCTTGCTTTTGTTTCATTTATAATTGGTGAGTCTGTGCTCTCTGGGCAAAGGCCAGCGCATTCTTGGAAGGGGTTTTTAACGCTGGATGCACATTAGAATAAGCTAAGGAGATTTCAAAAATGCCGATGCCCGGGTCCTGAGCCATAGAGATTTCAATTTAATAGGTCTGGGATGGGGCCTGACTGTTGAGGTGTGTGTGTGTGTGTGTGTGTGTATGTGTGTGTGTGTGTGTTTATGTGTGTACAAGCTTTCCAGCCCATTGTAATGGTCGGCCAGAGTTAAGAACTACTTATTTGGAAGAAAAAGTTGTCCATTTTCACTGTTACTGTTAGGCAGATTTTCTTTAATCAGATTAAAACCATGTGATAGCAGACAATGCAAAATTAGCTGTGCAGAGAGAGGGATTTAAAGGATCCAGGCATTTATGACAAAATCAGCCATGATCCTTTTTTTACTGTACTCAAAATAAGACATGTAGAAAAAGCTGAGCCTTACAGGAGACAGATACAGTGTCCTTGGGCTTGGGTAGGGCTAGAAAGTAAGCAGCTTCAGGGCCAGGTGCAGTAGCTCACGCCTGTAATCCCAGAACTTTGGGAGGCCAAGGCAGGCAGATCACTTCAGGTCAGGAGTTCGAGGCCCGCCTGGCCAACATGGTGAAACCCCATCTCTATTAAAAATACAAAAATTAGCCAGGTGCGGTGGCAAGCGCCTGTAATCCCAGCTTCTTGGGAGGTTAAGGCAGGAGAATTGCTTGAACCCTGGAGCCGGAAGTTGCAGTGAGCTGAGATCATGCCACTGCACTCCAGACTGGGTGACAGAGACTCCAAAAATAAAAAAAGAAAAAGAGAAAAAGAAATAGAAAGCAAGCAAGCAGCTTCAGAGTGGGAGGCTGTAGACGTCGCCAACCTTTCCTTGAAATCAGGTTTATGCACTCATTTATTAACTCATTCATTCATACATTGCCTCTTTATTAAGTACCTCTTTGGTACAAACACTTCGGTAGGCTTGGGTGCAAAGGTGAATGTCTTCCAGATAGGAATTCTAAAAGAGTTGGAAACTCAGGAGATTAGGGTTAATTTTCGTAATCACAGATACTTGACTTTTCACCCGGCCTCCCATTCCTTTGTCAATGCCAGAAGCCAGTGTCTGCTCTCGAGCTTCCCGGCGCGGTGTGAGGGGGGAGGAGATGGCAGCACCCCCACTTTCTGCCTCACCACTTGCCGAGTCTTGCCGCTGACATTTTCTCTGGTACATTTTCGTATGACGCCGAGCAGCATATGGCACCTCTTTGTCAGACACATTATCTCAAGCACGTCCTCACTCCCATCCTGCCTGACTCATTTGGGGATTACAGAAAGTTCGTAGGAACAGACAGGGGTGCAGAGGCAGGAGAAACATTGTAGAATTTGTGAAGATTGAGTACTGGAATACACTTTTTTTTTTTTTAAAGCAACAGAAAAAGTACAGATCTCATGGTATAGCTTCACAATACCCTTCCTCGGATGGCTGGGAAGGAATCATTATACTCATTTTAACAATCAGGAATCTGAGACTTAGAGAAGTTGACTGTCAAGCATTTCTACCTGGATGCCTCTTCCTGGGGGTGGAGGATGTACATCTCTAAGATTGGCACCTGGAAAGACTTCTTATTCCAGTTTCAGGCTCCGCTCTGCAGAGACGCCAGAGCAGCCTACAGTCCCGTCTCCGCCGGCTAACCAGACATGACCACAAGGGGGCACCAAAGAGTTTTCATTACTTCCGCAGGTCTTGCTTTGCCTGCTTTTTCTGCGGTGTGGTGGCACATAGGTGCACAATGAAAAGAAAACAGTGTGAACTTAGAAGAACGGACGATGTTGGAAGACAAAGCTTAAGCCCCAGGTAGAAAACTGTGACTAGCAGTGGTGGCGATGACCCTAATTTTTCCATTGATCAGGGGGGTGGGGAAGTGTCGCAAGGTGGGGTAAACTTCAGATCCCTATCAGGACCCTGAGGTGCCATATGAATGTTTTCATTTTTCTTCGAGAAAGCAAAGGAAGATGGAGACTAATGCATATTAAGCAGGCATTTGTTTAATCAGTCCTTCACGGAGTGTGTGGCAGGACGTCAAGTATGGAAGGTAGGCTGAGGCTTAGTAGGACCTCGGTAGGACTGTGGAGGTCACGGAAGGGGGTCTGGGTTTTATTCCAAGTACCATGAGGAGTCCAAGCCCGCGGGTAGTGTGACCTGTCTTACCTTGGGATGCTCTGTGAGGAACAGGCCATGGAGCACAGGTGTGGGTGCAGTAGAGGGAGGGGCCATTGCAAAGTCCAGAGAGCCTAGAGTGGCCTTGGTGGAGATGGAACGAAGCAAATGGACTTAGGACATCACTGGAGTTGGGACTGGCAGGGCTACTAGTGGACTGATACCGGCAATGTGAGTGAGAAAGGGGGGAATCAAGAGACCCTCAGGTTTGGGGTGTGGATGGTGGTGAGACTGAATGAGAGGAGAAGGGTTGTGGGAGGACCAGGCTCAGAAGGGAACTGGCATCTCTTTCGGCCATGGCAAGTGTGTGATGCTGCAGGCTCCCACCTGGGGAGGCCTGGCGGGCAGCTGGATTTACAAGTCAGAGCTCAGGGGAGAGGCCAGGGCTACAGGTAGGAATTTGGCACTTTCATTTTTTTTTTTCATTTAATACTCACATCAGCCCTATGTTTCAGATATTGTTGCTCCCATTTCATAGACAGGGAAGCTGAGACTTAGGAAAGAGGAGGTAACGTGGCTCCAAAGTAGTAGAGCTGAAATTTAAACTGGGTCTGTGTGATTCAGTCGCTGTTTCCAAGGTGTCTCCCACATTCTTAACTGATTACCATTAGGGAAAAATCTACGTCTTATCCTGCCTCATACAGGCATTCATTAAGTATTGGTCATCCCTGGTTACACCACTATACTTTAGCCTTCCTTCCCTCAAGAAAAAAAAAGCATTAGTCAACCCAAATGTCTAGTTCTTTAAAAAAAATCATTTTAACCCAACAGATCTTGTTTTTTTTCCCAACTAAATAATAGATTATCTGAGGGAAGAAAAAAAATCATGCCTTCATATGTGCAGATCCCAGGCAGCATATGGTAGAGCACCTCACACCCAGGCAGGGAGGCCAGTGAGGTCACCCACTGAGTGCCAGCCACCGTCATAGCGGCTGCCAGGAGTGCAGTGCAGGAAAGAATACTGAGCTAGGAGAATGTGCTGAGATCCATGAGTGATGTCTGTTTCAGGCACTGGAGGGGTGAGAGGCAGCCTTTGAATCCTATATTTGCCATTCCTGAGACAGATCCTTCAGTCAAAGGAGAAATCAGGGCTCCAATAAGAACCTGATCAATAAGACCCTCCCCATTCACAACTCACCAGCCAATGGAGACTCCACAGCAAGGGCTTGAGGTCTTCCTTTCATAATTACTCAGAACCCAATGAAACCAGGGGAGTGCAGAGGCTCAATTAGCGGGAGTTATGGGTGAGTCAGCCTCCCCTGCACCTGCTGTGAGGATGGGCCTTCAGGGCAGACCCGTCTTGAGCGATTGTAGGTGCTGGCTACAAACCACTCTCCAGGAGTTGCTGAGGCAGCTGCAGGAACAGAGAGCAGCTCCCCAGAAGGGGAGACCCGAGAGGGAGGCAGAGGGCTATGAGTGAGCTGGTCCATGGCTGGCTGGAAGTGGAAGGCATGAGGGAGACTGGTAGGGCATGCTCAGATCACCCTGGGTTTTGTTCCTAAGCTGTTCTGGAGGAGAGCTGATATGATGAGAGGCTGAAGGAAAACTGCTCACTGTGCTCACTGCTTGTCTCCTGGAATCTGGAACTGACCCCTCAGGGGAGGGTGACTGGAGGGCCTCCTCCAGCCTGCTGAGAACACAGACAGGTACTCCTTGGTGCCACCTGGGTGATGGGTTAATGGGCACACTCTCAACAAGGGTAGGAGCTGTTTTGGACACCTGAACATCAGATGGGGCTGTCATCAGTTTGGAGAAAGCAGGTGATATGGTTTGGCTGTGTCCTCACCCAAATCTCATCTTGAATTGTAGCTCCCATAATTCCCTTGTGTTGTGGGAGGGACCCGGTGAGAGATAATTGCATCATGGGGGCAGTTTCCCCCATACTGTTCTCGTGGTAGTGAATAAATCTCACGAGATCTGATGGTTTTATAAGGGGAAACCCCTTTCACTTGGTTCTCATTCTCTGCTTGCCTGCCACCATGTAAAACATTCCTTTCCCTTTCTGCCGTGATTGTCAGGCCTCCCTAGCCATGTGGAACTGTGAGTCCATTAAACCTGTTTTTCTTTATAAATACCCAGTCTCAGGTATGTCTTTATCAGCAGCATGAAAATGGACTAATACAGCAGGGGTGCAGGACTGGCCCCTGGGATTCCAGAGATGGTTGCCATGCCTCCCAGTCAGAGGATTCTGGGTAATGGGGATGCAGGCATGGAGCTGGAGGTATCAACAAAGGCAGAAAAGCCCTAGTTAGAGGGCACAGAGGCCAGAAACTCCTTAGACACTTAATCTCATTATGGGCTAACAATTAGGAGGAGAGGGGGTTTTTTGGGAAGAGGGCCCTGGCTGGAGGGAGAAGAGGATGATCAGAGAGAGGTCTATAGGAGATAGGTGTCCATTCATCAGGAAGTCACCCAGGGAAGGAAACTTTAGACAGACAGAATCTGGGAGAAGTTTCCTAGGCTCTTTCTGTTTGCAATGTTGGGCTGGTGATTTTCCTTTGCCTTGTGTTAACTTTGCTGATGGGGCTGTTAAAAAAAACCCCAGCAAGAAACCACCTTGTTTATCCTGAGAACACTCAGTAGGACACAAGCAAGGAGCAAAGCTGTGGGAAGTGGGAATTGGAGTCCAGGGTACAATCTGAATGCAAGGGAGAGGACCTGTAGTGGGGTTCCAGAGTGGAGAGTAGAGCCATGGGCAGCTTCTAGAAAGGTGAGAAGGTTGGTGTGTCCTCTGCAAATACCTAGGAGGGCTGTCTTCTCTTTCCATTTATGGTCACCTTGATACAAGCTGGTTTGCGCCCACCTCAGTGGGTCAGTGATGGAGACTGAAGAGGGAGCAGAGACACTCTGCATCTGAAAGATGACTTGGGGATGTCAAAGAGCCATCTTGCAGCCACATCTAGATGTCTACTGCTCTCAAAAGAATGGGAGCAGCAAACATCACAGCAAATGGCATTTTTTCAAGAGAAAGTCATCTCCATTACTGCTAACTGGGGCCCATTGTGCACCCAAAGAAGAAGCAAGGTGGATAAATATTTTGGAGGAATGAGTGTGTGGGAGATAAGTGGGCAGGTCACACAAACATCGGGTAAAATGGACCTTGTGTTCCTCATGGTTCTCCCCCAACTCAGTAACAAGACCCAAGTCTGAGTTTCATGGAACTCCCCAGCTCATCCATGTCCACTGAGTTCCTTCTCATCAATGTCACCTGGGGAGGGAAAGGTGAGCCAGAGCAGGAAGCAGATTTCCTCTGTTGAGGGAGACGTGGTGGGTCTCCTGCTTTACGAGTCTCAATGGGCTGTCCCATCTAAGGGACACAGAGCAGAAGGGTTAAGGGAGATAAGCAGACATGTCAGGTGGCCTTTGCATAAAAGATATGGGCTGGGTGCGTGGCTAACGCCTGCAATCCCAGCACTTTGGGAGCCGAGGTGGGTGGATCACGAGGTCAGGAGATTGAGACCATCCTGGCTAACACGGTGAAACCCCGTTTCTACTAAAAAAAAAAAAAATTAGCCTGGGAGGTGGAGCTTGCAGTGAGCTGAGGTTGTGCCACTGCACTCCAGCCTGGGCTACAGAGTGAGACTCTGTCTCAAAAAAAAAAAAAAAAAAAGAAAAGATATGAGAGGAGCAGTCAAGAATGGGGGATTTCAACCCATTTGTTAATTTTTATCAACTAATCTCTTCGAATCTTTGCAACTTTCCCTTTTCGGTTATTCTTTTATTTTTAGTGAGATATACTTCACATACCCATAAAATTCCTCCACTGTGCATGTACGATTCAGCGAGTTTTAGTAAAGGTATAGAATTATACAACCCATGACTCCAATCCTGTTTTAGAACTGTTATTATTGTTTCTCTTCTCCAAAGGATTAGCTCAAATTCTTCTTGGAAGGGCTTGCAAGGTTTGCAGGAGGGTGCACAGTCGATCTGGGGAGAGAAGTAAACACAAGCAATGAAGATAGTGGAGTGGCCTGGACGGGAAGCTTCTTTTACAAAGGAAGGATGACAAGAGCCCACAGTTCTTATTGTGTAGGTAAAATGAGCCAGGGGCCATGCCAACCGCATCACATGGATTATCACCTTGGATTTTAACAGTAAGCCAAAGTAACAGGTAAACATGTTATTCCCATTTTACAGATAGAAAAATGGAAGTTTACAGAGGTGCAGTGGCTTCTACAAGGTCTCACTGAACCCATACCTTTCCAACTGCAGAATTTGCATGCTCAAACCATTACACTAGGATACGTTTGACAACTTTGCTCCAGAGTCTAGACTGTACTGTAAGATGACTTACAATGCAGCAGCTCCTGACTGCATGCTCAAGACCTTGATTTCTGCAACTCTGAATCCATTTGAGTTTATAAAATGAAAAATGAGCCCCTACTCCCTATTGATCCTAATCCTCATTCATCCCTAGTTTTGCTCATTTTGGCTTAGGCTCCACCTGGAAAACAAAACATTAACCACTGGGCTTTGTTTGCTCTGATGATCCTGCTCTGACCCTCACATAGCACGAGGCACCAAATGTCTGGCACCCTCCCTTGTGCAGAGGAATAAAGAAACCTGAAAACACACTATCATTTCAAAAACAGCCTGCCTGCCACGAAAGTAACAGTGTTCGATGATGCCATTGTATTTCTTCCTCCCTTTCAAAATCAATCTTTAGATTTTAGGCCTGAAAAGTAGGTGCCACTATCTTCTAATGATCTGCCAGGGGTTAGAAACGGAATGCTACACACCACTTAACATGTGAAATATGATTTATCTGTCGGGGCATATATGAAAAAAATGAAAAGAAATATCTAACAATAACCCTTCTGTTGAGTTTTGAAATGTAAATGTTTGCTAATGCTTTGCCGAAGACAGCTTCACTTGGGCTGAGAGCTATGTGTAAAGAAACATTAAAATGCATCATTTGCTCAGGGCTAAAAGTCATCAGCTTGTGATATTAATGCCCTTTAAAAAATAATTTGACGGCATGAAATCAGAGCACACCTTGTGCAAAGGATTGGCTCTTGTCAATTTTCTCGTGGATCTACTGAGCTATAATTGCATTTAGATCTTGCCAAAAATGAAAGTGTTCTTTTTAAAAATTCTCTCCATCTCTCATTTGCTGGAAGAAAGGTAAGGGGGTTAACTTTGATTTCATCTAGTGTGAAAGACCCCTGACCTATAGGCTGGAACATGCTGGTCAGCTAGAGGTCATGGGTTGTTATTGTTGTCTTTTCCTCCATCCTCAGCTCACAGGTTCCCAGCAGGGCTCATCTGGGTGAGTGCTGAGCTTAGGGGACCTGGGAGAGCCCAGTAACTAGATTAAGGCCACTTTGGCTGCAAGTGACAAAACTCTTCTCAAATTGGCTTAAGCAACAAATAGGAAATGTTTAAGGACACAACGGGTATCTTACAGAGTCTGGGGATGGGAAGGAGGTTGAGCCTTAGCCCACCTGGAAGCAGGGGCTGCCACGGATGTGTGCCTCCTGGATGTGTCTGGGGTGGGCTGTGGCTGCTAGTGGCTCCTGGGATGGGGCTGAGCCTAGTGGGGAGAGGGGGAAGATGAGGAGGAGGCGGATTCCATCCAGCTCTGGTCTTCCCTTCCTGCCTCATCTGGGGCAAGACCTCACTTTCTCCTGCAGTGGGTGGTGTAAGGGTTCCATTTGAAATAATGGTTCTGTGGTGAAGAAAGAAATTGGAAATAACTAGATAATTTCTTGGCCTCTTCACAAATTCTATAGCTTTGAGGATTACAACCACTTGATAGTCACAAGTGACAGGAGCGGTGCTTGAAGAATAAGCCATTTCTTCACTCTGTGATCATTTACCCAACAAAGGGGGAGCAGCTGAGGGTCGCAAGGGTAACAGATGAGCAAGGTACAGCAATGGCTGTGAAGGTGCCGCCTGTCTGGTTGCTATTCTGGAGGCTGGGTGTTCCAGGATGTGGTTTTTCACTCAAGGTCTCTGTACTTTCCTTTTATCTTTCTATTAAATTTTTTTTGATAGAATCTTTATATATGCGCGCGCGCGCGCGCGCGCGCGCACACACACACACACACACACACACACACACACACATATACATTGATGCATTTATTTCAACGATTTGTTCGACACATACTTATTGAGTGCCTACCAGGGGTTCCAGGCTCTGCGGATAGAGCAGTGAACAAAACAGAATTGGTGCGCTGTCCTCCTGGAACTAACTGGTTGGGATGGGGTGTGATTGCTTCTGCTTGATGCTGGTATTCCCACTTTCTCATCAGCAGTAAAGTGCCATGGCCATTTGACTCCTCAACAAGCTTAGCCCTGATCTTTAGCAGGCTTGTCAGTCCTTTAAATTAGTTTGGAAGGTTTCAAGTAGTGATTCTTAAAGTGTGTTCTGGAAACTCACATGGGTTATTTTTATCATAAAGCTAAAACACTTGTCTTTTTAAAATCTCTGTCATGAGTGAACAGTGGAGTTATCCAAAGTCTACACAATGTGTGAAATCAAAACAGATTGAATGGAGAAGCAGACATATGACTCCAATTGACTTCTATTAAGCCAGCCAATATAGAGATTTGCAAATAAGCAAAACAATGCCGCTCAATTCACTAGTTTTTTAAATTTTTGAAAATATAGTTATTTTTTAAAAAAACACCTAATTTATATTAACATGTTACACGTTTATGTTAAGGTACAATACATTTATTGTTTTTAATGAATTAGTGTCTTTTTTAAATGCTTTGGTTTTAATTTCAAATATGGTAAATATCAATAGATATAATCCACACAAAATTCTTTGAGGTTCTTAATTTTTAAGAGTGTAAAGGGGGCTGGGCACAGTAGCTCATGGCTGTGATCCCAGCACTTTGGGAGGCCAAGGCAGGTGGATCACCTGAGGTCAGGAGTTTGAAACTAGCCTGGCCAACATGGTGAAACACCGTCTCTACTAAAAAACCAAAAATTAGCCAGTCGTGATGGTGGGTGCCTGTAATCCCAGCTACTCAGGAGGCTGAGGCAGGAGGATCACTTGAAACCAGGAGATGGAGGTTGCAGTGAGATTGCGCCACTGCACTCCAGCTTGGGCAACACAGCCAGATTATGTCTCAAAAAAACAAGAGTGTAAAGGGGTCTTGAGACCAAAAACTTTGACAACTGCTAATTTAGAGGCAAAGGGTATTGCATGTGATGGGAGTCAGCATTCTCAGTAGCAATGAAATTGATTTAAAGCATATTAGAGAAAGAATTGTAAGGAGGCTCTAGAACCAGTCTCAGAAAGCTACCAGGATCTAGGAAAACTAGGAGGTCAGTTGCGGCCAATGTCACAGAACCAGGCTGGTGAGGACATCACTGTGTACTGCTGAGCGCAGGACACCATAGTTTCTCCTCGCTAACCCTGGAGGCACCGCCACCCTGGAAACTAGAGGCTGCTCCTGCCGCCAAACCCTCTGCCATTCCTGATTCTTTTTGTTCCCGGCTCATGTGTGAGGTCTGGGATGGATACATCTCACTGTGGGCCTAGGTCGTGGTCCAAGGCCTGGCAGCCACAGAGCCGAGGGAAGTGAGTGTGACTGTGTGGGCTCCCATAGAGGGAGGTGGGCCCAATCTCTCACCCAGAGGCAGGTGTAGAAAGTGATGGGCAGCCGGACAAAGTTCCCTTCAACCTGGTGTGTTTCAGAGAATGTCCTGGGGCTCTGTTTGCCCTCTCTAACCACATCCCTTGAGAAATCAGGGGAGCTAGAGATGGAGGGCAGTCAGTGTTACTGCTTCTGGCCCAGTCTCCTGTGTACTTTTGTTTCTAAGCCTCGGAAGCTTAGGGATCTTTTGTGGCTGGATGATGGCAAGGTGCATGGAATATAGAAAGAGGTCAGGAGAGTCTCTTATACTCCTGGGTCTGCCTCCTTCCTCAGTGAGGGGGAGGATGGAACTTAAGAGTATAGTGCAGCAATTAAGAGCTCAGTTTCTGGAATTAGACAGTTTAGCGGTCCCAATCTTGGAGGTGCCTTCTGCCTCCCTGGAGACAGCTGTTTCTGGACAGGGGCCAGCGGGCCATGTCAGGGAGACATGAGAGAGGGAGGAGGGAGACAGGCGGCAGCAGGAGCAGAGCTGGCTGGACAGGGCTTTGTCCACTTGATAAAGCTGGCATGTTCCTTCCAGCTGTCCCTGTGATGCTCGCTTATGTCTGGTTTTCTCATGACTCAGAGCCACAGGGCAGGCCTCTCCAGCAGTAGGGAGAATTTGGATTTGGATATGGTTTGAGAAGAAATGAGGTAGAAGACTGTCTTCCTTTGCTGCCACCCACCACAACTCCCCAGGCCAGTGCTGGATCCCTTCTGGTGATCAGTGAGCCTGGGGACAGCCTGCCAGTTAGAGCTGGTGACCACTTTGGCTGGAGGTCTGCAGGAGTGTACAGGACCCAAGAGCCAGAGAATCATTCCTTTCTCCTAGGAAGAGGCAATGAGAAGCCAGAGAGAAAAATCATGGACAACAGCATGGGCAATGGAATCCTGGGACCGAACGGCTCCTGACAAGAGTAAGTGAGGCTTTGAGCTCCTGGAGGGCAGGGACAATACTCATCTCTGACTCATTTCCCTGGCATCTGATGGACTGCCTCTCAGGATGGGTAACCACAGCTTGCAGGGAGCCCAGTCAGGTTCTGGCTCCCCCTTCCCTTCCCAGTACCCTCTTCCTCACCCAGTGTGCTCCTGCTAACACCTGGACCTCCGATCCGCAAGAAATTGCCTCCTAAACAAGTTCCTATGAAGGTGTCAGGCTGAATGTGCTCCTGTATTAAGGCTACTTGAATTTTAAAGGAAACAATGAAGAGGGCATTGCTTTATCCAAATTGGCAATTCTCTAATGCATGTTTTTACTTGTTTCCCCAAGAGTGTAACAGGTGTTTTCTAAAATTCTTTTATTAAATTCTTTGTCAAGTGAATTTGGGAAATCTTGGATGTTATAGCTCCTCCTCAAAGATTTAAAATGCACAATGTTGGCCAAGCATGGTGGCTCATGCCTGTAATCCCAGCACTTTGGGAGGCTGAAGCAGGCAGATCACTTGAAGTCAGGAGTTCGAGACAATCCTGGCCAACATGGAGAAACCCTGTCTCTACTAAAAATACAAAAACTAGCTGGATGTGGTAGATGCCTGTAGTCCCACCTACTTGGGAGGCTGAAGCATGAGAATCGCTTGAACCTGGGAGGTGGAGGTTGCAGTGAGCCAATCTCATGCCACTGCACTCCAGCCTGGGCAATAGAGTGAGACTCTGTCTCAAAATAAATATAAATGAATAATTAAATAAATAAAATGCGTAATGTCATATTAAAGGCTCTAGGAGGTCCTGTGAGTTTTAACCTGTTGGATTTTTAAGAAATAAGTCTTATTGAGGTATGGTTTACATACAATAAAACTTGCTCATTTTAATGGTGCAGTCTAATCAGTTTTGATGTACACACTCAGGTAACCAACATGACAGTTGAGGTCTAGGACATTTCTATCAGCTCAAAAACTCCCTCATGACCCTTCATAGTCAATTCTCTTCCTCAACGTGCAACCCCTGGCAGCCACTGATCTGTGTCTTCTATAACTAGAGTTGAGCCTTTTCTAGAATTTCACAACAATTGGAGTCATCCAGTAAGTTGTCTTTTGTGTCTCTGGTTTCTTTCCTTAGCATGATGTTTTCTGAGGTTGAGCTGTGTTGTGTTTATCAATAGTTTCTTCCTTTTTATTGCCAAGTAGTATTTCACTGCACGGATGTGTCACTGTGAATCCACTCCCCAAGTCTGAGTGGTTTCCAGTTTTAGGTGATCAAGAATAAAACCACTATGAGTATTTGTGTACAAGTGCTTGTGTGGCTGTGTATTTTCATTTCCCTTGGGTAAACAACTATGAGTGGAATTGTTTAATTTTATTTGATCAAGGGACACTTAAACTGAACATCTGTTAATGAATATTCTGAAAAACACAATCTGGAAAACATGGCTAAAATATTGGGCCTGTCAATACCATCCAGGCCGCCACCCTCACTGTCCTTGGGAAAATGCCAAGCTTATGGTGCCAGGCCCCTTGCTCTGCAGACATTTGAAAGGGGGAATGGGGTGGCCATGGCCTTATCAGACAGAGCTCAGCCGGAGAGGGGACTCAGGAGCTGGAGCCAGTGAGTGGAGTTGGCCTCAGAACTGTGGTATCTTTTCTTATCTAATAGTAAAATCCCAGATGCTAGTTGGCCCTGGTGCCCCATGGTGGAGAAGCAGTGAGTCTGGTCTGGAGCCCAGGTCCCAGATCTCCTTCTCATTGGTTTTAAGTAAAGAGGGAAAAGAGGCTCTGTAGCTGCTTTTCACAAATGTCGTCATTCTCATCAGCAGATGGTAGAGGAGAGAGGCTAATTCAGAACTCCTGTAGCATATAAAACAAAAACCAGCCAAAGGAACCCACAAGGTAAATGATATCATTATAAGGGAAGTAAAGGAAACAGCATCTGTCCCTGCTGTGGCAGGAACCAGAGCTAGGATGCTGGAGAGGTGCCTGCTCCCTGGGCCTTGCAGGGAAGTGGTTCTCACTCAGTGGCAAGGGGAGCTGACGGCTCAGCAAATGCTCTATTAATCCCACCTGAAGAGAAGAACAGTTCGGGAGGGCTGGGCTAGGTCCCGATTTTAAATGTTTAATGCACATCTTGATCTTCCTTTTATTTGTTGTTGGACTGTCTGGACAGACTCTTGTGATTTTCCAGGTTTGTTGATCAATTAAAGTTGGAGAAGACACATGGTTTATCCCACCGCATGCCTTCTGATAGGTCATAGTATGTTGAAACATCCAGGGATAAGTTCATCTGATTGTGGGCTTAGCTGATATAGGGGCTGAGGGTGTGGAAGGTACCTGCCTTTTGCAGCAGCCTGAACAAAGAATTTAAAAACTCCGTTCCTTGCCTTTAGCTCCACTGGGCTCTCAGACCCCACTGGAGAAGAACAGGGAAGAGACAGCTCTTTTCTGCAGCCACCTTCCTAGGCATTCTGTGGTTTTGCTGAAAGAGCAAAGGCTTCTGGAAACAGACCCATGTTCCCGATCCTGGCTCTGTCACTGACGAGCTAAGGCCAGGGCCCTCTCTTATGTCTTAGTCTCCTTGTCTGTAAAATGAGGGCATGTACCCACTTCAGAGGTGTTAGGAGGAGTATATACACATGATGCCTTATGTGGGTACAGTAGTGCCTAGCACAGTATTAGCTGTAGAATAAATGGGAATTCATAACCCCTCATTTCTAGATCAACCCCTGTAAGTCCACCCAAGAACACTGTGTGCCTGAACGAAAGGCAGGTAGGAAGAAGGCAGGGAGGAGAGTGCTTGGGTAAAAAGACACTGTGGTGAAGCATTCCTCTACTGGAGCCCCTTTCTCAGAATCCTAGACTCCTAAAACACCAGGATTGGAAGTTTCTTTGGAGGTCTTTTATTCAACTGTTCACTTCATGCAGGAGATGACTTTCCAAAGTCCTTGCCAAATGTCATCCAATTTTCCCTGGAACATCTTCAAAATAGTGTAGTGGGTGCAGAAATAGTCTCCACCACTTCCTAACCCTAACCCTGGGCTAGTTCCTTAGCCTCTCCCTGTCTCAGTTCCCTTAACTGTAAAGTGAGAGCAATAATAATAGGATTGCTCTAAGGACGAGTTAATACCTGTGCCTAAAGTGGTCTTTGGAAAGCGCAACCTCTCAAAAAATACCAACTTTAAACACGATTATTATTGCTATAACCTTTTCAGGGTTGAGGACAAAGCTATGGCTGGTTACACCCCAAAACCTCCCTGGCACCTCAGGGCAGCTTTGGTCCAGAAAAGGAAGCTCTCTCTGTCTTCATGAAATTTCCACTTAGGCATCCATTGATTATCCTTCTGTTCAGATTTTAATTTTTTTTTGGAGAGCCATCATCTCTTCCCTGGGTCTCTTCCTCTTTCATACTTAGTGCTTTATACCCAAGAGAATATTATTACATCGAACATGAAATTGTGGTTTTGGAGGTCAAAAACTGTCAGGTGTTTCATACGATTCAACCTGCACAGAAGCAGTGTCATCTTTGGGTCCCTGGAGTCACAATCACCACAGTTACTTTGGGTACCTGATTCCGGGTCCCTAAAGAAGATCTGAGAGGAGTGCCTAGAAATCTGCATTTCTAACAAGGTCTCCACTGACACAGTAGAAAGAACACTGGCCTGGGAACAGGAAACCCAAGTTTGAGGACCAGTCCTGTTTCTAGCTGGCCACATAACCTTGGGAAAGTCACTTCAGTCTCTAGGTCTCTGCTCTCTTTTATCACCACAATGGGAATTGCAAGAAAGTGATCTTTAAGATTACCCCCAAGCCTGAACTTATATGGTTTATAAAACACTTACTGGGTGCCTATTAGGAACTGAAGGTCACAAAAGATATAGTTCAAGCCTGCAAGGAGATTACTCTTGTTGGGAAGATTGAAACCAGATGAAGAGGCAGAGCAAAACAATGTGGAAGATAATACAGTACGGTGGCATCAGTGATATCACCGTGGAGAAAACGGTTACCTGCAAATGTGTATTACTTCTATAGAAGCAGTGACGTGAGGCCTCTGTGGGTAGCGTAAGCTTCCTGAGGGAAAGGCCAAATTTGAGCAGCATCTTAGGTTGAGAGAAGGAAGAGTCAGCTTATCTTCTTTTCTCTTTGATAGTCCCAGCACTGGCTCCTAAAATTTCAGCAGTCTTTAAGGTACTACCTATGTTCATTTGCTCATTCATTCATTCATTCATTATCTACCTATTCATGAATATATATTGGGTGCTTACATATGGTGAACAAGATCAAATTAGTCCCTACTCTTAGAGAGCTTAACATTGTAATGAAGGATATGACAAATATTAAACAGATTAAAAAAGTGGTGTAATGCTATGAAGAGAATTAAAGCAGGATGAAATAGTAACTGTGGTTTCTTCGGTTTGGGGGTAATGGTCAGAAAAGATCTCTCAGAAGACTGAGAAGCTATGACCTGAAAGTCAAGAAGAAGCCAAACAGGGCACGATCAGGGAAAGAATGCTTCAGGTAGAGGAAACTGCCAGTGCTGAGGATCTACAGTGGGAATTTACAGGAATGAAAGAAACGCAGGAGAAGAGGGGAGAAAGGCAGGAGAGGGTACAAAATATATCTGGTACAGTAGGCAGGGGTAAGATTGTGAAACGCTTCATAAACCAGAATAAGGATTTTATATTTTATGCTTAATTCTACATGCAATAGGGAACCGTTGAATGGCTCTAAGAAGAGGAACAACATGATTTGACTTAGGTTTTTGAGGGATCTCTCCAGCTACAGATTGAAGAATGATTGTAAAGAGGGTGAGTGGAAACAGGAGGCCTGGTGAGTATGTTATTGCAGAGTGGTCCGATGAGAGACAGTGATGGAGCAGACTAGTGAGGGAGCAGGTGGGGAACAGGGCACAGGTGTTTAATCACTCAGGGTAGAGAGGGTAGGGGAGAGGCACACAAGGAGATAAGGGAAGGGCTCAATATTTAAAGCACAGTTTCTTAAACAGTTTTTCCTGCTCTAGTGGGAAAATCATGCACTCGCAAGAACAGTGTATCAATTCAATGGTGATTCTAAATTGGGGTTCCCCCGGAAGATGTGACAGCATATTGTTGCTGGAGGAATGTAGGGGGCATGCCCTACGCCTGCACCCCAGCAATTGCCACATGGTTTATGTTGTGACTGTGACACAAGTCCTAATTGTGAGAGAGGACCCAGGGTACTGCTCAAAATGATAGGAAACATTGACAAATCCTAGCCCAGTTTGACTTTTTGAAAGCTTGTTCCTTGCTATTTTGACCCCCAAGTACATTTTGATTTCAGGTCTGTAAATAAAATTATTTGTATTAGAATAATAAAAACATTAATTTTTTTGTTAAGATGATTTTATAGGGTAAATTCTAATAAGTAAATTTAATTCTTTGATCATTTTTTATCTGATGCACCTAAAAATTTCCAGCCGAAGCTGGACCTGGTGGCTCATGCCTGCAATCTCAGCACTTTGGGAGGCTGAGATGGGAGAATCTCTTGAGGCCAGGAGTTTGAGACCAGCCTGGGAAACATATTGAGACCCCATGACTACAAAAAGTTTTAAAAATTAGCTGGGTACAGTGGCATTAGCCTGTAGTCCCAGCTACTCAGAAGGCTGAGGTAGAAGGATTGCTTGAGCCCAGAAGTTGGAGGCTACAGTGAGCTATGATTGTGCCACTGCACTCCAGCTTGGGTGACAGAACAAGACCCTGTCTCTTAAAAAAAATTCAATCATTTTGGTTTTCATTTCCATTTTCATTATGAGAAATTCTATTCCATATAACCAGTTTTTTTTGGAAGAGTTTGAAAGGATTAGTTCCTCAAATTTTTGGTAGAATTCAGTCATCACTCAGGTTGTTTTTTTTTCCATAATGATGTTTTTAAGTTCAATTTCCTTAGGCTTGATTTCGCAAATTTAAATTTTTTTCAGACATATGATTCTTTACTAAGTTTTAATGATAATGAATATGTTTCAGGTTCATCCTCTCAACTCTCTATTTGTGTCCAGTCAAAATTCGCAATGCCAACACAATAGTTTCTAGTCCCATGATCCACTGAGAAAAACATGGATTCTTTAAAAGGTAAAATACATATTCAACATGATGCTGCACTCTCTTCCCCTCCCCCCTCAAAGGCTGACACTACTAATTCACCGCTGGCACTTCCTATGGATTGAGAGACAGCTGTAGCTGATATTGAGCTTAGAATCAGATGGTTCAGACATCGAACCATTTCTGCATCAGCTGGTAAACAGCTGTGGCCTGGAGGGCTCCTTTTGGACCTCCCTATGCTGACCCAGCAACTAAAGAGTTAACACCCAAACCAGCAGGGCACCTGGAAGATCCCAGAAGGGTTGGGGTGAGGGTGAGGGTTGGGCAGGGCAGGGTTGGCCAGCACTGCAGCTGGCCATTTGTGCTGATTGGTGGATTGTTAACCTTTTTGAATATCACTCTGGGGAACAGTTTAAGAATCTTTCTCAGTACAAGGCTCCAGGAAGACATTACTGAATTGATCAAAGTTGGTACTTTAGATGAAACCTATTTATCACCCCTGGATTAAGGTCTTATCTCCCTTAGGGATATTTGGTTATAAACAGTGTGCTCTGAAGGTTAAAGAACCTCCAGGGCTCCAGGAACTGGACTTCTACTGCTGTACCTTCAAGTACCCTCCTTGGACAGAACTGGGGGCTGAGGCCAAATCACAGTTCCTGATCTGGATTGGCCTGACCTTTGAACATGAGATAGGGCAATCAATGGGGACGGGCACTAAAATGAACTCTAAGACCCTCCCCTCATTGCCAAGGCTTCTAGCACAACAAGAATGGCTTGTTCAGGCCTGCATTCAGTCTTGACATTCTGCAGTGTAGAAGCCAGGGGCATCAGTGGTTTCTCTGCTACATGTTTTCATTTTTGTAGAAATCACGTTGCCTATAGATAGCAAAACTAGCTTGGTATAAAAACAGCATGACTTGTGCCCTTAAAAATATTAAGTAAAAATAATTTGCCAGCCAGGTGCTGTGGCTCACTCCTGTAATCCCAGCATTTTTGGAGACCGAGGTGGGTGGATCACCTGAAGTCAGGAGTTTGAGACCAGCCTGGCCAACCATGGCGAAATCCTGTCTCTATTTAAAATACAAAAAAATTAGCCAAGTGTGGTGGTGCATGCCTGTGATCCCAGCTACTTGGGAGGCTGAAGGAGGGGTACTGCTTGAACCTGGGAGGTGGAGGTTGCAGTGAGCTGAGATTGCGCCATTGCACTCCAGCCGGGGCAACAAGAGTGAAACTCTATCTAAAAAAAAAAAAAAATTGTCATAGTAATATATATTTTTCCTTTTTAGTAAGTGGCAAAGTACCCCTGATTTTGAAACATGTATGGTCGTGATATCAAGAGTGACAACCTGGGCAAAAGAGAGCCATTGCAAAGAAGAAAGGCCTTTAGGGAAATGGAGCAGAAAGAGGAAGCAGTAAGATATTGTCTTTAGCGCCTACAACCATATATGGATTGGGTGGTCCAGAAGGAAGAATGTGGCAACCTCCCACAGGGGCTGTCGGCACTGCTGTGGTGGGATGGGCAGGAATGATTTCTCCCTCCAGGATCACTCTGTTTCCAATGAAAGACTTTTAGAGTTGTCACAGCTCTTATTTTTTCAGTGAGGTGATTGAAGTCCAGAGGAATTAACTGACTTGTGCAAGACCACACAGCTAGCCCAAGATCCATTCAGAGCCAAGAAAGAGAGTCCTGACGGCACATTCTAGTTACCTTAGACAACATGTCAGTGCAATTCATCAAGTTCTTCATAATCCAGAAGTATCATTAGAAACACTAACCATATAACACTGTAATATGGGGCTGGGTGAGGATATAGATCTATTTGCTTCTACGCTAAGTGGCCTCATTTAGTGCTATTTTGGGGTCTGCTCTTGGTACTTCCTAGGCTGTCTTTATCATCGTCAATCACGTACTGTGCCTGCTTCAAACAAATCTTCCAACATCTGCTTCCCCACACACTGTTGAAAGTACATTAGTAATTTAATTTTATGTAACACTTCTTCCAACTCTCTAGAAATCTTGCCAATGCAGTCTTGCCCGCTCCCCCTGAGGAGCCACTTTCTCTTCTGCATTCTCTGGGCCTTCTGTATCCCTTGTGGACAATGCATTGTTCTAGAAGGAAGCAACCTACTGTTTTGGGAAGAACAGGGCCCAAATCCTGTTACTAACAGTGTGGCTGTGGACAAAGTCCTTTGCCTCTTTGAGCCTGAGTTAACTCTCTGCACTAACATGTGTCTTTCAGGGAGAGTGGGAGGCTTAAATGCCTGCATAGAGCTGTCTTTTAACAAATGCTAGTTTCCTCTCTTGTTTAGAGGCATGCTCCACCTTCTGCCTTACATTGTGGTTGGTTCCAGGCATGTTTGTGCTCTTCAGTAGGATCCAGAATCCGTAGTTGGTGACTATGTTTCCTAATTCGGGATCCCCCTGTGCCAGGCATAGGCTTGCTGCAGGCTCTCCATTACTGCTTGTAGAGTAGATAATATTGTAAGTCATTAAGTTCTGGTCTGAGGCAGGTGTGTAATTGCCATGTACTCTCTTGCAGGCTCAAGAGTACAGGTCCTCAGAGGCCTTTTTTCTTCTGTGTCCTGGGAGGCATAGTGACTGCAGCTCTGACCTCCATACAGGTGGATTTTTTTTTTTTTTTGAGACAGAGTCTCACTTTGTTGCTCAGGCTGGAGTGCAGTGGCGTGATCTCTGCTCACTGCAACCTCCACCTCCCAGGTTCATGCGATTCTCCTGCCTCAGCCTACTGAGTAGCTGGGATTACAGGCGCACACCAGCACGCCTGGCTAATTTGTGTGTTTTTAGTAGAGACAGGGTTTCACCATGTTGGCCAGTCTGGTCTCAAATTCCTGACCTCGTGATCCTCTTGCCTCAGCCTCCCAAAGCGCTGGGATTACAGGCATAAGCCACCACGCCTGGCCCGACATTTCTATAAATGATGATCCCTCTTTGGAAAGTAGCCTCTTTGCAGAAGGCCCTTCTCCCAAGAGGGAATAAGATTCAGGGAACCAACTTCAAAGCCCATGCAAAATGAGCCAGTCTGCTCCATCCCTGTGGGCACAGTCAATGGGGCAAGAGCCCCCAGGGCTGCATCTCCTTCCTTCCCAGGGAAGCCATGATTGTGGGTGACTTTCAGTGTTTCTTAGCATTTGGGCAGTCTCTTGATTCCTTTGCAGAAGGTTTTGTTGTCAGATCAAGAGCACCTGCTCCCTTTATGCCCAATTGGTTGTATAGATTCAGAGGGAGCAGGTGGAGGGAGAAAGAAGTGGTGAGAAAAGCCTTGAGAATGGAGATAAGGGTGCTCCCAGAGAGAGGGAAAAGTGGATAAAAGCCTGGCTGTGCTCCCTGCACCTAAGTTCCTTAAGATTCTTCCCTTCCTGACAACAAATCTTCTTTCTCCTTGAATCAATTTGGGTGGGCCTTGGTACCTGTCAATAAATAGGCTCCAACTAACTTCTGTTTTAAATCCACTGGGGTCACATGGTAAGTTTTTTGAGAGTGGAACCACATTTCTGTTCTTATCTTCCCCTGAACACACAAGTAATGCTGGAGGCATAGTATTTGTTGGTTTAATGAATAACGTGCCTGAGTAGTACCACGCTGGTTGCAAGGAGAGTGTCTGCCCCCAGAAATTTCAAGAATTGCCAGAATATTGGAAGCAGGAAGCCTGGTCCTTTAAATATGTCATAAGCCCCATTTATGGTGTGTTCTGCAGCAGTTTTGCAAACACAGGAAAATCCATTTGAATCCAATATTCTCAGATTGCCCTGTTCATTTGGTAGTTAGAATATATTATCCTCATAGACTATTTGAGCTCCTGGTTTTCAGCCCTCTCTGAACCTCCTCCAGATCACTGCTAGTGAGACATTTGGGTAAAGTTGTAAATGCATTTGCTGTATCTTTTAGCCTAAGTATTTCCAGCAGGCTTTATGGAGCTTGTAAATATGAACTGATTTTTTTTACATATGTGAATCAGCCTTATTTTTGTCTAAAGTGGACTTTATGAACCTGCACGAATTAGAATAAACACTGAACCCAGCAATCAGTTCTATATTTAGTTCTTAATAGCTAGGCCGAGTGTGTGTGTGTGCGTGCACACGCGCATGTGCACGCATACAGAATATTAAGAAAAAAATTAAAGGTGAGTGCTTCTGTGATGTGTGAAGCTGGTTAACCCATATATGTGGCCTGGAGAGAATTCCTGGGCAGGTAGAACTAGGGCCAATGGCTGAGGGATCTCTTTCTCTGCTGAAAGTCACTGTTTCTTTATTTGAATATAGGGGAAAATAATACTACATCTCAGGATAAATGTGCAGATCAAAGGAAGCAGGGAATGTGGAAGGACCCTGCATAGTTACTAGGGTCTAGCTGGTATTCAGTAGACATGTAGCACTTACAGAATCTCAGCCCTGAATGGACTTTAAGGTTCTAGAAGGCTAAGGTACCTGTCTCCTGCTATGTCCTTGACAATTCCTAGGAAACCATGGGCCAAATAAGTAATAGTATAATAAGAGTTTATTACATTGAATGAAAGACAGTGTCTGCTTGAATGTTAATTTGATCAGAGTCCTGCCAGAGAATTCCCAGCCAAACAATGTTGTCTTGGGCCATCATAAGTAACAGAGCAGCAAGGTTGAGAGACAGCAGAAGGGTGGCATAGGATGAGTCTCCAAACCCAATTGCTTGGGTTGGTGTCTCACTCAGGTATTTAAGAGCTGTGTGATCTTGGACATGTCATTTAGCCTCTCTGAGCTGTGGTCTCTTCACCTGTAAAGGGGGTAGAATGGTAATACTAATGCCCCAGGGACAATATGTAAGTCTATAGAATATATATAAAATGCTTGGAACTGTGCCTGGTGCACAGTGTTTGTTGTTGTTGTTATTGTCATTACCATTTACTTATTATTGCTCTTAGTGGTTAAAAGTGTAGACTTTGGTTTGAGTCTTGGCGTTGCCACTTACCACTAACTTTGTGACCTTGGACAGTTTCTCAACTTTTCAAAGCCTCTATTTCCTCATCTGTTATTTGAGGATGTCTCTTACTTCCTGGGGTTACTGTGAGGGTCAAATGAGACAATATGTGCAAAACACTTAGCATGGTATCCATCACAGAGAAAGCACTTCATTGACGTTATCTATTTTATCATCTTGAGAACACTATTCATTCATCAAATATTTCTGAAGCCTGTGCTGAGTGTAGGCTTGGTACTGTAATAAAATTTCTTCCTTCTTTAATGAGGAAATGTGCACATCTTTTCTGTTTGGGAGGAACATGTACTTCCTCTATCCTAGGCAAAGCATTGTAATATTGTACAAAAATCTGGAGGAGAGTAAGGAGGGGTGGGGGATCCCTTACAGGGATTTGGCTCCAGTAGTCACCATGCTCATGAAGAAGCCCCAGCAACAAAGCATTTGCATACCCAGGACCTGGGACTGCAGCTGATGGACAAGTGGCCACAATCACCTCTGGGGTAGCCACCCATCCCAGTCTTTGAATGCCATCTGGCAATATTCTTAACTGTGCCCCCCTTTCACCTGAAAACTGTCCTGGGCTAGATGTTAAATTATATGGTTCCTGATACTTGATTTCCTTAAGACAAACACTCCCCTCTAGCTCAAAGGAATGTGGCTGCAAGTGCCATTTGGCTACATCTGGCGTTTGGGAAGGGTGCCTGGCACCTTGTGGATTGAGAGGGCAAGGGGGCCTCTCTGGTGTTGTCAGGGGGTGTCACACAGGGAAGGCCAGGGAGAAAACATCTCCTTCCTTCTCCTGGAAAAGTTATAGGTGTTTATTTCTTTCTGTCTTTTTCCAGGTCATCACACTTTATAGAAACTTTGTCATCTTTGAAGAGTCTGAAAGTGAGTGGCTATTTACTGAGAGAGAGCAGCACAGAGAGGCCAAATTAAAACAACAACAACCACCCCCTGCCACCCCACCCCCCGCCCCAGAAAACAAGCAACCAACCAGTGCCACAGAAAAAACTCTCACTTTAATTTCAATTCTGTTCTCTGTTGGTTGTGTGTGGTTGTTGATGGAGAAGTGTGTATCTGTCCCTGTGTTCTAACTTGTATAACTTTATGACAGCCTGGTGGGAGAGAGCATAGTACTATTGAGAGGAGGTATTGGTTGAATATTTTAGAGCTGTGTTCACTATAATTCATTAAAAAAACAATTAACTAGAAAGGGAAAGATAGAGATTTCCCAGGATTTCTACAATGCTGATGTGTTACTTTTATTAGCAGGTCAAAAAATATATTTTTAGAAATAATGACTATCACAGTGAAACTTACACAGTGATTATTGCATGCCAGGTTTTTTTTTTAAAATTCTTTCTACATATTAACTTCTTTAATCCTAACAACCAGCTTCTGGTTAAAAGATACTATCATTATCTCCAGTTTCCAGATATGGATACTGTGGCACAGAAATGTTGACTGTTAATAACTTGCCCAACGTCAATGTCTGGCCAATGGTAGAGATTCTGCCCAAGAAGTCAGGTGCTAGAATCTAATTCTTTTTAGCCAAATTCCATATCACTTTCTAGACTAAAAGCCTGGGATAGGGAGATTGAGACACAGAAAGGTTAAGTAACTTGCTGAAGTCACACAGCTAAGAAGCAAGGGAGCAGGGGATCAAACTCAGCTCTTTCTAGGTCCAACGACCGTACCCTTAGGAGTTATTCATGTTTTTTCTCTTTCCTCATTGAGTTTCCTAAAAGATTATCATGAAGGCTCCGTGAGACAAGGTATGTGGGTATGTTTAGCAAACTATAAAGCACCATACAAGCTGTCGTTTGTAAATTAGATTCAAGAACTAGAGGGGAAACAGGAAGAAACTCACCTTGCATTTGAGGTGCAGAAGACAGACCCATACCCTTGCAGTGAGGAGATAAAATAGTAGAGATGCAAAGGAAAATCAGGTGGGATCTTAAAACCAGACAGAGTGGAAGAAGGGAACATTTCTCTTTTAGTGCTAAATGTGCTGAGTGATAAAAGTAACAGACCCAGCACTTTGTTCTCTGTGACCACGGCTCAGAACCCAATGCTGTTAAAACGTCTTCAGCAACAACAGTAGCAACTTCATTTTAGCCAAAGACATTTTACCTCCTTCCTCTCACCGAACTTTCCTTTCTTCAAACAGTTTCCGAGCATTTCTCCAAGTGATTGGCTCTTTTCAGACACCTCTGCAGAAGGGTTTTAATTTGCATCACCATATGGAAATCTTCATCTTGAGCTACATGGCTCCTCTGGGCTGTAATAAGCCCACAGA
Source organism: Homo sapiens (assembly GCF_000001405.40). Lineage (NCBI taxonomy): Eukaryota > Metazoa > Chordata > Mammalia > Primates > Hominidae > Homo > Homo sapiens. The sequence goes on from NC_000010.11 coordinate 104,603,354, forward strand.
ATCGCACTTACTGATGATCTGAAAGTGGTACAAAGACTGACAGCTCTTCCCTCCCAATTTTAGCCCCTCTTTCCCAAAATACTGGCATCTGCCAAAGGCCCAGTTGTTTTCCATGGGGGCAAAATTGCCTGTCTCTCTCTTCAAGCTAACTTTAATTGTACATTCCTTTCATCTGTTCAAAATCTGATTTAAATATGAATTCCTAGAACAGAAATATCCAGCACTCAAAAGATTGTAAACTTGTTATAGTTTGTCCAGCTACACAGTGGTCATATTGTTCTCCTCTATTTGGTGGTGTCCCGTCAAAAGAGACTAAATGACAATGTTTGGTAAAATAGCAACATTAATCACAGTGAAAGTGATTTATTATTAATCTACCATTCTGTGGCTGTCCCTTGGTTATTTGTGAATACGTATCAAGCCCAAACTTTGAAAATTTGATGATTGGTTTCTTGCAGTTTCATTATTTCTCCCTTCTCTCTGAGTTTGATGTGTGTGGAAAGTTTCTCAAATATGTGTCCAGTAAATGAATCTTGGACTTAAAAACAGGGAGAGCAAGAAAAAAAGTCTGGTTATTAATTTAACAAATAGTTACTGAATGTCTTAACTGTCTTAGGTATAGCCCAATGTGCTGAGAATATAGCAGTGAACAAGGACATAGTCTTTGTCCTCACAAACTTACAGGCTAGTGGGGCAAAAGCCAGTGAAAGAACAAGAAAAGACATATACATTTTATACATTGCAATAAATGCTTAGAATGAAAAAAGCAGGGGTATTGCAAAAGAAAATTATGGAGGAAAAACTTAGAGAATGCTCCATGATGACTCAACTCCAAAACTTAGCGTTGTGGATGAAAGAAAAGGTCAGACATAACGCCCACGTATTTGGCCAACCCACAGTTGAAGCAGGTGCTGCTTCTTCAACAATATGCTAGTAGATATAGAAGTAAAATATACTGTACTCTTATGGTGAATTTTCTGAGAGAATTTGTCTTGAAGATATGTAATATGTATACAGTTAATATGTATACAGAATACATTCCTGGGAAAATGCTAAAAAACATTCTGGTACTCCTCTTTTTTGGATTGCTGTGGCCAGGATGCTCTGGAAGCATGCAGTTCTTCTCCCTCCTCCTAGATACTATCTCCGAATTCTTATAGTGAAACTCATTTTCATGCATTGGGTAGGTAAGTCCCCTAAACTTGGGATCTGACGCCTCTTAGACTCAATATCAAGGAGAAGAAATATCAATAGAAGTAGAAAAGTAGGATAGCACGCTCCTGACAAAGTAGGAAGAAGTGCTCCATCACTTTCCTCAGCAGGTACACTAGCCCAGTAACTAGTCTCAATTCACTAGTGAAGACTCACCCACCATTTCCCTATGTTTCCTGTTTCTCCTCATGATTCTCTTTCCATGCGGGAATCCCTAAGGATGGAGCCAACTTCTATTATCTTTATGGTTTGGTCTTATTTTGCCGGTGGTAGTTTCTAGCAGCTTGTAACAAAACTTTGAGGTGTCATCCCTGAACTGACTCAGGTGCCACAAACCCCTCATAAATCCCATGTTGTATTGTCAGAGTCCTTATCACACAAGATCAATGGTTATTCTCTTACATAAAACCCCACCAAGGGTCTCCTATAACTTGTTATACTAAGATCAAGCTAGATATAACAAGAGTTTCAGTTTTCTACTGCTCTGTAACAAACTATCCTAACACTCAATAACTTAAAATAATGATTTATTATTATATCTCATGATTCTGGAATTGATGGGCTCACCTGGGTGGTTCTTGTTTGTAATCCTTTATATGGGTCCACCCAGAAGGTGTCATCTGAAAGCTTCTTCACTCACATGTCTGGTGCCTGGACTAGGATGGCTGGATCATCTGGGGCTGGTCAGACATCAGTTACTTTATGCAGCACCTCTATGTGGCTAGCATAGGCATCCTCATAGCATGGAGGTCATAGTGTAGGCAGGCTTCTAATATGGCCACTGGCTGCATCAGAATTGGTGTTGCCAGTGAATATGGAATATGGAATATGGAAGCTGCCAGTCTCTTAAGGCCTGGGCCTGGAAACTGGCATAAGGTCACTTGTGTCACAGTCTGTTGATCAGAGACCATCCACTTTCAAAGGGAGGGGATATATGTTCTCACCTTTTAAGGGAATGAGTGTCAAAGAATTTGTGGCCATCGTCAATCTGTCACAAATCTATTGCCCCTTTTATACGAGAGCCTTTAATGTATATGAAGAAAGCAAATGTAGACCATTATATTTTTTCTTTACAGGCCATACTCACCAGTTCCTTTAACCTTCAGATCCTTCACATCCTTGCCAACTCCCATATACATTCCAAATTGTCAAAGTCCCATGTAAAACATGGTTTTCAGGTCTTGATTCATTATCCCTGATGTAGTTGTTCCAGTACAGAGGAATGAACTGATCAACATCTCTTTTCTGGAAAATATAATTCTACGTATGCAGCCTAAGTTTGCATTTCTTTTGTTTTTATTAGCTATGTTATACTTTTGATCCATATCAAGCTAAAATGACATTTTAATTATAAAAAGTAATTGCAGCAAACATGTAAAATATGAAACAACACAAAGAAAAATAAGATCATCTGTATTCTCACCACTGAGAATTAACCACTGCTACCTTTCTGGCCTTTTTTCCTATTAATATCTGTGCACAAGTGTGTGTATTCTGTGCCCTGGTTGTTATCCACTTAACAAAATAGTATGGGCATTTTCCCCACATGAGTAAACCTACATTGTCCTCTGTAGTGGCGGCATCATATCATATTTTGCAGTCAAGCGAAACACTTACATCTTTTTTGGTTGAAATGCAGTTAATCCAGATTGTCTTCATTCTGTACTTGCGTAGTTTTAAAAATTAACCTAAATGTATGACTTTACCTTTTTTTTGTTAAAAATTATATTACTGCTTTTAAGGTAAATTATTACAGCCGGTTATAACCTTTTAAGTCCTGATTTTATCAACAAAACTTTCCCAGATTTATGTAATTTAAAAATCAGTAAGTATTATAATCACTGCTATATAATTAAAAATAGGATAGAGCCTCCTAGTGTTTCCCTGGAGACTGCCCTCCAAGTTTCATAACTCCATTGATCAAACACTCTTTGGCTCTGATCAATTAATCATCTGAGTAGTACTATCATGTGACCTGTTTCTCCATTTGAAAACGAGAATTTTCAACACTAGGAGAAAATACTGCCAACCATTTTGCCATTTGAATACATTCTATCTGTCACGTTCCCTTATGTCCATCTCATAATTTTATTAAAGAAAAGAGATTGGGGTGGTTTGGCCTAACTTCTTTTTGGATTCATGCTGTTGTCTTTTTCCATTGTGTTTAAAAACCAACAGTTTAATTTTTCAGTGATTAAATATATACCCTTGGACTATAGATAACAAAACCTATTTTTAAAAATCCAGATGCATTTCCAATTACCCACGATCCTTCAAAGTGTAGCCCCTGTGGCTTGACATTCTCATCCTTAAGTCCTTTAAGTTCACTTCAATGTGGCTCAGTTGGGACAAGCAATTTGGACTCACTCAAAGCAGTGGTGAGCTTTCTTCTATCTTATTTATCTCAGATTTCTGAACCCTGCAAAAACATTGTTCTACCCTCTTTGTAGGAAGATTATTTTCCCTGAAAGGGTCAAGGCAAAATACAAGTTGAAGTAGAGTAGTTGTGTTTTCTCTCTATCTCCTGTTCCCACTACACCCTCTGCTTCAAGTAATGGATCCATTTTTTTTCCCTCTCTAAACTACCTGAGAGCTCACACATCTTGAGATTCTCCAGAGTGACTAACATCATGCCTTACTTGTTATAGGTGTATTAGAACTCTTTTCATTGCAAGCGACAGAAATCCAACTCAAACTTGCTGAAACCAGAAAACCTTTTAGAAACAGAAGTATACAGCGACTTGATTCAATATCAGACAAGCTTGCAACCCAGCTAGCTGTAGAGATGCAAATAATACCATCAGGACTTGGATTCTCTCTCTCCATCTCTCTAAGGTGCATCTCTCTCTGATTTCACTTGGAGAAAGTCTCCTTCCACATAGGAGCTCCAGAATTACATCTTCACAGTGCCAAGCCCTGGGAAAAACAAAATTATTCTTACTTGGTTGCCCAAGCACAAGTCCCAGGGTCAGCTGTATTTGATTCTGTTGGCTTGAATTATGTCATGTGGCCATTCCTGAGCCAATCACCATGACCCTGAGCTTATTACTCTCTGATTGGCCTGACCTTAGTCACTTGCCTACCATAGTGCTTGGACTACAGTGAACTCTACAATAAAGAACAGTGACAGAGTGAGCTGAATGGACAACAAACAGGAGCTGGATGGACAACAGAAACTGCCTACTGTGAACTAGGACCATGGAGGAGTTGCCAATCAAAGCAGAAATAAGGGAGAAATGCCCTGACTGCTCTCTCTTAGTCCTCCAATCTCCCAATATTGCCTCTCATTGGCTAGTCCAGAAGGCAGCTGTCAAGAAGTCTGGAAAATGTCATTTTCAGTACAAAAGAGAGGAATGTATCTGACACCAAGGAGGCAAATGAATGACACCCTCCTTGTAGCAAGAAAGAAAGATTGAGAGTGCTTTCCCATGGAAAATTAACAGCTTCATCTTGATCCTTTTCTTTGCTATAGTAGAAGAATTTGAAGCCTTTCTGCTATTGAGGAAACGGAGGCTCAGTTTTCCAGATTTTGGCCATAGGTCCTAGAGGCTACTGAGACAGCCAGGTGGGAGGGGGTCCCCAGAGAAACTCCAGCCAGCTTGTGCACTGTGATGGAGCCTCAGGAAGTTCACAGTTTGCAGCAGGAAGGAGCCTGGCTGCTCCTCTTCCTGTGTGGAACCTGGGATTAGAACAGCTGGCAGGAAGTGCTTTAGCAGGGACTCTGGCCTAGTGAGAGTCCTTGTTTCCCCCTTTCTTCCTTTTCACTCAATAAAGCCCTGTCTTACTCACCATTCAAATTGTCTGTAAGCCTGAATTTTCATGGCTGTGGGACAAAGAACCCTATTTTTAGCTGAACTAAGGAAAATTCCTGCAACATTTTTGGCACCCAACGTGGGACTCGAGAAGCTGTGAGTGAAATGGGGACTCAAAACCTCTCACTGTTGCTTCTAAACCTTTTCATCCTTGGACTTCTGAACGTGAGGGAACCATGCCCCGACCCCCTGTCATTCCTGGGCCTTTTCATGGCCTTTTCCTTCCTTTTTCAGGAGCTAACCAGCAAGCAGCAGCTCGTCGCCACTTCCCACTCCCTGCACTCCCTTCCCACTCCATGTGCAAGGACACATGGCCCAAGGGTCCCACACAGTTGGCTGGCTGGTTCCTAGCCACAAGCTGCCAGAGCCTACCCCTTCCCCATTCAACGGGTTTTACTCCATCAGACAGTAATTAAGCTTAAACTTTTCTCCCTGGTGGAGGAACCTGTTGCATAAGTATAAGAGGTTCTTCCTCAGGCATTTTTAAACTGTTTCTTTTCTTTCCTCTTTTCCACCCTGTCGGCAGTTAACTTTTAGATTTTTTTTTTTTTTAGGAGATGTTTTACTGGCCAGCTCTCTTCAACTATCACTGTGTGTAGTCTCTGCAAAGTTTTGGTTGTGAAATCAAGCCTCCATCTTGTTTTACATCCCGAGGGCATGGCTTGTGACTCCTGTGGCAAGGCTTTGTTTAGCAATTCTGCCTTAGGGAATAAGTTTCTTTCTGGTTCGATATCTGCATGTTTTCCTAGCTCTGTCTCTTAAGGGACCCTACCCAGTGACTGGGTTTTCTTCTGCCTGCCTGTGTGTGTACTGTGTGTGATGTCTGTGAAAAGAGCTTTAATAATGTGGCCTAAAGGAAAACAAGTGCTTGGATCTAATATTTTTTAAAGGGAATATAAAATATGTGGTACCTTTCTGTTCATGTGATTTTAAATTTTGAGAAATAAAAGCAGCACTAAAGACTATTGGTAAAACGCAGGTCAGATGCAAGGTTTTGAGGTTACAAACTGCTTTTTGGGTTTTGAGAACTATTTGACTTTGGGCTTCACAGTTGGTAAGGCCTGGGGACATATGGAATTAACCATGCCCTTAACTAAGAAGGCAAACCTTGGCTGCAGTTGGCACACAATTAAAGCAACTTACCAAGTTTTACCTTAAAGTTAAAAATTGCTAGGAGTTAATTAAAACTACTAGAAATAGATTTACATGCAAGGCGTGTAAGAACAGTAAAATGTGTTTTTTAGTAAACAGTCATAAGAAGGCATGGAAATGTAAACTATTGCCTAGGGTTAAAGGTTTGTTTTGAGTTAAATTACGAAAAAGCTGAAGATTCAAAGAAGTGCTGGAAGAATTGTGGAAATTAATCTTACAGAAGAGGTTCTCTGTGTGAAGATATTGACTAAATTCAAAAAAGGGTATTATATGGTTTTTCTGTTAATTGAGCATTAAAATAAAGGCATAACAAGGTTTTCTTAAGGTGCTAACCTGCTGTTTGGCAAAATTTGTAAAGGGTTATAAAAGATTTTTTCTTCTTTAAAATTTCTGAGTCATCATTTTGGCAAAATAAATAACTTATGGTAATCTGTAATTCTATTTCATAATATCAAGTGTTTTAAACTTCAAAGATATTTAACAGGCTTCCCCAAATCAAACTTCAGTTTCGAAATTGTCTTTCCTGATGCCTGGCTTTTTGGATGTTTCAGAGGGCCCCTGAAACATTCAGAAAAAAGAGGTAAACAGGATTATTTGACATGTTTAGGTACATGGGATTGCCAAAATGATGCTCAATCTTCTTTAGGCTGTATTTTTGTGAGTAAGGCTAATATATGTTCCAAAATTTTATGGGATTAAAAAAATTCTAATGTCCAAAGTATGTGCTGTCAATCATAATTAAGGTTGTTATGTTAAGTTATTGTAAACCATGGAGATAACCAAACTTCTTGTCAATCGTGTTTCTAACTGTAACTACCCTGGACATTTTGCTATTCATATACAATTGTTGTCTTGTTTTAATCCTTTTCGAAGATGGTTTATAATGAGCTATAGAACTTTAACAGGTGCTCTCAAGTACAGGCTTCTGATAACTTTAGAGATTGTAACATTGGAATAAAGGAAAATGTACAGGACTCATAAAGAGCTGAAATGTTCACAAATATCAAGCAAAACAAGATTTAACTAAATGGACTGAACTCAGGAAGCTGAAGCAAATCTTTTTGACTTTTGCTTAGAATATTGCTGATCCTTGTTTTGTTTTTCTGAGTCAAAGAAACCTATTTTGAATTATTTACGGCCTTTAATAAGTAATGTATATACACTCCTGTAATTAAAATTTGGAGCATCTTTGTTTCTCTCTTCCTGGTTTCTCTAGAATTTAGAAACTATTCGTGAGTATTCTTATGGCAATGTAGTTGTTTGCCTCAGTGCAATAAGAATCCATTTTTCTTTTGCAACAGAACACAGTTGGAGAAAGTGGTTATTTTGCCAAGGCTTTGACTGGAAGGGTATGCTTCCCTTTAAGGAGTCAAGCTCGACTTTCGGAGCTGATAAAAGCCCTGTGGGGAAACTGGCCTCATACCCTTGCCTACAGAGTCCCTGTACAGGGTTCCTGACCTGTGGTCTGTAAAGAATGTCACTTCTAACAGGTCTAGGAGCTCCAATTTTACCTTGGGACCTTAAGAGAAGAGAAACACCCACTCATAGGTGTTTGAGGATGCAAACCCATAGTTGGGCTCAGCTTTAAAAGGTCTTATCTGAGATTCCTTGTGGAACAAATTTCCATTAAAGCCAATCCAAAAGGCCTATGTAGAAATAATTGTTCTTGCTGCACTTTATTCAAATAATCAGGCCAAGTATAAGACTAATATCTATTTTTCAAACCACTCAGTTCTATGATGATTTGTGTTTTTAACAAACATGAAGACTGTAGAGAGAGAAATTATGTTCCAAAACTTACCATACATTTGTCATTAAATCCTAAACTAATTAGTTGTTTGTAAATTTTCACCTACATTTTAGACTAACCCTGCTTGTCCTGTGAACCAACCAGTAATCCCTGGCTGCAGCTCAAAAATAACAAAAGGGATGGGTAATGCAAAAATCTGGATCAATATTCTAGTTCTGAGCAATTATCATGCAAATCCTGCCAGGTGACGGGAATAAATAGGATACTCATCACTCGGAGGTTTCCTTTTTGGGAAAGTAAGACCAAGGGAGCTAATCAAAGCCAAGCACCATGCACCCAAATCTTAGCAAGCATAACTATAGCCACCAGTTATCTGGGTATATCACAAGGCCTCCTTTCCTCTCCCTTGTTGGAGGACGACTCACTTCCACAGTTTCACCTTAGCATTTGGCTTATGACAAGGAGTCCATGCAACCCCCTTAGAGGCACATTTTTGTCCCAAACTTAATTCCAAGCTTCGGGTCAAAACCCTAGGAAGGATAACTGGATCTAAGGGATTCAGAGGCAGATGACAACAGAGGTTAAAAGGCACACTGCAGGTGAGTGTGGCTGATTGCTGCCGATTAAGCCAAGCCCAAGCTTCCTGCTTCATGGATAAAGGCCATGTTAATATCCATGGCATAAATGAGGTCTAGGGAACTCCAAGGCTACTGACAGCAGGCAGGATAGAGGCACAGGTGAGAGCCAATAATTCCTATTCTCAAGGCCCTCCCTGCTTCATGAGTGCAAGCCACTTTAGCACTCATGACGGGACCAGCCAAGGTCACCAGGACTCAGGGATGCAAGGATGGAAGAGTGAAAGAGGACGCTCTTTCCTCTCTCCCTCATGTACCCTGGGTATCTGCCAAGAGTATCTGCTAGGAAGAGAAGGAAACCAGGGACGCCTGCTCCCCTCTTTCTAGATAGGTAGCCATTCATCTTCAGTCCGTACCCCTTTAGAATGCATCCTGAACCTCTGGGGCTCCTTTGAAAAAATACCCTTTTTTCCCCTCTCTCTTCCTCTGTCCTCTCTTCACAGATAGGTAATTGTGTCCCTATACTATGGGACACTCCCCTCAGATGCATCCTTCAAATTGGAGAGAGTTAATTTTCCAAACCTTAAACTGCTTGGCTTAGGATTTGGCTCAGAGGAAGGGAATCCAGAAGCCTAACATTCCAGCAAAAGGGTAAAGTTTTTTTTTGACAGCCGGGCTTTTGGCTGCCCTCTCCCTGTGCAAACTGGTAAAAGGCCTCAGAATTTTTTGAGCTGTCTTTACCCTGCTCCTTGTTTCATTTTGATACATGTGTTCTAATAACCTGGTTTGTCTGTCCTTGCCTTCAGGCCATCAGACTCTGAACAGTCATGCAATCGGAGCCTCTGACGATGGCCTCTTCTGCTGGGAACCCTTAGATAGGCCTCTAGGGAAGCTCTGACTGCCGTTTCCCTAAAACAGAGCCCCCTATCAGCAGGAAGCAGTTAAGACTGGACTTCATCCTTATCCTTAATCTAACAGCAGTTAGATGTACTTCTTTAGGGTGGGTAATGAGACAGCCAGGTGGGAGGGGGTCCCCAGAGAAACTCCAGCCAGCCTGAGCACTGGGGTGGAGCTTCACGAAGTTTGTGCTGTTTGCAGTGGGAAGGAGCATAGCCCCTCCTCTTCCTGTGTGGAACCTGGGATTCGAAAGGCTGGTGGGAAGTGCTCTAGCAGGGTCTCTGGCCTAGTGAGAGTCCCCGTTTCCCCCTTTCATCCTTTTCACCCAGTAAAACCCTGACTTACTCACCATTCAAATTGTCTGAGAGCCTGAATTTTCATGGCTGTGGTACAAAGAACCCCATCTTTAGCTGAACTAAGGAAAAGTCCTGCAACACTACCAGTGGTCCAGGAGTGACTGTTTTGTTTCTTAGAGCATGGAAAGGTCTGAGGGGTCCTGAAGGAAAGGCCAAGCCAGCTGTGGTGATGGAGGTCTACTTAGGGTGCTCAGGGAAGGGGCATTTTTTTCCAAAACAGAAGTGCAAGTCTTGACTTGGTTCCTGAGTGTGAATAGTGTGAGTTATATAGTGGGTTCAGGTAACGAGGGGGAACAGAATTGTCTTTTTGATTTTTGAGTGCAGGATAGCAAGAGTCTGAACAGTGAAAGAATTCTGTAATTCAACATTTAAACAGCTGGCATCACCAACCTGGTATGTTTTAATTGAGTGTCAGCTCTGCTCATAACCCTCCTTCTCCAGGAATTCTTCAGACATTTTGGCGACCCACAGACATTTTACTAGATCCAAGGCTGCTCTGTAAAATAACTTGTGTTGGGATTCTTTACTGAGAGTTCGTTATATCTTACCACAGAGCATCCAAAAACCTCTTTCAAGAACACATAGCCAACTCTTTGAGTTCCTTTGCCTCAGGAACTTTTGTGTTGCCAAAATAAAGCAGACTCTTGTATTGGAAAGCCCAGGCTCTCTGAAAGGGGAATGTTAGAGGTGCCTCACACAGGCAGCCCAGGGCTGAAAGCAGAAAAGAGATGTGTCTGGTTTGGTCTGAACAGTATTAGTCAGTACAGAGTTTAAGTCTAAATGTTGCTAACATTTAAAAATGAAGACATTCTACAAATAAACCCAGATTTCAGGGTTTTACCAGCAAATTGAATGCTCAGTCAATACTGGTTCCACATTCCAGTGCCAGCAATGGTGTCCCCTTTAGAAAGCATGCATTTGGCCAGGCGTGGTGGCTCACGCCTGTAATTCCAACACTTTGGGAGGCTGAGACTGGCAGATCACGAGGTCAGGAGTTCAAGACCAGCCCGACCAATATGGTGAAACCCCATCTCTACTAAAAATACAAAAATTAGCCAGGCATGGTGGCGTGCACCTGTAGTCCCAGCTACTTAGGAGGCTGAGGCAGGAGAACCACTTGAACCCAGGAGGCAGAGGTTGCAGTGAGCTGAGATTGCGCCACTGCACTCAGCCTGGACAACAGAGCAAGACTCAAAAAAAAAAAAAAAGCATGCATTTCTGGTTAGCCACAGTCTTTACCACTCCCTCTTGTCTTCCTGACCCACACTTGAGAGTCAGTTGCCATTTAATCATGTTGTCCAATGGGCAGGTGCCGCTCATTGGCACCACCTGCTGGGCCTCTTAGGTATTTAAGTTTCTGACTCAGGCTAGACGCAGCTAGGGAGAAAATAGTTCACATTCTCCAAGCCACTGATTTTTGTGGGCCCTGTGAGGGGAAGAGTCCAACTTCCCACTTTGGGACTTCTGTGAGGTGACTTGTGGATGACTGAGAGACCGGATACTGTGCTCTTGGTTGTTGTGATAGAAGATCTCTGGGCTCAAGCCTGGATCGTCTCCCTCAAAGGACCAGACTAGCTTAGACCAGGATCACTCAGCAGTAATAAATGAAGACAGAAGACACGGGGATTTCTCTCTAAAAATTTAGGGTGTGCAAGAACCCTAGTGCTTTTGAACAGCATTAGAAGGCAGGCTTATAGGATTATAGAACTGAATATCACTCCAGCAATGTGGGAGAGAGTTCAGAGAAAAGTATTGATTAAGAGACATAATATTAATATATAGACAGAGTTATATAATAGCTGGAAAGATGTTTGGCTGTGCCTTCAGGTATTAGTCACAGTTCTTCTGGGAAACAGAACCAAAAGAATCAGTCAATCTATCTAGGTATCTATGTCTATCTATCTATCTATCTATCTATCTATCTATCTATCTATCTATCTATCTCTCTATCCATCCATCCAATCTTTCTGTCTAGAGAGATGCTGGAAACCTGGGAGAGCCAATGAATAACTACTGTCTGAGTCTGAGTTGGAGCTAGAGTCTACAGCCAAAAGCAGAAGACCCATGTCCTATCTCAAAGACCATCAGGCATAGAGAGCGAATTCTTTTTTACTCAGCCTTTTGTTATATTCAGGCCTTCAATGAATTGAATGAGGCCCACCTACTTTGGGGAGGAAACTGCTTTACTCAGTCTACTGATTTAAATGTTAATCTCATCCAGAAACACTCTCACAGACACACCCAGAATAATGCTTCACCACATATCTTGGGCTCCCTGTGGCCCAGTGAAGTTGACATATGAAATTAACCATCACTCCTCATGCCTACCTATAGCGAGAGCTGGGATGAATCCCATCCTCCCATCTGCAGGGCTGGCTGCATGTGTTTGCTTATGTGCTGTCACCAAGGAACAGTTTCTCTTTGTTTTGTCATTGTGTGAAGCTGCATGTCTGAAATGATCTGATGATGATTTTTCAAAAAGCCTCCAGTACAGAGCTGCTTTTTTTGTTGTTGTTGTTGTTTTTATGTTTGTTAAGAGCAGATGCTCTAATAGCCTGTCTCTTATTGCATGGGAAAGTACAAAGGAAGTGATGGAGCCACCATATATTTCTAAATTTCTGCTGACATTCCTGGGGGATGCTGCAGTAACTCCTAAGGCTGCCTTTATTTTATCTGCATAGCCCAGCCCATGCACTACCTTCAGAGTTATTTTCCCAGATCCTGAGCCTAATCATGCTTCACTCACTTACAGTCTATCTCTGGGTCCCCATGCCTTCCTCTGGAGCCTGGACTCTTTGACAAGGCATTCTGGCATTCTAGACTCTTCCTGCATTGCCAGCTTCATCTCTCCATCACCATGTGCTCTGCCTAATTTCCCAAATATTCTGTTCCCTGCTTCTTTCCAGGTCTCTGTTTACCCTGCTTCTCCAGCCTGAGTTCCTTTTTTTTCTCCATTCTGCTTGTTGAACTCCTGCCAAACTCCGATTTTGACATCAAAGCCCACCTTGAATGCTGCTTGTCGCTAAAGCCATCGCTGGCATTTCCAGTAGGTATTGCAGTACTTTGGATCTCTATCCTAGCACCTTCCCTGAATTAGTATGTGCATGCTCCACTTCCCTGACTAGAACCAATACTTCTCAAGGGCCACAGAGCCATCCCCTTCAAGAGAATTTGGACAAGAGGAAAATGAGGTGAATCTTCTCAGTGTTAAATTATCAAATCAACTCAATGGGCCAGAAAAGTCATATACAAAGACCACTTAAGTAGTCAAAATAATTCTTGGTTCAGAGTGCAACTTGATTGCCGTTGTTTTTAAAGCAGCATTCATCACCCTGTAATCTGGAGGTGAGGGAGGTGTGTTTGTTTGGAAGAGTTCATTATCCTATCATATCTTCCCTTTGGTGGTTTGCATGATGAGTTAGCCTATTCAAGGCTCTGAGAAGTGCTGTAATAATGAGCCCTTTTCACTTTGTTGAATCTAATATTTCTTGAATTTATGACGTTCTTTTATTTTTCATAGAACACTATGAAACTTTTATTTTTTCATAGGACATTGTCAATATCTACTGGACTAAAGAAATTCTCTACTAATCAGAAAAGGAATTGGTCTGTATTGAAGCTGGAAAGAAAATCAGAGGAGCCAATGCTGTCAGAGTGCATCCAAGGACCATTTAAAGATGTCCTGGCCGGAGGTCTGGGCTGTCAGGTCCTGCCAGCAGGTAGATTCCTTCCAGAGACATTCCTTGACCTGATACCATCAAATCACTTTAGTAGGACAAGTAACTTTCCTTATTCTCATTTCATGCTTGCTAGACAACTGATTATACTTTAGTTTTGGAAGTAAATTTCTTACATGAAGGAAATAATCTGGTCTCAGGATGGGATGTTTAAACCCCTTGCAGTTCTAGTATGGTAATAAATTGGCATTCTGGGCTGTACATCAGTCCCTCATGACCTTGATTAGTGAGACTCCATCCCTGAGATCCTTATTCATTCTTAGTGGAATAAAACAAAATCATATTTCACAACCTGTGAGGCTGTGAATGATATCCTATTACTGTGGTGAATATAATAATGGCAATAACTAGCATTCATAGAGCATTGCTTTGGTTATCTGTTGCTGGATAGCAAATCACCACTTAGTGGCCTAAATCAGAAACAATCATTTTATTATTTCCCACTGTTTCTGTGGATCAGGAGTTTTAGAAGGGCTTTGGCTGAGCACTTCTGGCTTGGGTTGCAGTCAGACAATGACTGGAGCAGCTGAGGGCTACTGGCATCTCTCTCTCCTTTGTAGACTTGAGGCCTCCATATGTTCCCTCCATGTGAGCTGGTTGGGGCTTCCTCCAAATATGGCGGCCCTAAGACTCCAAAAGCAAGATTCCAAGTGAACCAGGTGTAAGATCTATCAACTTTTCTGGTTTATCCTGAGATTCAAAGGGAAGGGAAATAGACTTCACCTCTTGGCAAGAAAATGCCAAAGTTTTAAAGAACATATGGGATGGGAGATAATGTTGTGGAGTTTGGAAATACAACCTGCTGCAAGCACTGCTTATATGCGATGCCTTCACTAAATCTCTCTCTCTCTCTCACGCACACACACACCTTATTAATTCCTCACAACAAATCAATGAGATAATTCTTATCATTCCCTGTTTTTACAGATGATGAAACTAAGGCTCAGAGAGGTTAGGTCATTTGTCCAGGGACTTGCAGTCCTCTAGTTGTAAGGTTGGGTTTCAAAATCAATGTACGTTCTTAAACAGTACACTCCACTGCCTCCTGACACACCGAGGTAAATGCCACCCTGGGAAGTTACTGGAAGCCTGTCAGCCAGTCTTCCTAGTGACTCCCACATTACCATACATAGTAAGTGTGGTGGGAGAATATTTCAAAGTATTAACTAGCATGCCTTCCTCCTTAAACCATCACATTCCTTTACTTGTGCCCTGAGGGTCTTTCCCTCATGGATACCCTGCCTGCTTCCTGCCTCCTCTGGTCCAGATAATGAGACATGAGCCACCAATTTATAAAACCAGAAAGCAAAGGCCAAAGCTACTTGTTTATTTAGTGTCTAAACTGCTTTTTGACTCCATAAAAGTGTCCTAGTGAGACTGACACTCGGACAGGCTCTTGATGCTTTGCCCAGGTGTCCCTGGATCCCTTGTCACCATTGTATGCCCCAACCCCATCAGTGTTCCTGAGCTTCTAACAGGCAGCACCTGTGGCTCCTTTTTGCATATGTTTGAGTCCACTCTGCCCAACCGCACGAGAAGATAAGGAGCCTGGGCACTCAGGCCTCCCTGGCTGGTCCTTAGCCGGTGCGGGAGGGTGTGGGAGTGTGAGGGTTCAGCTGCCTGTCCTCTGGTTGGGACAACTGTGTGGGTGACACCCTCCAGAGCATTCCTGTGGGATTGGGTGAAGTTCCCCTCTGTGGGACTTTTCATGAAACTGCACCTTTGATTGGCTTCCTCCCCCTCCTTCCCCTGATTCCCTGCCTCCCTTATGGGTTTCTCTCGTTGCACCATCTTTGATAAGCCACTTAGAGCCTGCTTCTGAGGAGCCTGAGCTAAGACACCAAGGATGAGAAAAGAGAGGATGGAGGTGCTGGAGAAACTTCTTCAGTACGGGCCAGGTCCTTTGCCAGATCAGGTGGCTACAGGGAAGTCGAGCCAGCCTGGCCATTCTCATTGTGCTTCAGAAAGTAGACCCGCTTCCTGCCCTGATAACAGCAGCTGGCCAGTCACCTGTCAGCCTCAATTGAGGAGTCCCTCCTCAATATTCAGTCTAACCTTCCTTCTATGGACATACTTGCCTCCCACCCTGTTAATGGTACCAGCTCCCTGGAATGGAGATTGGACCCAAGCTACTTAAAGGAGGGCGGTGGTCTGAGGGTAAGTCCCCCACAACTTACTCCTCCTAACACTCTCTCACTCATGCCTGACTAAAATGATACTTGATAGAACTCATTCAAAATCTCCCAGAGCAGATGCAGAAGCTCACACCTGTAATCCTAGTGTTTTGGGAGACCAGTGCAGGAGGATCACTCCAGACTAGGAGTTCAATACCAGCCTGGGAAACATAATGAGACCCTGTCTCTATCAAAAAAAAAAAAAAAATCCAGGCATGGTGGCCTTCACCTGTAGTCCTAACTACTTGGGAGGCTGTGGCAAGAGGGTTGCTTGAGCCCAGGAATTTGAGGCTGCAGTGAGCCAGGATTGCACCTCCAGACTGGGCAACAAAACAACACCCTGTCTCTACAAAAATAAAAAAACAAACAAAATGAACAATAACAACAACAACAACAACAACAACAATCACAGACCTGGGGCAGGGTTGGAACCCACAATGAACTAAGAGTTAGAATTCTTGAGCACTAGTCCCAGCTTAGCCCCCTGACTAGCTGTGTAACCTGTTTTCTCACCTGCAGTATAGTCTCTGAGATCCCTCCAGCTCTAAATGCCTGTGCTTTCATAGGACAGTGCCTCCTGAGAGCTTATAATCTTGTTAGGGAGACACGACACAATTAGAAGGCTGTATATGACAGACTGGTGCACAAAGCTGAAATCAGTCCAATTAAGAGAGAAAACACTTGGTGCAGAAAACAAGTACTGTACAGTGGCTGATTAGGATGGGAGGATTTCTGTGGGACAGAGTCTTCAGGAAAGGATTCAAAGAATTATTTGAGAAGAGCTTTGGAGGATGACTATTGCTTATGGGGAATGGGGAAAGCCACCATAGTCTTGTGCATACAATTGTTACCTGGGCGTGAAATGAGGGCAGAGACAAGGGAGAGCAGAGAATGGAATCCTGGTTATCATTTAATTGCTGTTCTAACTCTAAGTGAATACAAGAGCACACACTGCTCCAGTTATAATATGCTAGTTATTTATAGGGCTGTATTTCTATTCTCCCAGGCTTCACACACATCACTGGAAATCTGACATTCAGAACTAACATTTCCAACCCCCTAAATTTTAATTAAAGTAATTACGTTACTAACAGAAGCTATAATTTATCTTCTCCTTGTGTTCACAAACAGGAAAAGGCAACTTTGGCCAAGCATGTTTTTCCTGACTCTTATTCCTGGTTTGTTTCTTTTGGTGGTGGAGATGGGGGCATCTTTCTTTGGTCTGGGTGGTCCAGAGATCACACTGCTTATTGCACTGTGCTTTCTATAGTGCAGAGAGGCCTGTTCTGGCTATTTGGAATAACTGTGGTACTGAGACCCAAATGGGTTGAGTCTTTTCATTCAGGAGCAGCCATGAGCTAAGGGAAAGTCCTTCTGGCAAAGCTCTTATTGGCATAAGACACTTTGTGTGTGTGTGTGTGTGTGTGTGTGTGTGTGTGTGTGTGTGTGTGTTTTCCTGGCATTGTTGGGGATAAGAAACTCAGTGATTTAGATGAAAACTTTCCATGCAATTAACTTTCTCCAGACTAAAGCAGGTGCGGAAGGGAGCTACTGGGCCAGTCTGCTTAGTAAATATCTATCCCCAGATGGAGAGCAATTCAATGGAAATAATTACACCAGGTCAATTAAGCAGAACTCAGATCTCCTCCTGTTAGCCCTTTTGAATTTTTTATTTCCATGAGCCAGATTTCCTCAGGATTTAAACTGCTTTACCTCTAGAAAGAGGGTGTCTCTGGGGAAATCTTATTGATTTGTGTGGTGGTGGTTGTTGCTGAAGAAGGTGGCCCCACTCCCCAGGCAAGAGCCCTGGGCTGGGCCTCCAACAGGCCTGGGTTGGAATGCTGGCTCCAGCACAGTGTAGCCTTATAACCGTAATCAAGTTATGGAATTCTCTAAACCTTAGTTTTCTCATTAGAAAAATGGGAATAGTGAGAGGGCCTCTATGTCAGCTCTTTCATAACGATTAATTGAGAAAATGCTGGTAAAGCTTTGAAAAAAGGGCCGGTATATAGTAAATGCTCCACAAACAGACACTTTTGTTATTATTATGATGATAGTTATCAACAGAGAAAAGGGATATTATTATACCTGTGCCACCTACAATGATCCAATGGAAAGCTTGTATAAAATGTAGCATGTAGATGTAAGAGCTAATGGAAAGCTTGTATAAAATGTAGCATGTAGATGTAAGAGCTAATTATGCTCAATTCCAAACATGCAGAATTCAAGAAACAAATATGTGAGTTTATAAAATGGAACAATTAGGGAGTGATGTAAGTGCTGAACAAAAGAAGGAACTGCAGAATTCAATGAATTCTAAAGACCCTTAGCTGCACCAACTGCCAGTCCATTTGTAGATTACCGATGGCTTGTCACAAAGACCGTGAGGAAGGCTGAGAAACTAAGCATTGGGGACCATGCTAAGTTGAAAATGAGTCAGAAATGAAGTGACATCGCCTCTAGAATGATAAGGCAAATCAGTAAGAAATGGAATCCAACTGACAAAAATTCAGCTTTTTGTACAACAATGGTATTTATTGAGAGCTTACAACTTGACAGAGGTATTTCTAAGTGCTTATGTGGATTCCTTATTTAATCCTTACCACAACCTATAATGTTGGTTCTATGATTACCTCAACCTGACAGATACACAAATCTTCAGGGATGCACCTGCTACAGAAAATGAAAGTCACTTAATTCTTAAAGGAGCCCCTTTATAGACTAGGAGAGAGCCTAGATCCACCAAAGGCTTACATGTGGAAGAGGCTTACTTAAATCCTGGGAGAAATTGGATTTAGTTGTGTTCATCGATTCTAATGAATCTAACAACTATTTACACAGGGTCTTCTACTCTGTACCAGAAACTTGGTTTGCTGTTGAAGATATAATGGTAAACAAAAATAGATATAATCAGTTCTGGGAAGATGGAATAGATATACTTTTCTTTACTCCTTCTGCTGTGTACAATAAACCCCCTGGACATTGTCTATAAAACAAACATAAAAGGACTCTGAAAAATGGAAAGAAGGCAGATTTTCTAGGGACCTTAAGACCCAAGGAAATGACACAGTGGTGTCATTAGAGGTGTCTTAGAGATGAAGAAACCAGTGACCAAGAAATGCCAATGGGTGCAGACAATACAATTCCTGCTGTCTGTAGCCAAAGGACCAGGAAAGAGGCAGCCTAACAAGACAGGGGACTTTCAGACACTAATGGCTCTACTCTAGCCAAACACCACAGAAAAAACTGTGGCTACCCCCAACCCCCATACTTGCAATGGCTACATGGGAGGCTAGACCTCCACCCTCTTGAGGCTGTAAGGAGGTGCTGCACTCCCCTGCAGGAATGGTGTCAGAGAGGACCAGGTAGAAAGCTGAGACTTTCATCTGCTCCAGGTGGTGATGAGGCATCCATGCCTGCAGTGTCAGTAGAAAGCTCCTGTACTCCCACCCAGCAATAATGAAGCCACCCTGTGCATCCCTGCTGGGGTGGTGTCAGAGGAGGCCTGGTGGAGAGTCAGGACTTTCACACCTGCCCAGTGGTAATGAAACCAACGCCCCCCACCACTTTCTACCCGTTTGCGTCAGTGCCCCCCCAGCCCCCACTTTCTACCCATTTGTGTCAGTGGAGGCCAGTTGGGAAGCAGTAATGAGCACCTTTCTACCCCTCCCAGCCAGAAAGGTATGAATGGAGGTTTGGTGGGGACAGAGGACTCTCACCTCTGTCCAGCTCCACCTACCTAGGTGCCAATGGACGCCCAGGAGGCAATGTGGACATATACCCCCACCTGGTGGTAACAAGGTGACACGCTCTCCTTCCCCTGCCAGAGCTGAACAGAAGTCA
Organism: Homo sapiens; assembly: GCF_000001405.40. Taxonomy (NCBI): domain Eukaryota; kingdom Metazoa; phylum Chordata; class Mammalia; order Primates; family Hominidae; genus Homo; species Homo sapiens. The sequence goes on from NC_000010.11 coordinate 104,622,862, forward strand.
GCTGAAACAGAAGGCTCAAATAAGATCCAGCATCTTATATACTAAATATATCCAGGTTTTAACCAGAACCCATTTGACACACTAAGAGCCAGGAAGATACCTAATCAAATGCAAAAAGACAATTAATAGATGCCAACACCGAGAAGACAGAGATGTTAGAAATACCTGATGAAGAGTTTTAAGCAGTTATTGTAAAAATACTTCAAAGAGTAATTACAAATGTGCTTGAAACAAATGAAAATATAGAAAGTTCAAGCAAGAAAATTGAAGATATAAAGAAGAGCCAAATGGAAGTTTTAGACATGAAAAACATAATCACTGAAAATAAAAATCTCAAAGGATATATTCAACAGCAAAACAGAGGGACAGAGGAAAGATTAATTGAACTTGCAGGTTGAAAAGTAGAAATTACCCAATTTGAACAACAGAGAGAAAGTACACTGAAAACAATAAAGAGAACAGTCTCAGTGCTTGTGGGATTGTAACAAATGATCTAGTATAAATGTTCTAGGAGTCCCAGAAGAACAGAAGACAAAGGACAGGAATGGAAAAGTACTTGGAAAAATAATGGCTGAAACCTTCCCAAATTTTGCAAACCACATACCTACAAAAAAGAAAGACAGGGGTAACTATCTGAAGTGAGGAATATGTTAATTAGTTTAAGGTGAATTTATATATATACACACATATATATTAAATCATCATGTTATACACCTTAAATGTATACAGTCTTTGTCAAATATACTTCAAGTTGAAAAATTAGTTTAAAAAAGACATACTTATGTATTCAAGAAGCTGTGTGAATAATACAAATCATCTCCCCCAAAATCTATAAATCTCCAAAATAGAATAATCTCTCCAAAAATCTATAGCAAGGCATGTCACAAGCAAACTTTTGAAAACTTAACACAGAAGATCTCCTTTTTTTTTGTTTGTTTTTGTTTTGAAGAGACAGAGTCTCACTCTGTTGCCCAGGTTGGAGTACAGTGATGTGATCATAGCTCACTGTAACCTCAAACTCTTGGGCTCAAGCCATCCTCCTGCCCCAGCCTCCTGAGTAGCAAGGACCACAGGCACACACAACTACACCCAGCTGATTTTTTTTTTTTTTTTTTTTGCAGAGACAGGATCTCACTGCTGGTCTTGAACTCCTGGATGCAAGTAATCTTCCCAACTTGGCCTCCCAAAGTGCTGGGATTATAGCCATGAGCCACCGCACCTGGCCAGAAATATCTTTAAAGCAGGAAGAAGGAAATGATGCATTACCTATAAGAAGAAATGATTACCTATAGAAGAAAATGATTCAAATGCAACTGATTTCTCATTGTCTGCACATAAGAAACCAGCAAAATGTATTTCAAGTGCTGAATATAAAGAAATGCCAAGCTAGAATTCCATCATCAATAAAAATATCCTTCAAGAACGAAGGGGATAAGCCAGGCACAAAAATACAACTACTGCATATTCTCACTTATATGTGGAATCTAAAATAATAGGAATAGAGAGCAGAATGATAGTTACCAGAGTCTGGGGTTTGGGAATATGGGAAGATATTGGTTAAAACATACAATGGTTCAGTTAGGAGGAATAAATAGTAAGTATTTGAGGTGATGAATATATTAATTTGCTTAACTCAATCATTCCATATTGTATACATACATCATAGCATCACTTTGTACTTCATAAATATATACAATTATCATTTGTCAATATTCAATTAAAAACAGAATGAACAGAATGAAGAGGACATGGAGGCATTTTCAGATGAAGAGAAACTAACAGGATTTTTCAGCAGACTTACTCTAAATGAATGGCTACAGGAAATACTATAAAAATAAAGGAAATGATAAAAGAAGAAACTTTGTAACATCAAGAAAGAAGGAAGAACCACCAGTAAACAAAAATATGGGTAAATAAAATAAAATTTTTTTTAACTTCTTTAGTTTTCTCTATTATCTTTGATGGTTGAAACAAAAATTGTAACACTATCTGATGTGGTTCTAAACGTATGCACAGGAAATACTCAAGATAACTATATCATAAGTCGGGGAGGGTAAAAGAACATAAAGGAAAGTAAGGTTTCTGTACTTTACTCAAACTGGTAAATGAAAAACTGGCAGGCTGTGATAAATTACATGCATTTAATGCGATACCTAGAGCAACCACTAAAAAAAAAAAAAAGCTATGCAAAGAGATACATTCAAATGCTATGGAAAAATAAAAATGAAATTTAAAAAATGTTCAAGAAAGCCACAGGGAGGTAAGAAAAACCAAACAGAAAAATGGAAAGCAAAGAGGATAAACAGAAAACAAAAAAGAAAATGGCAGAATTAAGCTCTAACACATAATTAATTACATTAACTATAAATGGTCTAGATATACAAAATAAAAGAGATTGGCAGGGTTGTTTAACAAACATGACTAAATTATATTCTATCTGAAGGAAACTAACTTCAAATAGAATTATAAATGTATGATAAAGGATATATTATGCAAATATTAACCAAAGAAAACAAGAGTAACTTTATTAATGGTAGATAAAGTATACTTCAGAACAAAGACAATTACCAGAGATAGAGATATTATATAATGACAAAAGGGTCAATCTATTAAGAATAGCAATTTTAAATGTGTATGCATCGAACAAAAAAGCTGCAAAGCATGTGAAGCAAAAACTGATATAATTGAAGGGAGAAATTTTAAAAAGTCTACAAGTATAGTTAGACACATCAACCCCTCTCTTGACAAATAATAGAACAACTAGACAGAAAATTAGCAAGAATATAGAAGAACTCAACACTACCTTCAACCAACAGGATCTAGTCAATACTTACAGAATATCCAAACCAACAATAGTAGAATATATTTTGTTTCCAAGTGCTCACAGAACATATGCAAGATAGACCATATCCTCAGCTACACAACAAACCTCAACACATTCAAAAAATTGAAAGCATACAAAATGTATTCTCCTATAGCAATGGAATCACACTAGAAATCAATAACAGAAAGACAATAGGAAAATCTCTAAACACTTGGCAACAAAAAGACATACTCCAAAATAATTCGTGGTTCAAAGAGGGAGTCTCATGGGAAATTAAAAAAAAGTTTCAGCTGAATGAAAGTGAAAACAACATATCAAAATTTGTGGGATACAGCTAAAGTAATGCTGGGAGGGCAATTTATAGCACAAAATGCATATGTTACAAAAGAGGAAAGGTCTCAAGTCAATAATTTAAGCTCTTACCTTCAGAATCTAGAAAAAGAAGAGCAAAATAAACCTAAAGCAAGCAGGAGGAAAGAAATAATAAAGAAAACAGCTGAAATCAATGAAACTGAAAACAGAAAAACAAATGAGAAAATCATTGAAACGAAGAGCTGGTTCTTTGAAATGAGAAACAAAGTTGACAAACTTCTAGCATGACTGACAAAGTAAAAAGAAGATAGCAATATTTGGAATGGAAGATATCACTGCATATCCTGCAGACATCAAAAGGATATTTAGGGCATTTTACACCACAGATTTGACAACACAGACAAAATAGACCAATTTTCTTTAAAAAAAAAACACCAGTGACTTCAACTTACCCAATATGAAATGGATAATTTGAATAGTAGTATAATTATTAAAAAATTAAATTGATAACTGAAAAAACCCACAAAACAAATTTCCAGGCCCAAATGGTTTCACTGGAGAATTTTATAAAATACTTAATGAATTAAGACCAATTCTTTTGGGAGGCTGAGGTGGGCAGATCACAAGGTCAGGAGATCGAGACCATCCTGGCCAACATGGTGAAACCCCGTCTCTACTAAAAAAAAATACAAAAATTAGCTGGGCGTGGTGGCACGCACCTGCAATCCCAGCTACTTGGGAGGCTGAGGCAGGAGAATCACTTGAACCCAGGAGTCGGAGGTTGCAGTGAGCCGGGATTGCGCCACTGCACTCCAGCCTGGCAACAGAGTGAGACTCTATCTCAAAACAAACAAACAAACAAACAAAAATTCTACACAATCTCTTGCAGACAGAATAAGAGGAGGGAATATAATATAGCCCAATTCATTTTATGATGCTTCAATTATCATAATAGTAAAACTGGATAGATAGGAAAGGAAAGAAAGAAAGAAGGAAAGCAAGGAAAGATGGCAGGCAGGCAGGAAGGAAACCACAGGCAAATATTATTCATGAATATAGACACAAAAATCTTTAACAAAATATTAGCAAATAGAATTCAGCAATATATGAAAAGGATTTTATATACCATGACTAAGTGGGGTTCATTGCAGGAATGCAAGGCTGGTGTAATATTAGAAAGCCAATCCATATCAATAAGTTAAAGAATAATAATCAACTGATATGTCAATTGGTGCAGAAAAATAATTTGACTAAATTTAACACCAATTTATGGTAAAAAAAAAATCAGAAAAATAGGAATAGAGAAGACCTTTATTACTTAGTAAAGAGTACCTACAAAAAAGCAACAATTTACATGATACCTAATGGTGAAAAACTGAGTGCTTTCCTCCTAAGATCAGGAACAATGCAAAGATATCCACTCACTACTTTTATTCAACATATTTTGGAATTTCTTGCCAGTGCAATTTAGAAAGTAAGGTAAATAATACGGATACAGTTTGAAAGGGAAGAGATAAAACTGTCCCTATTTGCAAAGGACATGACCGTTACACACAAAATCCCAAAATGTTATACAGAAATAATCCTGGAATAAGTGAGTTCAGCAAGGTCACAGGATACAAGATAAAAAAGACAAATATGTAAAACTCAATTGTATTTCTGTATGCTAGTGATGAACTCATGGGCACAAAAATTTAAAACTATAATACCATTTACAATCACTCAAAAAATGAAATGCTTAGGTGTAAATCTAACAAAACATGTATAGGATTTGCATGTTAAAAATCACACCACACTGATAAAAAACACAACAGAGATATAGATATTTAAGAGACATACTTTGTTCATGGAATGGTAGATTCATCATAGTAAATAAGTCAGTTCTCTCCAAATTGATGTACAGGTTCAACACAACTCTTATCAAAACAACAACAAGATTTTCTTTATAGGTATCGACAAGTTTACTCTAAAATTTATATCAGAAGGCAAAACATTTATTTCAAAAGAATTAAAATGGCCAAAAGAGTTTTGAAAAGAGAAACAAAGTGGAAGGAACTAGTCTACCCAATTTCAAGATTTAATATATAGCTACTATAATGAAATCTGTGTTGTATTGGTAGAGGGGCAGAACTATAGATCAAGGCAACAGAAAAGGGAACTCAGGCATAAACTCACACAAAATCACAAATATGTCCAACTGATTATTGATGAAGGTACAAATGTAATTCAATGGAGAAAAGATAGCTTGTTCAACAAATGGTACTGGAGTAATTGGAAATCTATAGGCCAAGAAAATAAACCTTGACCTGACTTACACCTAATATAAAAATTCAGTCAAAATGGTTCATGGGCTTAAATATAAAATGTAAACTCTAAAACTTATAGAAAAAAATTATAGGTGAAAATTGTCAAGATTTAGAGCTAGGCAAAATGTTTTTGTTTTGTTTTGTTTTGTTTTGTTTGAGACGGAGTCTCCTCTGTTGCCTAGGCTGGAGTGCAGTGGCATGATCTTGGCTCAGTGCAAGCTCCACCTCCTGGGTTCATGCCATTCTCCTGCCTCAGCCTCCCTAGTAGCTAGGATTACAGGCGCCTGCCACCATGCCCAGCTAATTTTTTTATTTTTTTATTTTTAGTAAAGACGAGGTTTCACCGTGTTAGCCAGGATGGTCTCGATCTCTTGACCTCATGATCTGCCTGCCTCAGCCTCCCAAAGTGCTGGGATTACAGGTGTGAGCCACCATGCCAGGCCGCAAAATGTTCTTAATGACACCCAAACATTGATCTATAAAAGGTAAGATTTATAAATTGGACTTCATCACAATTAAAAAATTCTGCTCTGTGAGAAACCCCATTAGGAGGAAGAAGAAACAAGTTATTACCTGGAGAAAATATTTTCAAACCAAAAACCCAACAAGGACTACTTTTTAGAATATATAAAGCACTCTCAAACTCAACAGAAAAAACAACCCAATCAGAACATGGGTCAAATATATGAAGAGGCATTTTACTCTAAGAGGATACATGGATGGCAAATAAGACATGAAAAGACGTTCAACTTCATTAGCCAATGGGACAATGCAAATTAAAGCCACAATGAAATTTCACTACACACCCACCAGAATGGCTAAAATTGAAGAAAAGTAATAACACTAAATTCTGAAGAAGATTCAGAGAAACTTGACCACTCATACTTTGCTGATGGGAATGCAAAATGGTACAGCCACTCTGAAAAAAATAGTTTGGCAGTTTGTTAAAAAAACTAAACAGGGAACTACCATATCACCTAGCAATTACACTCTTGGACATTTATGCTAGAGAAATAAAAACATATTCATGGAAACACCTGTCTGTAAATGTTATTGCAACTTTGTTCATAACAGTTAAAAACTGGAAACATCTCAGATGTCCCTCAACAGGTAAACATCCATACCATAAAATCCAGCTCAGCAATAGCATAGAACAGATTAATGATACACGCAACCTAGATGAAGCTCCAGAGAATTATGCTGAGTGAGAAAAGCCAACCCCAAAAGGTTATAAACTGTATGATTCTTTTTATTTAACATTCTTGAAATGGCAAAATTATAGAAATGGAGAAGAGATTAGTGGTTGCCAGAGATTAAGGAGATGGGGACAGGTGGGAAGTGGGCATGGCTATAAAAGGGTCATATGAGGGATTCTTGAAATGATGGGAGGGCTCTGTAGCTTTGTCAATATTCTGGTCGTGATACTGCGCTGTATTTCTGCAAGCTGTTACCGCTGGAGGAAATGATAAATGGTACATCTGATCTCTTTGTTTCTTTTCTTTTTCTTTTTTTCTTTTCTTTTCTTTTTTTCTTTTCTTTTCCTTTCCTTTCCTTTCTCTCTCTCTCTCTTTCTTCTTTCTTTCCTTTCTTTCCCTTTAAGAGACAGGGTTTTGCTCTGTTGCTGAGGCTGGAGTGCAGTGGCACCATCATAGCTCATTGCAACCTTGAACTCCTGAGCTCAAGCCATACTCCCACCTAGTCTCCGAGTAGCTAGGACTACAGGCATGCATCAACACATCTGGCTAATTTTTTAATTTTATTTTTTGTAGAGATGGGGACTTGCTAGGTTGTCCAGGCTGATCTCCAACTCCTGGACTCAAGCGATCCTCCTGTCTCAGACTCCTGAAGGTCTGAGATTACAGGTGTGAGCCACCATGCCTGGCCTTTTTGTATTTCTTATAACTGCATGTGAATCAACAATTATTTCAGAACAAGAAGTTTAATTAAAATAGGTATGACCTCTTTGCTGATGAAGTTTATAATAGACTGGAGGAGAGAGGCATTAATTAAACCTCTAGGCAAACATATTTAGAAATTCAACTATAAGAATGCTTTTAAGAAGAGGTGTATAGTACCAGGAGAACATATAATAGATGGGGTGATCATATGATTTAGTGCTCAAAATGGGATACTGTTGAGAGTGAAAGGGGATGCTATTAGTAAGTACACTGGGAAAATGAACCTAAACTGGGACATGCAGTCACCTTAATAATAGGGGAGGGAGATGCGTCCTGACTCATTCAGTGGGGCCAAGGGAGGCTCCCTGAAGGAGGTGAAGATAGACTGAGGACCAGAAGGAAGATAACAGTAAATCACGCAAGGTGGAGGAGAAGAGCAATAAGAGCAAAAGTCCCATGCCAGAGGGGCGCCCGGACCTGTGGAAAGAGGAGTTTGGAGTTGGAGCTGCTGATGGATTCTGCCCGACTCCCAGGGCCGAGAAGCCCCTGCGTGGTTTCCAGCAGGAAAGCCCTCATCCGGGATCTGGCTCTGATTCCTGTGACCTGGACGCACTCTCCCTTCTGCTGCCCTGACTGGGGGGTGTTCCGTCGTAGACCGCGTGTTTGTTTTGAGGCTATATTTAGTTTCCTCTTTGCTCTCTCTGCCACGCTTGAACAACTTGCCAAGGATGCCATCTCTCTTACGTCCGCCGTGGTGCTCCGGATTCTGACTCATTCGGACGAACGGGTCGGGGTCGCGGAACCTGCGTGCGCAGGTGGTCACAGACGCGTCCACGGTACATCTCCCTCTCCATCCTGCAGCTGCTGAAGTGGCCTCGGGCCATTCCTGAAGGTTTTGTCCTGTTCCTTTGCCCAGTCCCACGCTTCTTCTGAGCTGCAGACCCATCTTTACTTGGCTGTTCCTGCTCCTATGGGGAGCTCCTCGTTCCTCTCGGTTTCTCCACCCCGGGTCCTCTTTCTTGCTCTTAGGAACGGCCCCTGCCCCATCATTGGCCCTGGACGGTGGGTTTAACTCTCTGAGCATCAGAGTCCCAGCCTGTAGAACAGAGATACTCGCCCGGGCGCTGGGCTTCTCCAGGACTCTGGGAAGATTAAATGGGGGAGATGGACACATATTCACCTCTTGTTCAGAGCCATAGCATTGAAGCCAGGCATCAAGGCGATTTCTATGAAGTTATTTGCTCTTGAAGTCTAATCTCACCTGGGGAAATTAAAAGGTTTGCTCTCTCATGAAGGAAATCCCGCATCATTGGGCAGAGGAAGATACTTCTTTTGGGGGGGTGGTGGAGTTAGGGATGGATGGTAAAAGGGGGTCTAATAATTATTTATTAAGTCCTTATTAAATGTACCAGACACTATTCAAACATTCTGTCATTGGATCCTCAAAAGACTCTTTGAGAGAGGGACAACCGATATCTTCATTTTACAGGTGGGGAAACTGATGCTGAGACGGGTTAGACACCAGGTAACATAGCTGGTAAGGCAGAACTAGGATTTGAACGCCACTCTTTCTGAATCCAGAATCTTTGTGTTTGACCACTAGGCTCTGCAGTCTCCCTGGAGATCATGTCTCATTTCTACTCCCTGAAAACACAACTGTCTGCATTTTCTCTCTTCTCCCCAACACAACTATAACCACCACCTAGGTATCTCTACTCTTTCTCCTTCTCTCATCCCTCCCTCTTCTTCCTTTTGCTTTAACCACTTTTCCCCCCAGTTGTATTTTCTTCTCTGTTATGCACGCCTTAACCTGCCACTGGCACCCGGGGGGAAGAGGTCAGTTCTGCTTGGGTCTCACTGTCACTGCTGCCTGGAGTTGCCCATGGTTGTCTAATCTCTTTGTTAAACTTGGTGTAGCAAGTTGGTGATGCCTTTTTAAATGCAAATATTATACTCCTGGGGAAGGGTACATTAAGGCATCACCATTTAGGTATGAATTAGATGCTTCCTTGTCTATGAACTTTGATGGGGAAGCACAGAATAAAGAGTGTGAACAGGAAAGGGAGACCGGGTGCAACAGACTCATTTTCAGCATATACTGGCTTCTAGAAATCAGAACTGTAGCTTGCTTGGGTCAGGAAGATGCCAAATCGAAGGAGATCAAATGTGTAACTATATTGATGGCAACTAAAACAACACACCCATGCCTTCTTTTATGTAGCTCTTTAAAGTTTGCTTAGTGTTTCCTTGTAAACTGCCTCCTTTAATCCTCAAGCCCAGTTATAACCCTGTTACAACAATGAGACTTGTTAGAACCTCTCAAGTAACACCGGTGAAGCCAGGACTAGACTTCCCTATCTTCATATTCACCTCTTCTAGATAACCTCCTGCTTTTTATTAAGGATATTCTAACTAAATTGCCCAAATCTTCTTTCTGTCTTCTGTACAAGTTCATTCTTTCCATTACTCTTTCATTCAGTTGACAAGCACTTATTGAGGATCTGCCATTAGGTTAAGCTTTTGCATATATTCTTTACTTCTCAAAAACCACATTATGGGGAAGATGTTAAAATACTTTCTTTTAGTATGGGAAAATGGAATAATGTATCTCTCTCTGCCGGACTGACCAATATCTCCCACTGTGAACCTCTGAAGACCATCACCATTAGTATCAAGGGCATGCTTTCCATAGCCAGCAATGGAGTGTACCAGGGATACCAGGAAGGCCCATTCCTGGAGGACAGGGGACTTTTCCGATAGTGACTTTGACTCAGAAGGGGACTCCTTGGATAGTAAATGACTTTGACTCAAGAACTTCCCATTAGCTTTGCCAAACTTTTTAGAACTTCCTGGGAATCCATGATAATTTAAGAGCAATGCTGTAAAAGACAAACTTTTCTCTAAGAAATGCAGCTTTGCATTGTGAATCATTAGGGAGAAGAATAAAATGAAAACCTATTTGCCTGCAAAACTTCTTTTCCAACTACCTCCACCTCATTAGATTGATGTCTTCCTTTTCTTTTGGAGATGTGACTAGAGGGAAAATGTCAACTAAGTTGCTGATGACTTTTGGCAGCTTAATGAGTATGTTCTTTCCCAGAACTTGTTAAGTTTCCATTGTTGACTTTACTTCTTTAGCCCAACCTTGCTACTTGAACACAGGCCTGGAATTCACCAACCATAATTTTCTTTTCTTTAGGAGGTAAATGGCATCTAAAGAGATGGATGTCACCAACTAAATCGCCAACCTCTTCCCAAATTGTAAGGCATGTTGTGGAAGCCATGTGCCCAGTGAGGACCAGCCATCAGTATTAGTCCTGGTGATATGTTCCTGGGTGCCAAGACAGAGGATGCAGCAGGAAGAACTCTGACTTCAGAGCCAAATAGACCAAAATGTAAATATTACCTGAGGCATGCTGTGGGATGTAGGTCAGGAAGACAGTGTAGACCACTGTGTGAGAGCTGTCTGGATCAGACAGATCCTTTAGTTTGGTTACTCACAAGCTATGCAATCCAACCTCTCTCACTCAAAGTTTCCTCATCTGTAAAATGGGGACAAAGTACTAGCCTCCACAGGACTGTTCAGGAGAATAAGAACATTTATAGCCAAATTTATCTAGCACTTAATCTTCGCTAGACCTTGTTCCAAGTGCTTTATGCCATTGATTCATTTAATCTTAATTGTGACCCCCTACATTAAGTATTATCACCATCTCCATTTACAGATGAGGAATTGAAGTATAGAGAGATTGATTTATCGAAGGTCACACAACTGGTAGTTGGTAGGGCTGGAATTGAAACATAGGTAATTTTTCTCTAAAGTATGGACTCTCAGTCACTCCAATAGCATGATGGTGGGTCCTTACCATATTTCTAGTCAAGAGTTAGTGCACAGCATAAATTATCATTCATCATTATCTTCTACATTATCTCCTCTAGCATCACTGCTTCAACTGTATGTATTTGTTTCTTAATCTACTGATTGGAACCAAGAAATGACTTTGTCTGGATTAAGTGAAGCAATGGCCATAGGAGACGTATTGCCTGACTTAAAGGAAGTCCTTATTAAATGCGTTTTCCAGGTAGCTATTTTCTGCTCTCCTCTTCTTTCTGCTGCCTTTTTTTCTTCCACTTTTCCTTCATCATAAAGTATTTGGCGCCTTGTGGACAGGATTCTTAATGTTACTTCCTATACCTATAACCACTGGGCAGATGGTCACCCCTCCTCTATTCTCCCCTTCTCCATGGGAGAAGTGTTTCCCTGGTTAAGCATCGAATTCCACATAGGTGTTATGTTAAATGTTACCTCGTCAGGATTTTGTTTTAGTTTGTTTTTCTACAAGAAGTTCAAGATGAAGGCAAACAGAGTCACTTTCTTTCTCTAAGAAATGTTTTTTTTTGGTGACAGGTGTAGTGGACATTTATCTTGCTTCATCCTGTGGCTGCCCAACATCTGAACTCCCTTCTGTGTGTGTGGGAGACTTTCCCACTTCAGGAGGCAGATCTGCTTCCTCACTGCATCTCTAGAGTAGGGGCTAGTGATCTAGGCTTGGCCAATCAATGCTAGTGATACAAAAAAGCAAGCAGAAGGCTAGCTGGTGACAATGGAGGTGGCAGCAACATTCAGCATTCAACTCTTGTGGTGCTTGTTAAAGCTGTAGCATCTAGGCTTATTGATGCTGGTAATAGGGTCCTTATAGGACCAATTCCGTGGTGTGATTTCAGGTGTCATTCCGCCTGCAGAACCCCTGAGCCTAGCTTTCCAGCCCGCCCAGCAATTTTGGGAGTTACTCAATATCATTTTCATAAGATAATTTTCTTTTTTTTCTTTTTCTTTTTTTTTTGACACAGAGTCTCACTCTGTCACCCAGGCTGTAGTGCAGTAGTGTGATCTTGGCTCACTGCAGCCTCTGCCTCCTGGGTTCAAGCAATTCTCCTGCCTCACCCTCCTGAGTAGCTGGGATTACAGGTGCTCACCACAACATCTGGCTAATTTTTTGTATTTTTAGTAGAGACTGGGTTTCGCCATGTTGGCCAGGCTGGTCTGGAACTCCTGACCTCAAGTGATCTGCCTGCCTTGACCTTCCAAAGTGCTGGGATTACAGGCATAAGCCATCATGCCCGGCTGCTTTTCATAAGATAATTTTCTCCAAATTTGTGTTGGAGAATTGTTTTCTGTGGCTTGCAATAGGAACATTGATACCATGAAATAAGGTGTGGTGGAAAGTAGTATCAATCAAGTCCTAGAGCTTTTGCCTCTTTAGAAAGTTGACATGCTAAAAAGAACAGGTGGTTAGTAGCTGCAGTGGAGGTATTATTATTTACATTCATCTGTTTTGTTTTTTATTGCACATTTATTGAGGGTCATCGCTGTGCCAGGCATTGGGCCAGGTGCTAAGGATACAGTATTGAGCAAAACAGACACTTCATGGACACACAGTGACAGGAAGTCCTAATTGCAGTGATCATCTGGCTGGCTTTGTCTGCATTTCAGGTTTTGTTTCATAATCATTTGCCTCCTTAGAAATTCAGAGTTACAATGTAGACTGTTGTTTGATGTTAATCAATTAATTAATTTCCTATTTAGTTCTAAAAAGAATGTGAAGTGGCTTATCAAAAATACGCAGATATAGTAAGATCAAAGAGTATCAAACAATAAAAACAGCATTTAGTAAAAAGGGAGCAGAGGATAAAAATCTTGACTGAAGACCATTAGAACAAGTTAACTCGGTACTCAGCGTGATTATTGAGACAAGAGGAAGACAAAGTGAGAAGACAGAGCCAGTTAAAAGAGCCTTTAAGAAAGGATGTCAGTTTCACAGGAGAAATACACGTTTTAAGAGAAATTTGCTTTTAGGTCCTCATGTAAGAGGTGCTGAACATTTTATAAAATACGGAAATAGGGCTGGGCATGGTGGCTCACGCCTGTAATCCCAGCACTTTGGGAGGCCGAGGGGGTCGGATTATCTGAGATCAGGAGTTTGAGACCAGCCTGGCCAACATGGGGAAATCCCGCCTTTACTAAAAAAAAACAAAAAACAAAAAAACAAAAATTAGCTGGGCATAGTGGCGTGTGCCTGTAATCCCAGCTGCCTCAGGAGTCTGAGGCAGGAGAATCAATTGAACCTGGGAGGCAGAAGTTGCAGTAAGCCGAGATCGCACCACTGCACTCCAGCGTGGGCGACAGAGCAAGACTCCATCTCAAAAAAAAAAAAAAAAAAAAAAGAAAAAGAAAAGAAATCGGCATCATTTGAATGCTTCCCTATCTGTGCCTGCTGTGAGTGCTGATGGCAAAATATCTATTAGATTATTGAGGGTCTGGAAGGGTAAGGGTGTGTGTGTGTGTGTGTGTGTGTGTGTGTGTGTGTATGTGTCTGTGTGTATTTGTGATGTCAGGGAGAAGAAGCACAGTTTCCCAAAGTGTTATTTCACTGTGATGGTAAAAAACAAGAAACAAAAAACAAAACAAAACAAAAAACCGGAAAGAAGACTTATTTGGGTGACATTTAGTGTAATCTCATGGATAACTTACAGTATACAGTTTGCTTTCTCCAGTTGTTTTTAACAGGGACAGAAGCCCTGGTGAGAAAATGCATTCCCAGTGGGCATTTGTTGCCGACCCTATGGGGACTGTGTGAGAGCTAATCCTCACTCTCAACCTGCCTTTCCCAGCTGAAGTAGGTATTATGTCAGCAAGGGAAATGGAAGCCCCCTTTAACCTTTGTCCTTTCTTTTAAATTCCAAATTGATATGGGACAGCTCCTATCTTATAGGAAGACAAAGAATTTGATGATGATGACATGATGATGGTAATAATAATGATATAATAACAAGTACTATGAGGCTGTGGAGGCAAGCTCCATGGAAGAGGATTCTTCCATGAAGAAGGGTTCTTACCATGAAGCCCCTTCCATGTTGAATACTGTGGCAGAGGACACATTCCAGGCTTAAGGAATACAGTAAGAAAGTTCATGGAGGTGGGGCAAGTACATGGAGCTTTGGATACCATTCTAAGAAGTTTGGATTTTATAAAAATGGTAGGTCATTGAAAAATTTTGAGGAGGGCAATTCATGATATAATCTTCCTTATGTTTTAAGAGGCTATTTCTGTCAACAGTGTGGAGCTGTGTTGTTTAAAACAGTAGCCACTAGTCACATGTGGTTATGAAATGTGGTAGTGAAAAAATGTGGGTGGTCTGAACGGAAATGTGCTGTAAGTATAAAATACACACTGGATTTTGAAGACTTGGTACAAAAATATGTAAAAATACATCAATAATTTTTATGTTGATTACAAATTGAAACTATTTTTGGTATCTTCAGTTCAATAAAAATTAAAGTTAATTTCATTGGTTCCTTTTTATTTCAATAAAGCTACTAGAAAGTTTAAAATTTCCTGTGTGGCTTACATTACATTTCTATTTGAAGGTGCCAGTGTGGAGGCTGGCTAGGAGAAGGAAAGAACCGAAGACCAGGAGAAGAGAGGAAACTATTGCAAAACCTTAGGCAAGAGATGTTGAGGGTCAGATATAAGGCAGTGACTCTAGGAATGAACAGGAGAGGAGTGGTAAAAAAAAAAAAAAAGGCTTTTTAAAATAGGACGAGACAAGTTATGGGTGTGGGGATCCAAAAGAGGGAGTCAAGCTTGCAAGTCAAGTGTCTAGTCTAGGTGACTAAGAAGATGTTGGGGTGATGGTTTTAGGTTTTGCTGCATATGGGTTTCAAGGTGAACACATAACACGTATGAAGCAATGAGGAAGTCAGGTGTGAAGCTCAAGAGGGGATGTGGTGAAGTTGTAGATCCAGGAGTCAACACCAGGAAATGGTAGTAGAAGGACAGAAATGGGCCTGATCTCCGGGCTCATTCAGACAAGGAGAAAGGGAAAACAGAATGAGAGCCAAGCACGGAGAATTGGGGAAAATGATGGAGGCTGGGGCTCAGAATTTAAGATGTGGATAAAAGAGGACAAGCTTGACTGAGGCTGGCCAGGGAGGACCCAGAAGATCCTAGTACCATGTAGATCAAAGGAGACCTTTTCAGATGGGACAAGTTTACACATGCGGGAAGAAGAGGTTGTTGAGTGAGGCTGTCAGGCGTGTTGGGGTAGGCCTTTGACTGAGTCGCCTAAAAGCAGATGTCAAATTGCAAAAAGTCCAGGAGTGAGGAAGAGGATACTGTGGGTTCAGGTGAGAACTACTGGGAGAAGTTTGGGCACTAGAGAAGGCTAATGGGGACTCGGAAGCAGGGGGTTGGAGGCAGGGGGCTGGGGGTGGGGGCAGGGGCAGCTCAGGGCTGAGGGCAAGGATTTTCAGGCAAAGGGTGAAGGAGGGAGAGGCTGCAGGTGGAAGAAGACTGTAATTGATGGGAGCAAGGCCAAGAAAACGAACTGGTGCAGGAGGCATGTGAAAATGTCACACTTGCGGGAGTCTTTCCTTTTTTGTTTGTTTTCAAACAAAAGCTTTTAAGCTACATCTCCTCAAGCCCATCCCAAGGATCCAACTCTGCCCGGGTTCCATCTGGTAGGGCCTTCTTCAGACAGGAGAGACAGAAGGAGGCCCCTCTCAGAGCGTCTGCCTCTTTTGCACCCGACTGCTCCTGCTCAGAGGCCGCGGGAAGCTGCGGGGACTGGATGGTGCACCTCCCCAGTGCGCATAGGACTTGGGAGACCACACTCCTCCGGGCTGTGTGAGCCTCGGGTCCGCCCAGATCTCTTATACTGTGGCACCTCCGCCCAGAGCCTGAAGAGAAGAGCAGCACCGCGTCCCTCCCGAACCCCGAGCTTCGGCTCGGGCTGCAGCGCCGGGCCTCCTCCGGCAGGGGCGCTGGGAACTCGCGGATGGCCGGCTCTCGTCCAGCGCCCGATCCCGCGCCCACCTGGGCCTGCGGCGCTGGAACTTTTCTTAGGAATACCCGCTACTCCCTGTCTTTGGAAACCCACAGATGCCAGGACCCGCACCATTCTGGGCCGGACGTTGTCGCTGGCTTGGTTCTTTGGCCCAGCCTCCCCCGCTGCTAATTGCCATTTTGGCACCGGGTGGAAAGGCAAGTTCAAGAGGGCGGGGGCTCTCGGGAATCGCTGGATGTCTTCTTCCTTGGCCAGCTTAGATTCTCAGTCGCCTCTTCTGCCTCCTCCATCCCTCTTGGCTCTTACCTGGCGCCCTTTCGCCTCCTCTTCTATCTCCCTCTTCCTTTTGCACCATTCTCTCGCCCCTTTTCTCCTTCATCTTGTCTTTCCTCTCTCCCCTTTTCCCTCTATTTTCTCCTTCATTCCTTCCTCTCACCTTTCTTTCCTCTCCGCGCATTCCCCTCCCTCTCGCTCCACTTTAACCATCTTCTAGAGAGGAGGAACTCTATCTACTCCCGAAGGGGAGGAGCAGGGCTGGAGGCTGTCTCTCTCTCCCTAAGCCTCCTCCCTCCTGCCTCCTCCTTTCTTAATAGCTCCTCCTCTAGCTCCTCTAGTCTCAGACTTTTCAACCCCTAGAATCCCAGGGGCTTCTCGGAGGCGGCGAGCTACACCACATGTCCTGGGGCCTGTAAACCGCAGCTCGAGGTCGTCTGTGGGTTTAGCTCATTTCCCTTCAGCCCACCTGAAGTCTCCTTCTTCCTACGGTCACGAAGGATCTCAGCTGCACCAAGCGCGCAGGCTACACTCCTGCAGTAGCGGATTGGGGACCAGATAAGCCCACGCGGCTCCCGCCTGAGTACCCTCTTAACTGGCGGCCGACACTTTGAAACAATTGAGTCCGTTCAGAAACGGACTGGGGAGAGTGAGGGCACGACCTCAAAATCCTAGGCAGCAAAATGAGGTCTGGATCCTCCCTGGAAGAACAGACATCTCGACTACTCTCTCGCCCCACCTCTGGCCGGGAGGTCGGGGCAAGGAGAATCCCTCAACCGAGAAGATCTGGCAAGTCCCCGATCCCACCGGGGCCTTCCGCCTCTTTTCCCTCATCCCCTAGGAGGCTTTATCAGGTTCTAACCGCTTGTAGTGGGGGCCGTGGGTGCTCGGGGCGCCAAGAGGAGGGGGCTGCCGAGAGCGGCCTGCCTAGTTCTCAGCATTGCCTCTTTGACCACTCGCAGGCTCCTGGAAATGCAAACACAGCCCGTGCGTGATCCGCACGCGACCAAAAGCCGAGCGCACACCTCCCGCCCCCGCCCCACTTGCCATCGCTCACACTAACGTGCACACATGCTCGTGCAAACGCGCACGCACGGAACCGCGCGCCCCCTCACACCCAGCCGCGCTCCCGGCCCGGCTCAGCCAGGTGCCCCCACGCGGCAGCGCCCGGTCTGCCCGCCGGCCCCCTGCGAACCCCTCGCCTCACGCCCGCCTGCCTGCGCGCACGCACGCGCACGCACGCATTCCCCACGCCCCCGCGCGGGGGCGCAGGCCTTGGGTGGCGGGGTTTGGCCGGGAGCCGGCCGGGCCAGGGAGCGGCGAGCAGAGTCCAGGGTGCATCCCGCGCTTGGCTTCCGTGCGCAGCCTCCCCGCGCGGAGGCACCTGGCTCCCTCTCGGCTCTAGAACGCGAACAGTTGGCGTTGAGCACACAACTCCTCCTCCTTCTCCCCCGAGACCCCTGTACCCTCCCCGCGCGCCATCTCCCGCCCCTCATAACAGGCCCGAAGAGTAAACCCCCAAACGCGTCCAGAAGCGGCTCCCAACTCTTCGCCGGGAGCACGTTGGAGGCTGGATTTCGGAGAGACTCGGGATTGGGGTCTATTGCCGGCCCCTCCTGGATCCGGCTTGATTTTCATATTTTAAGAAGATTTTCTTATTACCTTTGATTACTCCTTTTTACCAAATTTCTGGAGGAGCTCAGTGGGGAGGATTGGGGGGAATCTGATTTTAAGAAAGAAAGCACCGAAGGGGCAATTATTAATTTTCCTCGGGTTTGGAATCACCCTCTGGACAAGAGAACGGGCGAGCGGGAGCTAGGAGGGAAGAGTGGAGAGGACCGGCGAGGCGCGCCAGCCGGAGCCACCTCCTTCCCGGCCGCCCCCTCCCCACTCCCCCTACACACACACGCTCGCTCGCTCGCCGGCGCGCGCACACCCCCCGCGCCGGACCCGCACCTCGGCGGGCGCCACACACTCGGCAGCCCGAGCCGCGGTAGCCGCAGCGGGATGGAGGCGGCGCGCACGGAGCGCCCCGCAGGCAGGCCGGGGGCGCCGCTTGTCCGGACGGGGCTCCTACTCTTGTCGACGTGGGTCCTGGCCGGCGCCGAGATCACTTGGGACGCGACAGGCGGTCCCGGACGCCCGGCGGCCCCGGCTTCGCGGCCACCGGCGTTGTCTCCACTCTCGCCGCGGGCAGTGGCCAGCCAGTGGCCGGAGGAGCTGGCGTCGGCGCGGAGAGCCGCCGTGCTGGGGCGCCGGGCCGGACCAGAGCTGCTGCCCCAGCAGGGCGGCGGCAGAGGCGGTGAGATGCAGGTGGAAGCCGGAGGGACATCACCGGCAGGCGAGCGGCGGGGCCGGGGCATCCCAGCTCCTGCCAAGCTTGGCGGCGCGAGGAGGAGTCGCCGGGCGCAGCCCCCAATCACCCAGGAACGCGGGGACGCCTGGGCCACTGCTCCGGCCGATGGTTCCAGAGGAAGCCGTCCCCTTGCTAAGGGTTCCCGGGAGGAGGTGAAGGCGCCGCGGGCTGGGGGGTCGGCGGCTGAAGACCTCCGGCTGCCCAGCACCTCCTTCGCGCTGACCGGGGACTCGGCCCACAACCAAGCCATGGTGCACTGGTCGGGACACAACAGCAGCGTGAGTACCCACCCGGCGGCGGGTCCGCCTGTTTCCTGACACCGAAGGGGAATGGGGGGGTGGGTGGGAGCGAGGGACAGATAGTTGCTCGGGGGTCGAGGCGGGGGACGCCTCGACTTTTCGAGATAACAGGTTTGTCCGATTCCCCCCACGCCCCCAACAGGTTAACGGAGTTTGTTGTTAGACGCTGTGTGTGTTTGTTTACTGGAGACCCTAGGCTTCGGCCGCCGGGAGGGGAGTGGAGGAAGGGGCTTCTTAAAGATGAGTGGGGGAGGGATCTGTGCTCACTTTCTCCAATACTTGGCTTGGAGGGTCAGTTTTCCTGTTTGCGGGGTGCTTGAATTCTTGGATGAGAAAAAGGGCTGACTTGGGGCGGGAGCCGCTGAACAGACCGATTCCTGCGGCTGCCGGGCTCCCCCTACCCCCACCCCACCCCCACCCCCCCTCCCGTCACGCGAAAGGGAACCCGGAAGGCCATTCGGACTCCCAGCCTCCTGCTCGCCTCGGGGTCGCTGCTATCCGCTCCAGGCGCGCAGTCCTCCAGCCCAAGAGGGAGGCTCGGCCAAGTCGGCCCCCAGCCTTGGCCTTCAGGTAACCCCGGTTCCTCCTTCAAAGTCCAGGGAGCGGCCCTGGAAAGCCGTAGCAGAGGCCGTAAAAAAAAGTTTAAAGCGTGAAGCGAAATTCCACACCCATCCAGCGCTCATGCCACACCGCTCGCCCTCACGCACGCACAGGCACACGGAAGTCGCTCAGCAGAAAACTCTCGACTTCACCATTGCGTCCTGCGCCACAAACGGCTCCCTGAGCGGAGTTGGGTGCCTGAGCTTCCTGCACACCTCTCCACCCGCTTTTCCCCGCCACCGGGTTCTCCTGGACAAGGATGTACCGAGAGGTGGCGTCGTTGAGCCCGGTCTGGCCTACTCCGGCATTCCGAACTGGGCGCCCGACTGAGCATCGCGCCTGCCTGGCAGCTGCAGCGGCCCGCAGCGCGTGCCCGGAGGGGCTCCCCCTACCTCGCCGGCACCCAGCGCTGTGCAGCCAAGCAAAGAAAAGGCGGGGGACAGGTTCCCACCATCTCCCCGACTTCCCTCCCTCCCGCGGTCCCTACTAGAGCCAGATTTGGAAAATCCTTTCCTCTTCTCTGGCTCCATGGTTCAGATCAGAACCTGGCGTTGGGTAGGGTGCACGCTCCAGGCGGAGGATGACGGGTGTCTGTACAAGCAGCCTTGGGGAACTGATTTGATAGGAACTCACCCCGCAACTCCCTGCCGTTTTGTATTTCTCTTCATGACCGGTGTTTGACAAAATTTCTCTGGGAAATTTTTGCCTTATTTTAACAGAGCCTGGGATGTCCAGGATTGGGTATCTAATAAGAGGAAAGCGAGGGGTCCGCAGAAGGTAGTACATAAGCAATACCAAAGTGCAGATTTCTTGGTTTCTAATGATGCACAGCGCGGGCAGCCCAGCCTGGGTAGCCCATGCTGGTCTTGAAGGACCAGTGAAGTCCAGCTTCGCAGCAGCGCGATGGCGGGCTTCATCTGCCTGGGATGAAGACCCCCGTAGCCTCGGGCTGACAGCTCTGGCGAGAGGGGTGGACAATGTGTGCCTTTGCAGGGCTGGGTGATTGAAGACTTCCAAGTCCCTTCCAAGAGGACTTGGATATGTGTGTGCTGGGGGGAGATTCTCTGACCTCAGGGTTGATTCTCTGACAGCAGGGGTTGTGAATCCCAACTTCATTTTAGTTTGATAATTAGGGTGTGTGTGTGTGTGTGTGTGTGTGTGTGTGTGTGTTGGGGTTCTTACTTGGTGAGGAGGATGGATGGATGGATAGGATGTGTGGAAGTAAATATATCCTAGGAAGAGGAGGATGCAATGTCTTTACATCTGTGGCTTCCCTACTGCCACATTAGGACAATATAAATTCACCCTCCCTGAAGAGTTTTTCTGTGTCTCTGCTTTTATTTTAAGGATTATTTTTGAGTATTTACAAAGCCTCTGAAGATGGGACTTTAGAGAAAATGCTTCCTGCAAATAGCAGTTAACTGTGCATGGCCTTCTTTGCTCATCTTCAAAGCAGTTGTGCAGCAGAAGAGGTGAGGGGCAGGTCTGGCCCGTGCTCCCTGGGGAAATGACTCTTCAGTCAAATGACGGCCAAAGGGGCTTGGGGACTGGAGCAGTTGGGCTTGGAGACCTTGGTGACAGCAATGAGATTGGACAATGTATGAACAGCCCACAG
This sequence comes from Homo sapiens, assembly GCF_000001405.40. NCBI lineage: Eukaryota > Metazoa > Chordata > Mammalia > Primates > Hominidae > Homo > Homo sapiens. Next base: position 104,644,191 of record NC_000010.11, read on the forward strand.
GGACTTATTGGTTGTGCTCTTGGCCAGCCTTACTGCCCATGCAAGAGCACCACAGGTGGATGTAGGGCCACGCACTGTCCTCTCTCTCCAATCTGGGGAATAACTGCCTCTTTAGCCCCTAGGCTGGACCTGTCTCTTCTGACCACATTTTGTAGGCAATACGAGAGAGAGATCCTTGATTATCAGGTCTGTGAGCCTGTGTAAAGAAGATGGAGAAGCATACTCACATGGCCCTGTCTTTGAGACTTTAAGGAAATCTCCTGGAGAGTCACTGGGAAACCAGTTTCAGCAACATTGACCCAGCTGGTTTTTCTCCTGTCCCCCTTTCCTGATGGCAGGAAAAGAAGGTGTTGTAAATAAAAGCCAGGGTGAAGAGTGATGGGGATGAGGACACTTTGGGAAGATTCCTTCATCATTGGTTTCAAAGTGGAGGGAGATGTCCGTAAAACAGAGAACATGGGGCCTAGCTCCAGGCTCTTATGACGTGGAAAGAGAATTTTATCTTTTATTCTGGCTTCTGGAGTATTAGACATGTCCTTATTCAGGAGGCCACCAGTTTAATTTTTAACACAATGAGGGTTTCCTTGCTCTTCTTCCAAGTGTCTCTGATGCACCTGATTGCTTGATATGAGTTCCCTTTTGGGGAGCGTTTTCAGTAACCCTATGAAATTGAAAATTGAACTCCATTCTGACTGAGTTTACAGTCAGGGATGCAGGGTGGGACATGAAGGAGAAGGGCCTTCAGCCCACCCCATTGGTCCAGTGTGTGCCCCAGGTGGTTGAGGGTGCAGGAGGAGACCCTTGACCAAGGCTTGGGCTGGGTATTTGCCTTGGTCCCAGGACTGAGAAGAGATGGCTTTGGGGACAAAGGAGAAGGAGTGCAACTGGCTTTGGGCAAAGGAATCAGGAGGGCATGGGATCTGGGTACCACCTCTTGACCATGTTGCCTGCCAGGTGCTCTGGCTGGAAAGTGAGTGGACTTGGCCTTGGACCCTTTACTCTGGAGGAGCGATTTGCTATTTTTTCTCTCCAGTTGCCTCCAGCTGGAATCCTGGTGATTAATGGGTTAGAGAGTGTTTCAAAAACACCCAGAGGGAGCCCAGTCCCCGTGGCTTACAGGGAAACAGAAAAACACATTATTCTGTCCTTTTCCTTCAAATGAAAGAAGAAGCCTCCCTGCTTGCTCAGTGAGTTGGCAAATGGCTCTGGAGAGTGGAAAGTTGTGAAGGCACAGTCCACTTCTCCACACCCCCTCCTTCTTGGATTAACCCTTCATGGGGCCCCCATTCCTGGTGCCAAGGTGAAAACACTGCATCTGCCCTCACATTGGTCTTCATTTCCTTCCAGCAGCGCACTCGAAGTGGCAGCGATTTGCAGGCTGCTGCCCCTGCAGTGTATCTGCTTGGAATACTTGCCAGGTAGTTCTCAATTAATGGGCCCAACACTGCATCTTGGTGAAGAGAAATGGGGAGATGCTGATATTTCTAGGCCCTCCCAGATCACCCTGCCCTGAGCGTACTAGTAGGTGTAACACAGATTCTCCCAGGCAGGATTTCCTACCCTTAACTAATTCAGCTGGACTGTGTTCTAAAATATTTACTCCTAATGTGCAAAATAGTGACAGATTTGATCAGATTAATTGTATTTCACTCACTGGATCATCTAATTGTGGCTCCCAAACAGATTTTTCAAATAGCTTTTGGCTGGATTGCTTGTCTTCATCCTCCCTGCTCACAGTTCCTGTGTCACAATATCTTAATGCATTCTGCCTTTTTGGAGGCTTAATAAAGAAGCTTGCCACAGAAGCCATTCTTCAGGGTTTTGCCAAAAAAATTGTTTTCAATTAGTATTACAAGGGGAAACCATCTCAGTTGAGATGTAGCTGGGAAATGCATGGGGACATAACGGTACTAATTGCTCCTGGTCATTGTTGGTCTGAGGGGCCGTAGGGAGAGGAGGAGCTGGGCACAGCCTATTTATCTGCTCAGTGATTTCTCTGATGGCTGGATTACAGGATGTGATTTCCTTCTCAGATCCTTCAGTGATTTCCAAGGTGAGCAGAAGTTGCAGATTCCTTAATTGGGAGGCCTGATTTAATGATTACAGAAATGCAGTGGCTGGAACTTGCTTTGTAGCTGGCAAAGAAGGAATGCCCGGGAGTGGCTTCTCCAGTGGTGTTGGATTTAAGGGAAAGGGAGGGTGACTTCAGTGGCAGGAAGGCTCAGTGGACAGAAGGGAAAATTGCTTTTTCTTTGGGCTGTGTAAATCTATTGTCAGTGAAGGAATCCTGGAACTGGATGATCTGTGGGCCCTGAATCATCTCATAAGGAGCAGAGAGGTGCAACAAAGCAGACACTCTGTGATAGAAAGATTTGGCTGGAGACTAGTGGTTTATCCAAGGCTAGGTATAGATTGGCTAAGTCACTTAAGGCCTGTGGCTTGACCTACCTGTTGATTTCCCGCTTTCTGCCTTCTTTTGGCCTCTTGGCTGGTTTGAGACACTTCCCTTACAGGGAGAAAATGTCAAAGGAGGATTCTGCAGTAAGTTTGAAGGAGAAAAGAGGCCTTGTGGAGGAGGAGGTGGGAGATATAGAATGTGAGTGCCTAGTGGGTCACTAGGCAGTTCTGGTAAGCAGAACTGGCTCTGTGGGATGGATCGAATTTGGCTAACCAAGTTTATTCTCCTGGTGTTGTGGGTAACTGAGAAAAGGCTCTGGATAGGGCTCTGACTTTGTTGGTAGTCAGTGGAGATGAGGGAGCTTTGCCTTACACATGGTTGGCACTTGATAATGTTTGACTGAGTGAATGAAAGACAGTCTCAAGTCTCATCAAGCAGAGGCTATAAAGGAATTAGAAATTGTTGTTGCCTGGGATAGCAATGATTTCAGAACTTGACAGCTACCATAGCCAGGAGTGTTTCATCCAGTGTGTCTACATTCTGGCTTGAGGAACTTCGGTTTCTTAAATTCAGATCCAGAGTCCATTAGCCTGGCATTCAAGGCTATGTATGTCCCGGGTCTACTTCTCCAACTTTGGATTTGACTCTTCCCTGATTGACTCCTGCATTCTGGCCAGGGCAGCGTCTTCATTGTCCCAAGCATCTTGAGGTCTGTTCCACTTGGGGTACCCTTCTTTCTTGATGAAAGGGCACCTGTTATTCATAGCTCAGTTCAACATTCAGACTCAGTGGCTCTGTGAAACTTTCCTTAGAAGCATTTATTTCTCTTTTCCCCTACTTGTTTATAGAATTTGCAGAGTGCACCACACATTTTGTCATATTTAGTTTAGTACTTACTTTAGTCTTATATTATTTGGTGAGTGATTTGAGGGTAAGAGCTGAAATAATTAAAACAGCACCCCTTCCCTCCAATCACCATCAAGTGCGAGTTCTGTTCTTCTCATCCGTGCCTGGCAGCATGTGCCGTAGGGTAGTACATAGCTCAGTAATACTGAACTCACCTGGGGAGTTGGACTGTGCCTTAGCTGCAGGGTAAGAGGAGAGGAAAGAAGATCATTTTGCCCTAAGATAACTAACAGGTTAACACTGTCTCTTAATAACACTGAGTTTAGACAACTGGTGTATTATTTCATGTATGAATGTTAACATAAGATTCAGAGGGGTCTCTACACTACTTAGTAAGAGGATAGAAATAAGGACTAGTTAACAATCCTGGCTTCTCATGGACTTCAGAGATCAGATGGACACCCCCATAAGACATTCATCCATTTTCTGAGTGTTTCCTGTGTATGTGGCATTGTCCTAGAAACTGTGGGGTTGGTAGAAGTGTGATAGAGAGGAGACAAAGAAGGATAAGACAGCATTTGCCTCATGGTCCTGCCGACATGCTTTGGATGTGAGACTGCTCTTCTGTAAAGTTAAATAACACATGACAACAAGACAGATGCCATGGGGTGATATGTGGTTAATTGTCAAGTGATCGTTTCAGGCTATGAGCTCGCAGAAGAGAGGATCCCTGTGGGACATACTACAGGAATTTGAGACTTGCAGAATGTCAAGACTGGAAGTGCACTTGGGAATTGTCTTCATCAAATCACTCATGATAGAGATGAGGATATGAGGCTCAGACAGAAACATGGCAGCCTGCCTTGGACCCTGCTTATTTTTTTTTCTCTTGGAAGAGCCATCCCCTCTTCACACCCATTTTTCTCCTTTCTTCTCAGGTTAACAGAGCATTTTCCTTCTAAGAGGATTTGTGTGTTTTCACTCTGATGAGGTGCCCATTTTATAGGTAGGATAGATTGAGGCCCCAGGATGGGTATCGTATGAGGCTAGTTAGAGAGATTTAGGAATAGATTCTTTCCTTCTGTTCTGGGGCCATACTCTATAGTCAACCTGCCCACCCACCGCGGTGGCTGCAGACAATGAATAACAAGCTAGTTAATGTTGGACAAGCTGTATCTTACTAACCATTGTTAATGGGGGCCTCTTGTGAGTCACTTTGTAATTTGAGTTAGTGAGTGAATCAAGCCTGGTTACATCACAACCAGGAATATTTTGCTCATTTATTTTGATCAGTGTAGTTTGGATTTAATTATTTATAGAAATACTGTTGTTTATAGTACACTAATAAATGTTCTATAGTAAATTTGGAAAAAATAATGGAGTCTAAGAACCTCAGGATTGCACAGATTGTTTTCTGCTATTGAGTGCATGCAGGGAATCAGAGGAAGCCATCCCTGCTTGGTTGAGATGAGAGGGACCTGCAGCAGAGTGGGGCCAGCAGGGTTCTTGGTCAGTAAAACTGTGCCCTTGGCTAAGTAGGGGACTGTTACTTGGCATGCACTGGAAAGAGAAAAAACCTTCTTTAGGGGAAAAACTGGAAATAAAGCTATGTAGGATAATCAAGGATTATATTGGGTTGTGGGATTATTTAGTATGGGTATATGGTACAACTTGTGTGAATTCATATTTGTGGAGAGATTTCATCATGAATGCAATCCTCTTCTGGATTTGTTGAGAACAGATAGACTGGGAACCTGAAACAGGCCACATACTAAATAAGATCAATGGATTTTGCAGCCAGGTGCCTGGGTTCAAGTCCTGCCTCTGTTTCTTAATAGCTGTGTGACATTGGGCAAGTTGTTACCCTCTCTGCTGTTTCTTCATCTGAAAAAAGGGAGTGATGATATAGTATCTCTACCTTGGGCTGTTGTAAGAATTAAGTGAGACTGTACAGGGCAGAGTGCTTAAAAGAAGTGCCTGACCCATTTGTAGCAAGCACTCAAGATACTTTAGTTTAGTTGTTATTTTTATATCTGGAAGGGGCCTTCCCTTAATTTTCAGATGGAAATGTTGAAGCAGAGGAAGGAGGCACTTGCTCAAGGTTTCCCAGTGAGCTGATGGCAAGGCCTTGGCTAGAACCCAGTTCTCATCAAGATGCTCATTTCAACCACCTCCCATAGTTCATGTCCCCAGTCAATGAGTCTTTGCCATGTCTATCTTTTATGTCGTGCTAAAGTAGACATTGAAAAGGATCTAGAAGTGAATGACTGGGGACCTGTATTCTTGAAATTCATACTCAGAATTTGTAGTAGAAACAGAATAATATTCATTAGATGATTACACTAATAAGCTATGAATAAATTTAACATTATTTCGGGGCTTTTATTGCATGGAGAGTTAAGGGATCCAGAAAGATGAAGAGTAGCTTCTCTCAGAATTGGCATCCATGATACAACTCACAGCTAATCAAGGGAGACTTCTTGAGGGAAGTGAGTAAAGTGTGTAGCTACTAGAACATTGGAGAACACTGGGTTGCTGGGGCTGGTTGACAAGCAGATCCCATTGTGCCAAAGACTCATGTATGCCAAAGTCATGGGCTAGACCTCAATGTTACATTTTTCCTTTCCTCTTCTGTATTTGTGCCTGTTGTGAAATGGGCATATCACATGGATTGGAGCTATCTGTAGAATATCTGCAGCCTGTTCCCCAGAATTATCACACTGGTACAATCCACTACTTTGTGGTGATCTATACCCATAGAGTTGTAGGCTTGAGTTCCCTTTTTGCCTTCACCCTGTGTACCAAGAGTGGAACCTGAGAGCCCTACATAGACACTAGAGGGAGTGTTGCCCTGGGAAAGAAGTGAAAATAAATAGGATGAAATAACAAGACAATGCTGTACCAGGAATTGTTCCGAAGGAGGGAAGATGAAAAGTAGACTGTAAGTGAATTGTGTAGGGGTTGTATGATGATCCATAGATGAATAATCATTTGGCAGCAGGACAGTTTTCAATCCTGGGGGGGGCTGATCATTCAGCCTCTTCCTACAGAAAAAAGGGGAATAGATACAAACACGTTCATTCAGCAGTTAGATACTCAGACCATTAATGACCAAACTAACACTCTACAAATAGATTCAGCTGGAAGTGATGCTTAGGCTAGGTTCTCCCATTGCTTCTGTATTTCCTTCCTTTTTGCTTCCTTGCTCTCTTGTATCTGGTGGTTAAGTCAATAGGTGCTTATTGAGTTGAACAGAATAAATACTTGCTTAAATACTTAAAAGTGCCTGGGTAAAGAACAAGTGTCTTGGGGATGGAGTAGTGTCTGGCCTGCTGTTGCTGGCCTGGGATCTGCACTCTGGGACATTGCGGCTGTCTCTCACAGGCTCTCAGGTCCCACGTGCCTGACATCCTCCCAGAAGCCTTTTTGACATCTATGGTGAGGTAGGCAGTTTCTCATTCAGATGGTTAGAATCAGGTTACAGATTACACTGCTGCATAAGAAATAAACTTTTTCTTTTAAAAATCTGTTCTCAGTGGGAGATGAAGAACAATGACTGAGTTGAACATTTTCAAGACTAGAAAAATAGCTCAAGCTGCCATATCTGAATGTGATTACACATAGTGGGGGAACTTGTCTACAATAAGAGTTCTGAGACAATGAAGCTGGTGACACAGATAAACTTGTTTTCCAGAGTGGTGGTGGAAGAGGAGGGTATCCTTAGTGGTGAAAGAGTTGCTTATCTCACTGTGTTGCTTTCAGTGTTATTCATGCTTGAAAGCAAACTTTTGTTTGAAAGATTTCTCAAAACTCTAAAGCGTCTTTTCTGTCATGAGAAGGTCCCTAAGCCACAGCAATCTTGAACAAGTCTCTAAGCCTTAGTTTCACTGGCTGTAAAATGATGATAATACTGGAATTGCAGGATTGTTGTGAATCTTAGAGATGATGCCTATAAAGGGCCTAGCATAATAGGCTATTTTAACATAAGAATGTTAATTTTTGTAATTCCAGTACTTTGGGAGGCTGAGGCGGGCAGATCACTTGAGGTCAGGAGTTCGAGACCAGCCTGGCCAACATAGTGAAACCTCCGGGCTCTACTAAAAAAAAAAAAAAAAAAAAACACAAAAATTAGCTGGTGGCACATGCCTTTAATCCCAGCTACACGGGAGGCTGAGGCTGGAGAATCTCTTGAACGCAGGAGGCAGGGGTTGCAGTGAGCCAAGATGGTGCCACTGCATTCCCCAGCCTGGGTGACAGAGTGAGACTCCGTCTCAAAAAAAAAAAGAATGTTAATTCTCATTTGGAGATCTGTTGGTACTCTACCCGTATTCCCGGGGTGTTCCTTTGCTCTGCATGCTGGCCTGATTTCCAACCACCAGCACCAGGGACCAGCTTTCCCTGATCACTGTAGCTTGCTTTGATCACACAAGGTACAGGCTGGAAGAGTCAAGGAGTTAATGCCTGTGAGGGAGCAGAGAGCAGCCACTACCAATGACTGGTAGGAGTTGATGGATAAATATCTAGCCCCCTTGACTACTGGGGTTGGCTAACTCTGAGACATGTTTCTTTCATGGTTTCCCAGAGCTCCCTGTGGGATTAAACCCCAGTTTTAAATATATTTTAAATGTGTGTGTGTGTGTGTGTGTGTGTGTGTGTGTGTTTTAAATGGGTGCATTATTAGTAAGGAGAGAGCCTGCAAGTATGATTTAAAAAAATGGAAAATGCTTCTTTCAAGCATGCCTAGATTTGGTCTTACTTCAAGCAGATATATTTTCATTCATTCTTTCGCTCATTCATTCAATAATTTGTTTGCTTAGTATGATGCCAGTTAAGTTATTTGAATTTTCTGGGATTCAGTTTCGTCACCTATAAAATGAAAAAGTTGCAAAAATTGGTGCAGCCCATCTCACCACAAAGTAGATGTGATATTAGGTCAGTCATTTCTTGATGGGTAAAATGGGCACAATCCTGTTTACTCCCTTTATGTCACAGTTAAAAAATGAGATGGTGCACATGGAAGCATTTTGAAAAGAATAGGGGGTGATATGAACTCAAGTTGTTAGTTTACCTCACCTCTCCTTCATTCCTTAAGGAGCTAGAGACCCTTTGACAACAGATTTGAGACCAGATGCAGCTCTTGCCTTCTTCTGCCTTCTCTCAGTACAAATGAACACTTCCATTAACACGCATACCATGGTAGTAAAAACCCCAAGATTCTTATTCCAGGCGTGTTGTACAATTTTTTTCAAGTCACGTCTGATAATAATAAAATTCTCAGATGGGAGTGTAATTTGGATGTTTTAACAAAACATTTGCCCCAGGTTGTGACCTGTATTGATTGCTCTGCCTTACTCTTTTCAGATCATGTGAAGTGTTTCAGAGCACCTAGTATATGCCTAGTGAGGCAGCATGTGCAAAAAAATCTATGTGATGCAGACTGGACACCCAAGAAAACTTACAATTTTGTGTGTGGTAAACATATGTTGGACAGATATTGCAGAGAACAGTGTGAGATAGCATAAGACATGTGCTAATTGGAGCATGCTTAGGAAATAACTTGAACATAATCAAGACCACAGTGAATGAAAATTAATGAAATTATTAAAAAATTCTGGTTGTTTTTATTATCTGCAACAAAATCTACTAGCACAATAAGAAATAGATGCTATCACCAAACCTGGGTCACTTGACAAGGAGTGTCCTGAGCTTTGAGGTCAAATAGATTACCTGTTGTTCTGACAATTGTTCAGAATTCTGCCATGTCAGTGTGGTGTATAAATTGCTTACAGAGAACTCTGTTTTACCGTGTGTTTCTACTTGTTTTATTTTCTTTATAGGAAGATAAAGAATATGCTATTTCACCATAGTACTATGATATTCCAACTTTTTAGTTGTATTATTATTAGATATTCTAATTTGTACTGATTTCTTTCTTTCTAGGCCTGTTTCCCTTCTGTCATCTTGAGATTTCTATTTATTTTACTCTTGGATTAGTGCCTCTGTTTTTTGGATCCCATTCCTCTGTTGTGGGCTGCTTTTCATTTTTCTGTGGCATATCCTCAAGTAATCTTTTTCAGAGAATGCATGGGAATGTCTTGGTTTATACCTCTTGTCCTGATAGAATATGAATAGATGTATTTTGACTCTCAAAAGATCCAGGCTTAGATGATGAATCATATGGTCACCCAGTGCTTGGGAGATATTAATGCTTTAAAAATTTTTAATTTAAAAAATTGTTTGTGGGTACATAGTAGGCGTATATATTTATGCGATACGTGAGATGTTTTGGTACAGATATGCATTGCATAATAATCACATCATGGAAGATGGGATATCTATCCATTCAAGCAGTTATCATTTGTGTTACAAATAATCCAGATTATACTCTTTTAGTTATTTTAAAATGTACAATTAAAATTATTATTGACTCTAGTCACCCTTTTGTGCTATCAAATACTTGGCCTTATTCATTCATTTTATTTTTTGTACCCATTAATAATCCCCACCTCCCCCTCTCCCCCACTACCCTTCCTGCCTCTGGTAATCATTCTTCTACTCTATGCGCATGGGTTCAGTTGTTTTCATTTTTAGACGCCACAAATAAGTGAGAATATGCCATGTGTGTCTTTTGGTGCCTGGCTTATTTCACTTAACATAATGACCTCTACTTCCATCCATGTTTTTGCAAATGACTGAATCTCATTCGTTTTTATGGCTGAATAATACTCCATTGTGTATATGTACCACGTTTTCTTTATCCATTCATCTGTTGATGGACAGTCAGGTTGCTTCCAAATCTTGGCTATTGTGAATAGTGCTGCAGCAAACATGGGAGTGCAGATATCTCTTTGATATATTGATTTCCTTTCTTTTGAGTATATAACCAGCAGCGGGATTGCTGGATTGTATGATACCTCTATTTTTAGTTTTTTGAGAAACCTCCAAACTGTTCTCCATAGTAGTTGCACTAATTTACATTCCCACCAACAGTGTACAAGGGTTCCCTTTTCTCCATGTCCTCACCAGCATTTGTTATTGCCTGTCTTTTGGATATAAGCCATTTTAACTGGGGTGAGATGATATGTTATTGTAGTTTTGATGTGCATTTCTCTGATGATCAGGAGATCCACTTTTAAAAAAGATTCTTGGCATGTCTAAAATTTTGTTTTGCTCTCACATTGGCTTGGTGGTTCCTCTGGACATAGAAATCTAGGGTCAAAAAAGTTTTTCTTGGATTTGGGAAGTACTTAGGTTACTTGATGCTTTTGTATCATGTGCTATTTGGCATTATATGTGTCTCCCCTTCTACTCATGGACTGATGAAGGTGGGAAAAGGAGGTACATAACATAAGATACCTCTGACTTTGTTCAAATTAGTGATGTGCAACCCTTGAGGAAGCCTGATGCATTAAAACTGGATTTACACAAAATCGGTAGTATAAGGTGGGGGATTAAACACTCTGCAGAGCCATTTGCTATTTACACTCATTATCCAAATACCTTCAATGTAAAACTCAACCAAAAGAAGTAGTTTTAGGCAGGTTGCATTGGCTCATGCCTGTAATCCCAGCAGTTTGGGAGACCAAGGCAGACAGATTACCTGAGGTCGGGAGTTTGAGACCAGCCTGGCCAACATGGTGAAACCTTGTCTCTAGTAAAAATTCAAAAATTAGCCAGGTGTGGTGGCACACACCTGTAGTCCCAGCTACTTGGGAGGCTGAGGCAGGAGAATCACTTGAACCGGGGAGGCGGAGGTTGCAGTGAGCAGAGATCACATCACTGCACTCCAGCTTGGGTAACAGAGCTCCGTCTCAAAAAAAAAAAAAAAGGAGTAGTTTTATTTATTTAATTTTAGCTTCGGGGGTACATGTGAAGGTTTGTTATGTAGGTAAACTCATTTCATGGGGGCTTGTTGTACAGATTATTTTGTCATGCAGGTATTTAAGCCTAGTACTCAATAGTTATTTTTTCTGCTCCTGCAGAAAAAATAGCCAGCATTGTCTGTTGTTCCTTCCTTTGTGTTCATGAGTTCTCATCATTTAGCTCCCACTTGTAAGTGAGAACATGTGGTATTTGGTTTCTTTTTCTTTAAAAAAATTTAAAATCATTTTTAAAAACCACAGCAATAGCCAATTAATATGGTTTGGAACTGTGTTCTTGCCCAAATCTCATGTTAAATTGTAATCCCCATTGTTGGAGGTGGGGCTTGGTGGGAGGTGATTGGATCATGGAGACAGATTTCTCATGAATGGTTTAGCACCATCCTCTTGGTACTGTCCTTGTGACAGTGAGTGAGTTCTCATAAGATCTGGTTGGTTAAAAGTGTGCAGTGCCTCCTGCCCCCACTCCGCCTTGCTCCTGCTTCTTCCGTGTAAGACATCTGCTCCCCCTTTGCCTTCTGCCATGATTGGAAGTTTCCTGAGGTCTCCCCAGAAGCAGAAGCGAATGTGTTTCCTGTACAGCCTGCAGAACCATGAGCCAATTAAACTTCTTTTATTAAATATAAAATACACAGTCCTAGATGTTTCTTTATAGCAATGTGAGAATGGACTAACACATCAATATTCAATACATATTTGTGGAGTCCCCTCTATGTGCCAGGTGCTGCTGGATTCTGAGTCTGTAATAGTGAGCAGTGCTCTGATTGAGAGGTACATGACAACACTAGGGACATTTAACTTAGGAAGGGCAGAGAGGGAGATGCAGATGAGTGGAGATTGCAAAGATGTGCAGGGTGGATTAGGTGCAGAGGTGAGGGCATAGTGTTCTGGGCATATGGCTTCTGTGGCAGGGAGGAGCAAGGTATTTGAAGGGGAAAGGAAGGACAGTGTGGCTGGAGCAGAGGGGCTGGGGGATGGTGAGAGATGAGATGAAGCTAGACAGGCAGGCATGGGCAGGACTAAGCAAGGGTTTAGTTCTTTATCCCAACAGCAAAGGGGTGGCCTGGCCTGGTGGCTTATGCGTGCAATTCTAGCACTTTGGGAGGCTGAGGAAGGGAGATCCCCTGAGCCCAGGAGTTTGAGAGGCAACATGGAGAAACTCTGTCTCTGCAAAAAATACACACACAAACAAAATTAGCTGGGCATGGTGGAATGCACTTGTGGTCCCAGCTACTCAGGTGGCTGAGGCTGAGGTGGGAGGATCACTTGAGCCCAGGAGGTTGAGGCTGCAGTGAGCTGTGATCATGCCACTGCACTCTAACCTGGATGACAGAGTGAGACCTTGTTAAAAAAAAACAAAAAGAAAAAGAAAAAAAGTAAAGAGGTGAGCCATGAAAAGGTTTATAGTAGGAGAGTGATAAAATGATAAAATTAAATGTACATTAAAAAATCACTCTGATCACCCTGTGGGTTAGAGGGAAAAAAGGATGAATGCTAAGAGGATGTAGCTGGAGAGGTTGATGGCTTGGATGGTGGTAGTGGGGGTAGATAAGAAGGAGTCCACTGAAGAAATATTTGGCAGATGTAGTTGATTGTGTCATTAGCTCCAATTGTTCACTTCTCTTTATAACTCCCTTTGTATGGGACCTTTGCAGTGCCCTCTCTCTGAATGGGACCTTCTTCCCCATCTTCTAACTTTTGGTTTGGCCTTGTGACTTGCTTTGGCCAATAGAGAGTTGGAAGTGATAGTGTGCCAGTTCTAAGCTCAGTTATCAAGAAGCATGTGTGTTTCTACCTGTTTTTTTGTGCCTTTGGGGTGGCCATGAGAAAAACATAGCCTATTGGTCTCAGGAGGAGGATGAGAGACAACTAGTACATAGCCATTCCCAGCCAAGCCCACGCTAGATCAGCCCAGCCCAGTCCAGCTAGAACCACGTAGCTGAGCCCAGTTATGATCAGCCAACCCCAAGCTGCCCTGAATATTTCTGAGAATAAAGTGATTGATTGTTGTGAGAATAAGTGATTGAGATTTAGGTGGTTTATTTTGCAGCGTTTTTGCAGCAGGTAAAATCAATAGAACTTGAGAGATTGGATGTAGCAAATGTGTGGGAACATAATTACGGTATAAAGTGAGGCTCACCTGTATTTCGAGATCATTAGCCTGCTACATACATGCTCAGGGATGGACTTAGGAGTGTTTTTTTCGTGGTTGCCTGCCCCTTGCCTCTCTTTACAATTCATGGTTTCTTTTTCTGGAGCTGAATGCGGTAGGCCAGATTTATAGTCCAAAAGAATTAATTGTCTACTCTTTTTCCTTCTCACTCTCCTTCTGGCAGGCTAATCAGATTCCAGCAGAGCCTGAGAGCTGAGTAATCCTCAGTTCCCTCAATAGGGGCCTTCAGACTCTAACATTTAGTGTATTCTTGTTGGAGTTGAAATCAATTTTAGCTCTGACTGTGAAGATAGAATTTCACTTGAAGGGGTGAGAAATACAGGGCCAGGGATTTTCTTGGTTTTGACTGATTATTTAAAATATATTAGTTCCGATAAAATATTTAGCTTTTAAACAACAAATTTAATATAGGGAATTGTACTTTATTTGTTAATGGAAGTTGCAGGGAGATTGGTAGGAGTTGTGCTAAAGTGCACTGTTGTGATTTTGCAAAGTATAGTAATTACTGTAATATTTTGTTGAATTATTAATATCTACTATGCCTACAGGAACATAAGCTTTGCAGCTGAATTCATTTTAAAATTGCCTTTCTCCCTTCTGGTTTTGTTTTGTGTTTTCTTTCTTGTGCACTTACTAATTTTTAAAGAAATGGGGTAGGGCAGTGTTAATTATATTGTATGAAACACTGTTGTCACATGCTAACTGAATATATGCTTCTTCCAAACCGGTTTGCAGTGGCAGATTGAGGGATGCTGAAAGAATCATGTCTGGGGAGAAAGGGCTCATCCATGTGTTTTTTTCAGGAGCTGAGATGAGGAGAGAAAAATAGCAGAGAGGTCACATGTATGCACATGAGTATTATGTCTGCATGCTTCTAAGCAGAGCTGGTCCTACCTGTAGATGAAATTGGTAGGTGTTTAGGCATGTGTGATGAAACAGCACAAGTCTCCTTTTTTATTTTGAGATGGAGTTCACTCTTGTTGCTCAGGCTGGAGTATGCAATGGCATGATCTTGGCTCACTTGGCTCAGTTTGTATTTGTATTTTTAGTGTAGGCAACAGTTCATTATGTTGGCCATGGTGGTCTCGAACTCCTGACTTCAGGTGATCCACCCACCTTGGCCTCCCAAAGTGGTGGGATTACAGGTGTGAGCCACAGCACCTGGCCTCAAGTCCCCTTTCTTAATTGCCTTAACAGTGATTACTTAGTGTCTATTATGTGCTCAAATGAGATTATTGTGCATGATGATGATGATGATGATGGTGATAGCTTACAATTGTTACCTGAGTGGGCTCATGCTGCAATAGGACTCTGGATGGAGTGCAGGGTTATAAATAAGCACTTTTTTTTTGTCTTTTGTTTTTTGTTTTTTGCTTTTGTTTTTGTTTTTTTTTTGGTTGTGACTAAACTGAAATTGGAGGACTAGCCTTCACATGAATATCTGCCAGCTTTATGAAATGGTGTAAGTCGGTCAACATCTGAGACTCAAGTTTCCTCATCTGTTTAATAGTTGCAAGGATCAAAATGAAATCATGTATTTGAAAGGGCATTATAAACTATAAATGTACAGATATTTTTAAGGAAATATCACAACATGGTATTAAATTGTGGAAGAAGTTGCTCATACTCATGTTGTGATTTTGAAGGGGAGCAAGGAGGACTTTTTTGCTTGATTTTATTTTTTCCTTTCCAGAATCTTCACAATTAGAGGACCATTTTTCATGTTGAACATTGTTCCCTCTAAGGTCCTCTTAAAATATAAATAATTCAGAGACAATATTTAGAGCTGGAAAGAACACATAATGACCTAACTACATCTTTTTCCTGACATAGAAAATGTGGGCAAGCGAGATTGTATAGTGCCCAAATTCATCCAGATAGTAGAAACTCCCACATCAATGTCCACTTCTCTGACTTTTAGTCCAGTGCTCTTTCTGTAACACTCTGATGCCCATTCGTATTCCATTAAGTTTTTAGTCCAGAGAATTTCCCCCCAGAATGTAGCCTTGGGAAGAATAAATAAATAGATGACTAGTGGGGAGATATCAGGTTTGGGATTCCTTTAGGTGGAAGAGTAGTGCTTGGATCGGAAGGACCTGATCTTGAATCTTAGCTCCACCCCTGACTAGGTAGCTGTGACCTGGGCAAGTTACTTTTCTGAGACCTACTTCTCTCCTTTATAAAATCAGGATATAATCCCATTTTGCCTGGTCTTTGTGAGGATTTAGTGAGTTTAAAGGGCTTGCCAAGGCGCCTGCCCTGTGGTAGAAGATACTCTAAAATGAGTAGGAAATGGTTATTGTTAGATAAGAGGTCCTGGAGATTAGCTTGATCTCCCTCACAGTTGGTCTGCCTTTTGCCAGCCATTCTTTCACTCTCCTGTGAGGGTGTGTATTTTTTAAGAGGAGAGGAAACTGCACCCTCCAACATTGCTGGTTCCCTTCCCCAGGATCGGGGAGGGAGGACTATGTGAAAGGCCCCTGCAGAGATGCCTGCACAGTGGGGGACACTCCTGCACTGGCCAGAGGATGAGCTGGGACTTAGCAATAGCCCTTCCTTTCTCTTTTTTCTCACACAGCAGCAGCTCCAGCCCGATTTAAATTTCCTTTAAAGGAGCTGAGGATGATAGGAGGGTGGAGATGTGCATCTTGAAAGAACGGCAGGTGACTCTAAAAATGAGACAAATCAAAGCTCCTGCATCTATAGCTGCACATCGCTGTGTCTTAGGTGGCTCTGCTTCTTATTTTAAGTTACCAAGGTGGCTTCCTGAAAAGTGGGTTTCAGTTTTTTAACTGAGAGTTTATTATCCTGCATCTGTGCATCCTGCCGATCTGTGAGCTGGGTAGGACCTATTGTTTCTAGTGAACTTACAGCATGTAAAGCATGACCACCTATGGGTTAACATTTAGGTAGTGGAGGAACTTCTAGGGACAGAAGAAAACAGGAAACACCCCAGAGTCTGAGTCCCTTCTCAGGTATGGGGGCTGGGTCAGCCTTTACCTGAAATAAAATAAGAGCAAGGGATGCAGGGAAGTGAGCTCCTGTGGCCCTCACCCTCCCCTCTACCCAGCACCCTCCACTTTCCTTCTGACCTAGGGAAAATGGTCTAATACTGGTCCTTTGTGTCTTCACTTTTTTTTTCTGAGCCCTTCACATTTCAAATCTGATATCCTAATGGTGAATGAGTTGGGGATGGTTTGGGAAGGCGTTTTAGGGATGGTGACTCTTGAAATCAGAGCCTGTGCTATTTGCCTAATTTTTCCAATTTTTAGGGCTGGCATCAGGGAGAGGTAGGACAGTCCAGACATCTTTCTGGTCCAGAGATGCCTATTTCCTGTCTGACTCATGCCTGAGCCTCAAAAAGCTCCCATGAGAGGAGAGCCATGGGCTCTGGCCAAAGACTGGCTCTTCTCTCTGTGTTGGTCAAGTACTTACAATGATGGATTTTTCTTGGTTTAAGCGGAGGGGCAATTGGGGAGAGCTTTGCTCTGTACCTTTTTTCCTTTTTAAATTTTATTTATTTATTTAAAATACATATGACATAAAATTTGCCATTAGAATCATTTTTACTGCTACAACTCAGTGCCTATTAATGAAGAACCACTTAAACAGTGACTTCCTCTTGCTCTGTTCTTTACACAATTAAATTATCTTCTTCAGCATCTGAGCAAATATGGGGATTTCTAGTTTATTCCCCTCTTCTGCCTTCTCCTGTTCCGTCTCTAACCATTTTCTCTTCTTTCTTCCCAGAACAGGGGCCCATGGAGTTGGGAATGAGGACGAGTCTTGTAATATTCAGGGATAAGAAATAGGGGAGTATTTTTCATCTCCCCCTTGACAGCTATGTTATTTATTTATTTATAAAGATAATCATACCTGCTATCACCCAGAGAAAGATATGTATCTTGCTCCACCACCCTAACTTGTTCTCCTGAAGCAGGGATGGTAATGCCAAATTATCTGCTCCTTGACCATCATGGGCATCCTAGCAATCAGTGACATACCTCAACAGGCAAGCTGCCCTTGTCCAGTGCAGTCTTGACATTGTGACTTAGTTTTGGCTAAGCCTTTTTAAGAGGAGACTTGCTTGTACATAGCTGAGATCAAACACACTTCATAGTTGAGTTGTTATTACCTATATATTTATTAATATCATTGTTATTTAAGGTAGTATGATTTGGGAATATAGATAGATAGATAGATAGATAGATAGACAGATAGATAGATAGATACATATCATCCTGCAATAAATAGTTTTTAAAATATCTTGAACAAATTCCTAATTGCACTTCAGTACTGTGATCGATGATGAACAAGAAACAGTTCAGACTTGATCTCGGCCTTCTGGGAACTTAAAATCTAAGAGAAGTATGTGTAGGTGGAAGGATGGAAATCCAAATCAATATTGGAATCAAAAGTGAAGCATCTGGGGATGGGATCCAGCACTTACTGAAGGTTTGCTGTGTGCCGGGTGCCAGTTTTGGGTGCTTTATTTGTGTCAGTTCATTTTTCCCTCATAACTTTATGAGTTGGAGGTTATTACTATCTCTCTTTAACAGAAAACTGTGATGAAGAGAAGTTAGATTATCAAGCTCACATGGCTAATAAGCTTCAGAGTGGGTAATGAAATAGAGGAAAATACAGATGTAAGGTAGTTGAGTCTACTGTATTATTGATGTTGAAATCAGGATATTACAGAGTTTGTGAGTGCGGATAGGCTGAGAGTATCAGAGCAAAAGGGTGGGAGAAGGTAAAGACATCAGCTTTTATTTCATTTTAAAATGACATAATTTTGCAAAAATAATAGACCACAATTAGGATACTCTTACTGTGTGCCAAACATTGAGCTGTAACTTTTGCATTCAGCATCTTGTTTAATCTTCATGGTGACTCGATGAAGTTTCTACTATTATGAGCCACATTGTAAAGATGAGTAAATAAAAGCATGGTGGGGCTCAATACCTGACCCATGTCACAAAGCTGGTGAGTGACAGAGCTGCAAGTCCCACGTGGACCATCTGACTTGAGAGCTCCTTACTTGATGAGTTACAGAGCCCACTTCTCCAATTCATACCAGCCAGGGAAGCAAGGCCTCAGCAATGCAAGGTTGAACTGCTGACCCCATGAGGGCTAAGATGGGTTTTCAGCTCCTGGGCCTTTTTGCAATTAGACTGGCATGTTCTTTTCTAGAAGCCTTCATTGAATATTTGTACTTAAGCTCTGGTGTTTCCAGGCAAAGAGCAAGATGAGTAAAGGCTTGGAGGTGAGAAGTAATAGGGTGTTTTTCGGAACTAGGAGAGTCAGGAAGAGATGGGTCCAGATCACACAGGCATTGCATAGCCCACTGGCAAACTTGCATGTTATTTTTATAGGCACTGGGAACTCTTAGTAATTTTAAACAAGGGAAACATGTAATTAGCAGTGGCATCAATTGTCCTCAAAACACCACAAAATCCATTCTCCCTACTTCATGGGAGGAAAAAGAAAGGCTCAGAGAGGCTGAGTTTTTGCCTGGAGTCAGTCAGCAACTTGTTAGTGGAAGGAGCAGCAGAAGCCCACACTGCCGTCTCTCCTTCCAGCTCTGGGAGCTGCCGGCTGCCTTCCTTTCACTCTGCCTGTTCCCTTCCCACCTCTTGCCCGCTCCCTCCTGGCACAGTGGAGTCCTCTCCATCATTACAGCAGCCAGTGGGGTTCTGTTGTAATTAAAGGAAGCCAACAGGGAGAAGCAAGGCAGAGCAAGGGAAAAAAGCAACCACCAACACCACACAAACTCCGTAACAACTGCTGTCTATCGCCTTTCATGGGCACTTGCTTGCTTTAAGTACAGCAGAGGGAAACCCCATAGGATGGTGTGGGAAAGCAGGTTATTAAGTTGCCTTCAGGCTGGCAGAGGGGGGATTTACTCCTTTTCTTGTACTCCCTACCCTGCAGTGCAAAACTGATCAAATATTAAAAGTTGAAAGAGACTTCGAAGGCCATTTAGTTCAACTTCTCCTCCAAGGCAGGGCTTCCTCCATTGCTTTCCTCTCTCCGCATGGCATCTCTGATATGTTGTTATGTGGTGGCTCCCTCGCTCCCCAGCTCCCCACATTTTCTGGATCAAAGCTTAGGTAGGGATGGGAGACATTTTCACTAGCAAAATACTGGCCACACAAGCCTGTTGTCATTTACGGCAATGACTTCAGAAATGTTTAATTAATTCATTTATCCAATTAGCCTCTTGCTCTCTGAAATGCTTTTTCTAGGTTGCTGAGCAACTAGGACAGACTTTGAACACATGCATGCTGCTGCTGAATGAACCAGGAGCTTTTTCCTTCACACTGGCAGCCCCCCACTCCTCTTTCTTCTTTTATTTTTCTGGTGCACAGTAAAGAAGAAGATCTCTATCATCCCCCATCCTTCTCGCCTTCCCCACCCCGGCCTCTCTGAATGTGCATGCTGCCTGCCTTAACACATTTCCAAAGGTAACTTTTATGCCAAGCATTTGTCATGGACAAGGAGAATGACAGGATATATGGGCACACAGAGATGCCTCTGTAAAATAATGAAATTATCTGGGCTCAGGCATGACTTGGGAAGAGCTTTGCTGGTTGCTGGGGGAGGCGAGGGTGAGGGCTGGCTAAGGGTAGGCTCAGATGCATTGGGGAAGAAGGTGCAGGCTGTCTTGGGGTGACGTTGCATTAAGTGCAGCTTGACTAGGCAGCAGTTCCATCTGTCTTTACAGTGTGTCCTTCATGGGGGAATTGTCAGCCATCCCCAGTCTGGAGTGCATTGTGAGCAATAAACAGGAGCGGGGCTTAAGGTGAAAATGAAAGGAAAAATATCAACCCAGGAGGGCAGCAAAATGCCTTGAGGAATCATCCTTGACGTGTAACACATTTCCGTTTAAGGATGTGAAAATGCCACAGGCTGCTTCACTGAGTTAGAATGTTAGAGATGGACTTTGAGCTCAAATTGCCACCATTCTTCGTTTTTACAGATGAGAAAATCGAAGCTCAGGGAGGATAAACTGTTTGCTCAGTGTCTCACAGCCATGTCCTGCTTATGTCACCACATTCCTCCTCTTAGATTTCATTAAGGGGCCCTTGTCCATAAAATTAGTCACTTGAGTCATCAAAGCTTACTTTTAAAATTTTGACTTTATTTTGGAGTAGTTGAAGTTGGCAGTGAAGATTTGCAGCGCTCAAGGATCTTGGCATCTATCTCCCCATTCACCTTGACATGTGTGTATTGCAGATGCTAGGGGCGTGTGCTTGGGCTCAGTATTCAAATATGAATGAGGAAGGGTCCCTTGTCTTCAAAGACCTCCCCCAAACCCCTCATGTGGTGGAAGAGATGGACAGTAAAGGAGGAAGGAACTCCTTCTCAGAGACATTAAAGAAGCATTCAGAGAAGAGGAGCTGGGCAATTTGCTGGGCCCAGATCTTACAGTGAAGGGGGCTATGGGGATGGGATCGGGGTGGAGGACATTCCTGGTCAAGGAGACAGCATGGGCCCAGTAAGGAGGCATGAGAGATGGTGACATGTTTGAGGACTGGAGAGTGGCCTGGGAATAGAGCCTTCCAGCTGTCTGGCTTTTCTCTGATGCATGGTGGATGGTTTGGTGCTGCCCACACCGACTTCTGGAAGACACCGCCTCTTGCTCTCTGGAATAATAAGAAAGCACAGTTATCTCTATGCATGTATCAGTATGAAAAAGCATATGCCAGGATTCCCGGATGGAAATGACTTCCCTTTGAAGTTAGTTCATAAATAATGATGAAGACCATAAAAGTACACATGCACTGCACACATTTAGCTACTGCTGTGGACTGTGCTTGCTGGGAGCAGAACCTTCAGGAAAACCAGCTGCCCAGAGAAAGAATGAGGGACTATACATTCGCTAAAGCACGGGCTCCCAGAGCCTCCTGTAGGACCAAGGGAGACCTTTTATGGAACAGGGTCTATTCCACGGCACTCACAATTGTAGTAATCACTTAGTCACTCTGAAATTCCAAGAGATAGTCAGAGAAAAAACATGGCCTGTGACAATGATTGCCCTGACCAAGCCTTTCCAAGGCAGCAGATGCTTCTTTACTTCCAAGCATTGCCCGTCATGATCAAGTTCTTCCTCCAGCAGTGCAGCCACGTTTCCCTGGTGGCAGACATTCCTTTTCCAAGGTTGGGCTTGCTTTTAGAGGGCCCAGAGATGGCAAACAGCATTGTGTAGTGCTCCTTAGTATAAACTCTCCTCTGGGATTGTTCTTAACAAGGTGGTTTGAGTTTCTCTAGGAATTAAGCTGGGGCTGGCTATTATTTTTCTGGTAAGACTTGTTACTCTAAAATGCATATGGGGCCAAAATCACAATAGTCTTGTCTTTGGAGCAATCAGACGCACATGGCAATCTAAGGCTCTGGTAAGGAAGAGTCCGTGGGTTCTTATTCAATAAATATTTAATACATTGGGCTTTGATGGATGTAGACACTGTCTGCTTGGGTTTTCCTACACCAAAAGGTGAAGTCTCTGGTGGTCACTGCCTCTTGTTTGTTCCTTTGATTTCCTTTGACGAAAAACAATTCTTGTCTTGGTGAGGTCTATTAAATCTGTTCTTTTCCAAAATGGGGCTGGTAGTGCATGTTGGACAGAACTGGAACTTTCCCTCTGGTCATTCCTTGCCATCCCCTGGGTGATTCGGTTTCCCATTTTCTGGGATGTGCTGATAGGGCTTGTCTCCCGCCCCCTCTTATATAAGGAGGCAGGGTGCATCTAGTGCCAGATTTTATTCAACCCTGTAACAATCCCCCCTTTATGACATCACTGCTCATCACCATGGAAACATTTCCTCCGAGTCACAGAGACTGGATTGTGGCATCATAGCATCAGGCAGGAGGAGGAGAAGAGGAAAGGGGAGAGGATTGAAACTGCCTGGAGGGATGAAATGCCAATAAAATAGGACGCAGTCACAGAAATAGGATTTTTCTGTCCGGATCCTTGAATGGAGAATCTAACCATGAGCCACAGGAATAAACCTTATCTAGCATAAGGAGGAAGAGCTTTTGTGGAATGTAGACCTGGGACCTTTTGTTCCTGTGCAGTATTTCTTCAGGGAAATGGAATAATTTTAATGAGAGCTATGCTGTATTTTGTTTTATTTTAGAGACAGGGTCTTGCTCTGTTGCCCAGACTGGAGTGCAGTGATGTGATCATAGCTCACTGTAACCTCAAACTCCTGGGGTCAAGTGATCCTCCTGCCTCAGTTTCCCAAGTAGCTGGGACTATAGGTGCATGCCTCCATACCCAACTATTTTTTTTTATTTTTTATAGAGATGGGGTCTCACTGTGTTTCTCAGGCTGGTCTATCCTGTATTTTATATGCATTTCTTATTTCATCCTCACAAAGTCTCTTTGGACTATTGGATCAGAGAGGTTAAATAACCTGCCTAAGGTAACACGGCTAGAAAATGGCAGAGCTGAAAATTATTAGGGGCATAAGATGTAAACTGTGTTCTCATGCAGCTTAGTGTTGGGAGAGAGAGAGAGAGAGGAGAGAGAAGA
Organism: Homo sapiens; assembly: GCF_000001405.40. Classification (NCBI taxonomy): domain Eukaryota; kingdom Metazoa; phylum Chordata; class Mammalia; order Primates; family Hominidae; genus Homo; species Homo sapiens. The sequence continues at coordinate 104,667,023 of NC_000010.11, forward strand.
GAGAGAATATGTTGGAGACAATTATCAAGTTAATAACATATACATAGTTAAAATTGTGGTAGGTGTCATGAAGAGAACAGACATGATGCTTTCAGTGAGGAGATACTGGAGTGTGCATAGGAACTACTTATGTTTGTATGTTATTAAATTTGGGACAAGGCTCTGAACCTAGTTGGTATGGACTTAGACGTGCAAGGCACTGTGCTCACATATGTACTGACTTTCCCGAGCTCACGTGCTGGGCCCCACAACCAATACCCTTCTCCTCAGCTGCTTTTCTCTGCCTATGCCCCATCTTTTTGCTTCTCCATTTGTCTTCTCCCTTCTCCTGAGATCTTCCTGCCTGCCCTCCTCTCTTGATCCTGTTTCTTCCTACTGATCTCTGATCTTCTCTTTCTCTAGACTATAAACTCCTCAAGAGAGAGAAAACTGTTCCCCTGTTTTATATCTTGGTTTACCCAAGGATCAGGCTCTAGCCTGATCTAGGACTGCTTCTATGGTCTGCTACAGAAATAAATGAGCAATGTCCCTTTTTAAAGAAAAAAAATGACTACATTTTTCACAGTTAAAAAATATTGTCTAGTAGACTTTTCTTAACAAACGCTGGCTGATAAATGAATGAACAAGTAACAAGTGAGCATTAAAAGGGAACAAAACCCCAGAGTAAATGGCCAATCCTGTGTTGTTCTACAGCTTGTTTGTCGTTGTTTGCATAGGTTCATTATGATTGTGATTTCAAGTTGTATTCATGTGATCTGGCCACCTTTTCTCTTAATACAACTGGTCCAAGTCTGTAGGATGGTGTCAGCTTAGTGCTTCACAGGGTTCTAAGAGCTGGGGGTGCTTTGCCATGGACCTCCTCTGGGAGCTGCTGTGCTGGTGCCCCATGTGGCAATAGATGGATGTAAGGAGGCCTCATACTTTCCATTTGTGTCACCTTGCTGAGCTTTCCTTGATTCATCTGAGTTTCAGGAGTGTTTGCCACTTGAGTTCAAGGCGCCTTCGTGGCACTCCTAGGATTTAAAGTGGGCAGGTTGGTCTCAATTTGGTCTCCAGTGTCTGGGCTGCCCAACTCAGATGAGCACCTTGCTGGTTGGAGGTCTGCAATTAGACTTTATTGCAACAGCTGTGTGTGTGTGTGTGCGCGCATGTGTGTGCACGCGCAATAGTAAACCATATTAAGTGCCTTTACTATCCAACCTTGTTCTTTCCAGGGCCTACAGTAACTTGATCTGACTTCTAAGGGGGCCCTTCTGGACCTGCTTTATGGATTCTATCAGAACCATTTATGACGGGCACATGTAGAACTACTAAGTGCCTTTTTTTCCTCTTTTTCTTTGTTAAGTGTTACATGGGGAGTGAATAGTGAATTAATTAAGACCACAGGGTTTGGAGTGAGAGAGACAAGAGTTTGATCCTGGTTTAGCCTCTTACTAGCTATATGGTCTTGGGCAAGTTACCTGTATTCCCTACATTTAAATGTCTTCATATACAAAATAGGCATGAATATATATTTGTACCTACTTCATAATGTTGATATTCAGATTCAGTGAGATACACTTGTATTGTCTTACCATGATGTCTGTCTCATCAAAATTAACTGTGATTAAGTGGGTCAAATGTACCATTTGCATATTTTCCCCCAAAATTATGCAAATACTTTTTGAACTCAGAATAAAACTTGAACTATAGCACAGATCATATCTAGACTTTTTCAAGTTTGAATTAGAAGGGTCAGAATAATTGGCATTTTAATTGTTCACCATTTACAGGCACCATAGGTGAAGGGAGTCTAGGAAGAATAACTCTTAGTTGGAACTAATTCCCGAGAGCCTTATCAGATATTAGAGATATTTTCCCCAAGTGCGATTCTGACATTAGGACTGTTAAAGCAAATTAAACAGGTGCAGTCCCCTCCCTCTGAGAGCAAAGAGTTATCTTCCAGCGGGGAAGTTAGTTCAGCTGGACATGTGTCTGTGTTGATATGCACATACACTTCAGCAGAGAGAAGTGTTAAGAACAAGCACTGCCACTCAAAAGTGGCTCTGTGACTTTAGGAAGTCAGTTCATCTTTCTGGGCCTCCAAATCTTCAGTATAGAAGGGGAAAGGGTAGTAGCTACTATATGCTTTTTCCCTTCAGCATGTTTATTGATGTATAATATACATGTACTAGAGTGCACAGATTTAAAACATTTATTATTTTTATTGTGGCAAAATACACATAACATAAAAGTTTACCATCTTAACCATTTTAAAGTGTATAGTTCAGTAGCATTAAGTACATTCATAATGTTGTACCAGCGTCACCGCCATTCATCTCTAGAACGCTTTTCATCTTGCAAAACAAACTCCATACCCATCAAATAATTACTCCCCATTCTACCCTACTTCCAGCCCTGACAACCATCATTCTACTTTGTGTCTCTATGATGTTGATTACTCTAGCTACCTTAATAAATGGAATCATATAGCATTTGCCTTTGGAATATTTCACTTAGCATGATGCCCTCAAGGTTCATCCATGTTGTAATATGCGTCAGAATGTCCTCCCTTTTTAAAGCTGAATAATATTCCATTGTATGTATTTACCATGTTTTGTTTATCCATTCGTCTGTTGATGAACACTTGGGTTGCTTTCATATTTCAGCTATTGGGAATAATGTTGCTATGAACATGGGTATATGGTATACCAGTATCTCTTTGAGATCCTGCTTTCACTTCTTTTGGGGAAATGCCCATAAGTGGAATTGCTATATTATATTGTAGTTCTACGTTTAGTTTTTTGAGGAACCATCACACTGTTTTCAATAGTAGCTGTACCAATAGAACAGAAGTCTTCCAATTTCTCCACGTCCTCACCAACACTTTCTGTTTTTTTTTTTATAGTAGTCATCTGAATGGAAGAAGTAGTAGCTCATTGTAGTTTTTATTTTTATTTCTCTAATGATTAGTGATATTGAACATCTTTTCATGTGCTTATTAGTCATTTGTATATCTCCTTTGGAGAAATGTCTATTCAAGTCCTTTGCCCATTTTTGAAATTGAGTTGCTTGTTTTGTTGTTGAGTTTTGGGAGTTCTCTATATATTCTGCATACCAACCCCTTATCAGATGTATGATTTGCAAATATTTTCTTCCGTTCTGCAGGTTGCCTTTTTACTCTGCTGATGGCATCTTTTGATATATAAATTTTTTTAATTTTCACAAACTCCAATTTTTCTCTTTTGTTGGCTATGCCTTTGGTGTTGTATCTAAGAAATCCAATGTAGTGAAACTTTTCCCATAAATTTTCTTCTAAGAGCATTATGGTTTTAGGTCTTACATTTAGGTCTTTTATTCATTTTGAGTTAATTTTTATATACGGTGTGAGGTATTTAATTGTTTTCTATCAAGTTTTCTCAGCACCGTTTATTGAAAAGACTGTCCTTTCCCCATTGAATTGTCTTTGCACCTTTCTCAAAAATCATTTGACCATTTATATGAAGGTTTATTTCTGGGCTCTATTCTATTGGTTTATGTATCTGTCTTTTTGCTAGTGCCACACTGTTTTGATTACTGTAGCTTTGTAGTAAGATTTTATTCAGGAAGTATAAGTCTTCTAGATTTGTTTTGCTTTTTCAGGACCGTTTTAGCTATTCAGGCTCCCTTGAGATTCCATATGAATTTTAGGATGGGCCTTTCTATTTCTGCAAAAAACATCATTGGGATTTTGATAGAGATTGCATTGGATCTGTAGATTGCTTTGGATAGTATTGACATTTTGACAATATTAAGTCTCTCGTTCATGAACATGGGGTTTGTCCATTTATGTCTTTAATTTCTTTCAGCAGTATTTTATAATTTTCATTGACAACTCTTTTCTGTCCTTTGATAATTCCTAAGTATTTTATTATTTTTACTGCTATTATAAATGAAATTGTTTTCATAATTTTCTTTTCCAATTGTTCCTTGTTAATGTAACGATATGCAATTGATTATTGTCTGTATCCTGCTACTTTGCTGAATTTATTAGTTCCAATCTTTTTTTAAACTTTAAGTGTTCTACATACTACATCATATCGTCTGTAAACAGAGATAATTTTACTTCTTTCTTTCCAATTCGTATGCCTTTTTTTTTTCTTGCCGAATTGCTCTGGTTAGAACTTTCAGTACTGTGTTGAACAGTATTAGTAAAAGCCAGCTTCCTTGACTTGTTCCTGATCCTAGAGGAAAAGTTTTCAGTCTTTTATGATTGAGTATGATGTTAACTGTGTGTTTTTTTTTATATGGCTCCTATTATGTTAAGGTAGTTTCATTCTTTTCCTTTTTTTTTTTTTTTTTTTTTTTTTTTGCGACAGAGTCTTGTTCTGTTGCCCAGGCTGGAGTACAGTGGCACAATCTCAGCTCATTGCAACCTCTGCCTTCCAGGTTCAAGCAATCCTATTACCTCAGTCTCCCAAGTATCTGGGACTACAGGTTTGTGCCACCATGCTTGGCTAACTTAAATATTTTTTTTTTTCTTTTGTAGAGATGAGGTCTTACTATATTGCCCAGGATCTTGAACTCCTGGGCTCATTTTTTCTGCCTCAGGCTCTCAAAGTGCTGGGATCACAGGTGTGAGCCACCATGCCTGGCTGGGGTAGTTTCCTTCTATTCCTAGTTTGTTGAGTGTTTTTATCATGAAAGGGTTGGTGGATTTTGTCAAATGCTTTTTCTGCATCAACTAAGGTGATCGTGTGTTTTTTTCCGTTTCATTCTGTTAATGTGGTATACTGGTCAATTTTCATAAGTTGAACCATCCTTGTTTTCCAGGAATAAATACCACTTGTCATGGCGTATAATCCTGCTAAGATGCTGCCACATTTGGTTTACTAGTATTTTGTTGAGGATTTTTCCAGCTGTGTCAATAAGGGATACTGGTCTATACTTTTCTTTTCTTATAGTGTCTTTGACTGGCTTTGGTATCAGGGTAATTAATGCTGGCTTCATAGAATGAGTTAAAGAGCTTCCCCTCCTCTTCAGTTTTTTGGAAAAGTTTAAGAAGGATTGGTGATAGTTCTTTAAATATTTGGTAGAATTCACTGGTGAAACCATCAGGTCCAGGGTTTTTATTTTTTGGAAGATTTTCGGCTACTTAATTTCCTTACTGTTATAGGTCTATTCTGATTATCTACTTCTTCATCATTTAGTGTTGGTAGGTTTTGTGTTTCTAGGAATTTGTCCATTTTATCTAAGTTTTCCAATTTGTTGGCATACAATTGTTCATAGTACTCATTTATAGTCCTTTTTGTTTCTGTAGAATCAATAGTAATGTTTCCAGTTTCATTTTTTATTTTAGTGATTTGAGTCTTCTCTCTTTTTTTCTTAGTCTAGTGAGGTAAATATTTGTCAATCTCATTGATCTTTTCAAATAACCAACTTTTGGTTTCGTTGATTTTCTCTAGTGTTTTTCTGTTCTCTGATCGCTGTTCTGACCTTTATTTTTCCTGTCTGCTAGCTTTGGGTTTAGTTTTCTTCTTTTTCTAGATTCTTAAGTTAGGTTATTGATTTGAGATCTTTCCTGTTTTTTAATTGTAAGTGTTTATAGCTCTAAATTTCCCCCTTAGGACTGCTTTTGCTGCATCCCATAAGATTTGATATTTTGTGTTTTTGTTTTCATTCATCTCTAAGTATTTTCTAATTTCTGTTTTGATGTTTTCTTTGCTGCATTGTTTGTTTAAGAGTGTGTTGTTTAATTTTCATTGCTGCTGAATAGAATGTTCTGTATATGTTTATATCTAAGTGGATTATTGTATTAATTCTTTCATTTCCTTATATTTGGTCTAGTTGTTTTATCCATTTTTTGAGGGTAAGGTATTAAAATCTTCAACTGTTATTATGAAGCTATTTCTCCCTTCAATTTTGTAATGCTTTTACTTGATATATTTTCATGGTCTGTCATTAAGTATTCATAACTGTTGCATTTTCCTGCTGTTCTGAACCTTTTATTAATGTATATTGTCCTTCTTTGTCTCTTGTTTGCAACTTTTTTTGATTTAAAGTCGATTTTGTTAGATATTAGTATAGTCACCTTTGTTCGCTTTTGGTTAATGTTTGCATGGAATTTTTTTCTCATCTTTTGACTTCCAGTGTGTTTGCATGTTTGGATCTAAACTGAGTCTCTTATAGACAGCATATAATTGGATCATGTTTTAACAATCCATTCTTCCAATCTCTGCTTTTGATTGGAGAATTTATTCCATTTACATTTATAGTTAATTACTGATAAGGAGGTACTTACTTCTGACATGTTGATATTTGTTTTCTATATATGCCTTACAGCTTTTTTGCCCCCCATTTCCTGCATTACTATTTTCTTTTGTGTGTGTTTAGTTGATATTTTTTGTAGTAAAAAAATGTAAGTTTATTTCTTATTTCCGTGTGTGTGTGTGTGTGTGTGTGTGTGTATTTTTTGATGTTGTTGTTTGTTCATTTGTTTTTGAGGCAGAGTCTCACTCTGTTGCCCAGGCTGGAGTGCAGTGGTGTGATCATAGCTCACTGCAGCCTTGAATTCCTGGGGACAAGTGATCCTCCTGCCTCAACCTCCTAGGTGCATGCCACCATGCCCAGCTAATTTTTAAATTTTTTTTTGGTAGAGACAGGGTCTTGCTATGTTGCCCAGGCTGATCTCAAATTCCTGGGCTCAAGCAGTCCTCCTGCCTTGGCCTCCTATAGTGTTGAGACTACAGGCATGAGCCACTGCACCCAGTCTCCTTTTGTATATATTCTATAGCTATTTTCTTTGTGGTTACCATAGGGATTATATTTAACATCTTAAAGTTATAACAACTAACTTAAATTTATACCAGCCTAACTTCAATAACATAAAAAACTCTCCTCCTTTAGCAGCTCTATCTTCACCCCTTTTGGTTGGTGATGCCATAATTACATCTTTATACATCATGTGCCCAAAAATGTAAATTAATAATTCTTTGAAATACATTAGCTAGCTAGCATACATTTTCGGTGTCCATTTCAATGAAGTTTCAACACCTGATTACGCTGATGTTACTCACCACCCAAACAAGATCAAGACATAGAACAATTTATAGCACCGCAGAAAGCTCCTTTATGTTTGCTGTAGACCAGAAGTCTCTCCCCCTGGGAATAATCAATGTTCTTTCTTCTATTAAGTTTTGTCTGTTCTTGAAAATCATATAAATGGAATAAGATAGCATGGTAGATGGCCACTATATGCAGCTCTAATGTGGTTCTAACAGCCTTTGCCTTCTAATATTCCTATCCTTGTACAGACTCCTCCCCTGGGGTGTGGACTGGACTCAGTAACTTGCTTGTAGTGAATAGTATTTGGCAAAAATGATGGGGTATCACTTCTGAGATTAGGTTACAAAAGACTTTGGCTTTCATTTTGATTTTGTGGTCTCTGGCTCTCCTCATTTGCTCTGATGAAAAGCCTTTGTGTTTTTAGCTGCCTTATTGGCAACAACCAATGAAGAATTAAGGCCCTTGGCCCTATATCCATAGTGAGTGAGGGAAGCAAATCTTCCCTCAGTTGAGCCTTGAGATTACGGTAGCCTGGCTGACATCTTTCGTAATGCCTTGTGAAAAATTGTGAGCTGGAAGACCCAGGTAAGATGTACCTGCATTCCTGACCCACAAAAATTGTGAGACAATAAATATCTGTTGTTTTAAACTGTTCAGTTTTGGAATAATTTGTTACACAGCAATAGATAGCTAATATGTATAATCCTTGTATTCTCTTTTTTGTTAAGGGTTTTTTTCAATTAACATTATGTCTGTGAGATTTAACCCTGTGGATATATATAACTTTAGTTTGTTCTTTTTATTTCTCCATAGTATAGGAATATATCCAAATTATCTATCTATTCTGTAATTCATGGACATCTGACTTGTTTCCAATTTTTGGCTATATGAACATTCCTGTACATTTTTTGGACATCTGTACTCATTTCTTTGGCATATATACCCAAGGGTAGACTAGCTGGGTCATAAAGTAGATTTTAGTAGATACCACCAAGTAATTTTCCAGAGTGGTTGTACCGATTCTACTCCCTCCAGCAATGGATGAGATTTCTAATCATTTCACTTCCTTGCCAATGCCTAATTTTTTTTAACGTTTTTCATTTTAGTCATTCTGTTGGGTATGGTGATAAATCCCATTGTGGTTTTTAATTCAATTACTGAGATGTTGAGCATTTTTCATATGCCTAATGGCCATTTGGATATATTCTTTAGTAAAATGCCTGTTCAAGTATTTTGTCCATTTTATATTGCATTGTCTATTTTTAAGTTAGATTTGTAAGTTCCTTATTTTCTGGACTTGACTTCTTTGTCAGATATATTTATTGTAGATATCTTCTTACAGTCTGTTCTTAATTTTAATGAAATACAATTGAGTGTTTTTTTCTTTTAAGGTTATAAAATCTTTGTCTATTCCAAGGTCAGGGAGATAGTCTCCTATGTTTTATTCTAGAAGTTTTATTGTTTTAATGTTCACATTTAGGCTCGTGATTCTTCCAGAATTTGTTTTATGTGTTGAGTGTCTGATGTGACGAAGGGGGCCAATTTCATTTTCTTTTCTCATATAGAACTCCAGATGGCCCAGCACCATTTACTGGAAAGATGTCTTTGTTGCAAATCAGGCGTCTTACTTGTGTGTCCATTTGTGAACTTTCTATTTGGTTCCATTGCTCTATTTTCCTATCCTAATACCAACATCACACTGTGTCAATACTGTAGCTTTATAATCAATCTTATTATTTGGTAATCTAAGTTTGCCAATCTTATCTTTTTTTCCTTCATAATTGTCTTGGCTGTTTTGGACTGTTTGTGTTTTCATAAACATTTTAGAATCACTTGCCAATTTCCACAAAAAAATCCTGCTAGGATTTTAGGGTAGGATTATATCAGTCAGTAAGCTTGGGGAAGAGGAACCTTTTTAAATTTTCCTTAATTTCTCTCAGCAGTGTTTCATACTTTTCAGTTGAAAGGTCTTGCACATCTTTCAGTAGATTTATTCCCAGGGATCTGATGCTTTGTGATACCTTAAGTGGGAATTTAAAATTTTTCATTTTCTAATTTTTGTTCCTAGTATAATCTTTAAATTGGATTTTCATTATGTCATCTGTGAACAAAGGTGTTTTGTGTCTTCATATCTTTTATTTATACCTTTTATTTCATTTTCTTGCCTTATTGAACAGGTTATGACCTACCCACAGTGTTGAATAGAAGTGGTGGTAGACATAATTCTCTTGTTCCTGAGTTCAGGGGAAAAACATTCAATATTTCCCTATGAATCATCATGTTTGCTATAGGTGGTTATGGATGCTTTTTACTAGGTTATGGATAAAAGCCTCTTTTTCAAGTCTAACTTTTGTTGACATCATCTAATTGTATGGAAAAAAGGAAAAGCTAATATGTAGAAGGAATAATGATGATAACATGGGTAAGAACAAGAGAAGCAAGAGAGAAAATGAGGTAAAGGAGTATGTAAAATAGGAGAATAAAAGAATTTTTGGGGTGCCTCCTATGTTCCAGGTGCTCTGAGAGCCAAGTTAACTTGTGATAGGACATAGGGCTAGTGAGGACTGGAGGCTGGAGGAGAACCCAGATCTTCTGAGAATCAGAGCTTATTCTTTCTACTGCACTCAGAGGAAGAGTAAACAAAGGGGAAGATTTGTAAGGAAGAGAACAGTTACTCCCAAATCCTCCTGTAAGCCTAGGGCATTGTGTCTTTTTTCTGTCTCTTCCATCTCTTTTTTTTTCTGTTTCTTTCTCAGTCATGTGATTTCTAGGTCTTGGCCTTGATCTTGAATTTTAACTTGATTTCATTCTGTCTCCAGTGGTCGAATGGTAGTGTGTGCCTTCTCTCCACTTCCATCCAGATCATATGAGGTTCTTGTGTTCTGAGACATCTCTTATTTTAATTCAGCTTTTGAGATACCCATTACATAATGCCAGTTCACCCTGGTCACTCAGATCACAATGGCTGGGGCATGAGATTAATGGTCATGTCTTTGGTGTCATTGTCAGCACTCTGCAAATCATGGTTATCCAGTGGTCACTGGGACACACAGAATAAGCGGGTTGAGCAAGGTTCAGGCTGTAGTGAAGGCTGTAACTACCCCTGAGAAGTCCAACCTTTTGTGGTGACAGTCACATTTATCTCCTGTGGCTGTGGACTCCATTTCAACCCCAATCTGGGCATGTTTGGGAGAGAGGCTGCTCCCCTGTTGCCTGAGCTTTTGGCAGCTGGGCCAGCTCCCCTGTCGGTTTGCTTTCTCTTTTGCAAAGTCTATCCTGAGGCTATTATTTGGTTTTCTAGCCTTGTCTGAATTAGGATGGTTCCATTTAAAGTGAAAACAATATAACACAACCTTAAAAAAGGACTGAAGAAGAAACAGAATAAAGAGAGGTTGAATGCAAATGTGTTTTGCAGTGTTTTAATGTATTCGGGATGTTCCTCTAACATTAGCCAGCCTGTCGCAGCCTGCCCAGGAACCTGGTGCATTTGTTGTGTGGCAGAAAACGTTGCTGAAGAAGAGGCTGAGGTTTGGGCTGAGAAGTTGCCTGAGGCCTCCTGAACCATCATCTTCATTATTGAAACATTAAACACCCTTTGGTCCCCAGGGCTTGCTATCAGAGCAGTTGGCTCAGAGGACGAAATGTGGCAGGAATGAGGCCATTATCTGCCATTATCCTGTTGTTCTGTAAGATATCCCTATATCCCACCTATATCCCACCCCAGTAGCCAGTTGTTTCTCAGTGTGACTTTCTGGAGAAAGTGTGGATAAATCAAGATCATCCATCTTCATTCCTGGAAACATAGGGGGTGAAGAGAGAGAGAGAGAGACTGACTGCATATGCTTAGCAAAGAGGACCAATCTCATTATTACATTTAAAATATTTGTTTCCTCCCTTTTGCAGTGTTTTAAAGTATGAAGGATGATGACCAGACATTTGTTTAAAGCAGGAGGCACACCCACTTCCCAGGAGCTTGCATTCTAGTAATGACATAATCCATGTCAATGTTAGACACATGTGTGCATGGTCTGGCCTTCAAACAATTAAACAATTGTGAGGTTGCCGAAGTTAAATTTCTTACCTGGGCATAGACCCATTGAAGCAACAATAAAGGGAGTGTACTTTAAGAATACACATGGAAGACATCTTTAGGCTTTAGTAATAAAAAGCCCTATTTGATCAAGGAGGTTCTCGTTATTTGGGATAGACTGGTTGGGTGAACTAGACCCAGTTCACACAAGTGACTTATAGAGAGTTCAGAGCTGAGAAAGCAGCTGTTAAGTGCGTTCCTATGTGTAAGCACGTACACATCCCTGGCACATAGTAAGTGTTCTGTCAATATTAGTGAATATGACTATTATTGATGAAACAGAAGTAAAGATTAAAAACCATCTGAGTCTGGTAACCAAATCCCTAGGTTCAGAGTTTCTTTCATTTAGGATAAAAGACACTGGCCAGTGCTGGAAAGTGAGTTAGACTGGATGTGTCCACATGTTTGTAAATGTTTTACCTGCCTCTTTGATGATTCTTCTTGGCCTAACCTAATAGGGCATGTGCTCAGGACTTGCTGCCCCTACTGTTAGCCTCCTGAGGGCAGGGACCACATCTGTCCCAGTATTTCCTAGCCAGTAGAGTATGATATGCTCAAAATATATTGTTGCAATAATTGAATGATATTTTCAAAATGAGTCAGCAACATCTGTGGTATCCCTCAAAGTTGATACTATGGAGGTTTAAAGAAATAATAGGAACATGCCCATCACAAAGCCCTGCTCTGTTTCCTCCCCTCCCAGTGTTATGTTCAGCTCTTGGAGCCCAAGCCAAACAAGAGAATCATTCACTGAGGGAAAGCAGGACAGGGAAGGATACTGGCACCCTATTGTAAAATAAACCATTACAAATATAGGTTCATTTACTCTGGAGGAGAGAAGACTTTGGGAATGAAAGTTCTAAACATTTGAAGGGCTTTTATACAGAAGAAGGATAAGAATTGTTCTCTGTGGCCTCAGAGGACAAAAGTTAGAATGCGGATGAGAAGTTGCAAGGAGGTAGAGTTTCTTGCACCATAAAGAGGAACTATGCCATGGAGAGAAGTGGTTGGCAGAGTCCTGGGATCTGTTTGGGTACCTGCTGAGTGGTTAATGTGTGTGCAAGATTTTGGAATCTACCTTCAGAATTTCTTATAAAGTAGAAATTAAATAAGATGAGAACTGGGGTCTCTTTCTTGTGGGGAGGGAAGTAAAAGCTGTTGTAGTGGCCCAGGTAGACCACTTAGGGCTGCTGAGAACGTTGTCTACCTTGAAAGAGAAATGAAGGGACCCACCAGTTACTATGAATCAGGAATATTACCAGATGCTTTCTTTACATAGAGTTACTTGTCTCATAACACTGGGAGGTTAGTATTGAAGGAAACATACTCACAGAGGTAGAGTAACCAGTCCAGGGCTCACTTTTCCTGTCTTAATCCTCTCCTGGAATACTGTGTTGTCAACTGGATCCCCTTTACACCAAATCTACTTTTTCTTCATCGAAATAAATGACTCTTGGGTAGAATATCCCTGCCTCAAACTGTTCTGGAACTTTCTTCAGGGACTTGGATGGCCTTCTAAGTACTGGATTTTGCCTTGTCAGTCAAGACCTTCTTCTCTTTCCTGCAGAGTCCTTGCCGAGGGCTCTTGATTGCAACATTCCATTTCTTTCCTTCTGCCTTGGTGGAGGGTTTCAGAGAGCCTTCTGTTGACCTTCTTTTAATTGCTAATAATTATTCAATTTTATATAGCCCACAGTGATAAATATTCATGAAAAGCACAGTGTATCAAGATCCAACACTTTAAGCTATTGTGTTTTTTTAATTAAACTGAAACATGGGATTAAATGCAATAAAACGAAAAAAAGAGAGAGCATATATTGTTATCTATTTCAGTCCTGCTGTGAGACTGCATGGGAGGCCGATAGGAAACCTTGACCTGGGTGCTGCAGTGTTCTGTCCTAAAGTATGTAAAGGAGACCTCTAAAACATCTGGACCGGCTGGATTCATTCATTCATTCACACATTTATTCATTAATTCACTCAGCACACATTTACTGATTGCTACCATGAGCCTTCCTAGTGCCTCTCAGAGGGATACAAATAGACTAGAACAGGGACCCCAAGGAGCTCACTGTTGAGTCCTAGATGAGGCAGCTGCATGAATCAGCCATGCCAGAGTTGCATAGTAAATACAAGCAAGCACATAAAACAGCATTCACACGGGGGCAGTGAGCAGCTGCCTGGGGTGGTAGATGTGGTGTTGTAGAGGTGGTGGTCCCCATCAGGACTTAATACTTTATTAGTCCTGCCTTCAGTGCATCTTTTCTCAACCTAGTGAGTCTCATCTCTAGGCGTGTGCCAGAAGCAGGCCACCGACCTTCTCCTCTTTCCCTGGAGAGGCTGTCCCCCGTGTGGACTCTGAAGTCAGGCTGCATGGGTTCAAATCCCAGCGCTGCCACTTCCCAACTGCATAACCGTGGGTGAGTCATTTGACCTCCCCATGCCTTAGTTTCCTTATCTGTAAAATGGGGATAATTCATAGAACCTACTGTATAGGATTGTTGTGAGGGCTAAACTAGTAACTGCACGTGAGGGGCACAGACCAGTGTCTGGCACACTCGAAGTGCCAAAATGCTGACACGCGTTATTATTATTTGTGCCGAGGCCTTGGCCCATGACTTCCAGGTTCTCTGGAGGGCTCTTGTGAGGTTTTGCTCTGTAGGAAGCAGGCAAGCTGCAGGTGCGCCCTTGTGGAGAGTTCTGAATCGCTCCTGAGAGCTTCTCTCAAGCACCAGCAAGAAGGAGGCAACGAAAAGCCTTAGCAAATACCTCCCAGACCACCAGCCTTCAGAAGGAGCAGGAGGCCAGGCAGGCCCTGCGGGGAACAGAGAGCAGGAGGGACAGGCGCCAGGGCAGAGAGCAAACTCCCTAGGACCCCACCTTCCGCAGAGCTCCGCCTCGGTTCCCCTCTCTCCCGGGAAGAGGACCAGCTTGCGCATGCGCTTGGGCGTAACACATGCCGGTCTCCCTGCTTTCCCACTTTAAAACGGGAAATGTACGTTATTTATTTGCAGCGCAGGCATGGGGAGACGCTCATGAATCAGCATGGGGATTTTCTCCAAGTAAACAAACCCACTTTCTGGAGAGGCGGTTGCTTTTTCCAGCCTGAGAGATGAGAGAGAGCTGGAGAGCGCAGCAGTGCCGCAGGCTTCCTGGCACCCTGGAGTCCTTTCCCGGGCCGACTCCGTCATCCTCCCCCGCCCGCCCCTGCCTGCAGTGTGGGGGCTGCTGAGCGAACCCAGGCCCCAGCCCTCCCACGGAACACCACCAGGCTCGTCTTTTTGCGTCAATTCACCCAATAGCTGTTTGAAGTCCAAGATGGGCTTCCAGGGGCTGTGGGCTGAGGAAGAGGCTCTGGGGCAAGGCTTGGTGGGATGAACAGTTCAGGTTGATTTTGCTTAGGGGCCTTGGTTTGCACTCTAGCCCTGTGTGGCTTTTAGGGAATCACCAGCCCTCTCTGAGCCTAGGTTCTTTCTCCATCACTAGGGGATTGATCAGAGTTGAAGCCAGAGTCTTTCCCATGGCCAGTTGCACCCTCACCTCATTCCTGTCTGCTCCTCTAGCTTCCTGGGTCCATCTACACTAGCCTCTCTGTTCTCCAATACCCCAGTAAAGCTCCTGCCCCAGGGCCTTTGCATGGACGGCTCCCTTTCTCGGAATGCTCTGTCCCCTGATAGCTGCATGGTTCATTCTCTCCTCTTCTGGTTTTTACTTAAATGTGTCTTCTCAGTCCTGTCCTGGCCACCCAGTCTAATACTATGTTCCCCTCCACATATTTCTCTTTTTTTTCCTGCCTTAGTTTTCCTCCTGTAAATGTCCTGCATATTGTATATTTTAATGATTTATCTATTGATTGCCTGTCCTCTGGTGGGAATGCAGTCTCCATGAAGACAGATTTTGTCTGTTTTGTTTCCAGGCTGCCATGTGATACTGTGAAGGGGCTGGTGGGGGGAGTATTATAGAGGTGGGGAAACTTAGCAAGGCAAGGTGGTAGAAACATTTTGTGATTGTGTGCTTTCTGGTTCTCTTTTATTTCCAGAGCTGTGAAATTTAGTGGCCTCTCCAGAAAGCAGTTTGTTTACTTGGAAAAAATCTTCATGCTAGTTCATGAGCATCTCACCTGGCACACCTGGCCCAAAGTAGGTGTCTAATAGTTGGTGAATGAATGAATATGAGGCCAGGTCCTGGGGCTGCATGGCCTGGACTCTTGCACGTATCACCTTTGTGAAGCTGGGCCAGTTTCTTAGCCTCTCTGGCTTTGGCTCCCTTTCCTGTAAAAAGGGGTTAATGATGTAACTACCTTGTAAGGTTGTTGGAGGACTCTGTGTGAATCTGAATAAGGCCTGAACCTTATAAGTCCTCAGCAGGTTAGCTTTTATTTTTAAAAGTACTTTCAGCTCTAACATTCTAATTCCAGGCAGAGGGGTGCCTCCTATGGAACTTGGGTCAAGTCCTTAAGGAATAACTTATGTAGGCAATAGGATGGTTAATGCATCCTGCCTCCCAGGCTGCTCTGGAAGAGGTTGGGGGCTGCTGGTCAAATTGCAGGAGATGCAGCTTTCTCCAGCATATTTATTTTGCTAAAATCATTGAAGAAACACAGCTAGGCAGAAAAGTATTCCAAAATGACACCTGCGTTAGGAAACTTGGAGGCTGTGGGTCTGGTACCAGGAGGAAGGTTGGGATGGAGGGGTCTGGCCCTGGCTCCTGAAGCAAACCATGAACTGCTCTTGAGGGCAGATGCAGCAGCCCCTGAAGCTCTCTGCTTTCTGCTCCTGAGTCTTGCTCAGGCCTGGTCCAGGATTTTATCTAGTTGTTCAGCTCTTCCCTGGCATCATGGCCATTGTGGGGGCCATTGGCTTTTAGCCAGTACTCTGGGATCTCTACCTACCCTTGACATCTAAGCATGCTTTGGCTCAGGGCCTCACAGACCACAGAAGCAGGCCCTAAATGTCCTAGGAGTAGGGACACTTGTCCTCAACCTGGTGCATCCCCAGCCAACTTTACAGTGGACCATTCAAGTCAAGGTAACATTGGACCTGGGTCATGAAGAGTCCAGGGAACAAAAGAAGACTTTGAGAAGGAGAAAGCCTTTTTAAATTTGGGGCACAGTACTCAAATAGGAAGTTTGAGTACAAGTCTGTGTTTGCCTCTTGGTCTTAGAGACAGGATACACTTCTCAGGGCTAAAGTGCCCAAGACTCCACGTACTTTGGATTCAGATAGAGCAGATGCTTTGAAATGAATCCTCACTGCCCACTTCTGTTCCTCATAATTGTTCTTTATGGGGAAGATAAAAGAAGTGGCCAGCTAAGACCTATCTGGTGAGTCAGTATATCTTCCAGGATGATTTTTGCCCTCAGCATGAAGCCTTGAGTAAGAGAGGAGTGACCAGGAGAGAAAGGTATTTTTACCCTTTTGCCTTGATGCTATCATGATGGCTCATTGTATAGATGCTGTGGGTAATTTTTAGTGCCAGGTGGTATTTGTCACCTGATTTTTGTCCCAGCCAAACAGCAGCTTGGAGAGGGGAAGCTAGGTATGGGAGGGATTGGCCTTAGGACTTAGAAGTGACAGGCTCGCCAGTTGGCTCCCTGGCAGCACCAGTGGCTGGCAAGGTCTGGAATGGGTCCCTCCACATCTATGAAAAGTCTTATTGTCCAGCCAAACAAACAATTTGCTTATTCCTGCTGCATGTGTTTGGTAAGCATCTTCTATATGCTGGGCTCAGGGCTCTATGCTGGGGATACAAGATAGTAAGACCAAGGCCCTCTCATTGAGTTATAACCATCTCAGAGGAGAGCCTTAGAAAGCCTGCAAAGCTCTCTAATAGGGGTCTATAGAAAGCTCTATAGTAACAGAGAATGTTGTCTACATTTACATGCTATCACCTCCACCAGGAGAGTTCACAGAAGTGACACAGTTACTGTATCTTGAAGTTTCCAGGAATCAAGGTGGTAATTCTGCTGTGGCTCAGGGATGGCTCTGGCACGAGGCACCCCTGGTCTTGACACTCTCCAGGGATGTGACCCTGGACTGGTAAAGGGCTGTGAGTCTCAGCTTCCTCAGCTGTAACCCAGGAAGCATGGTACCACCTTATAGGGTGGCTGCGAGGATTAAAGGAGGTGCCATTCATAAAGCATGCCTGGCATGTGGCAGGGAATGGAGCTGTTATCATTCTGTAAGCACTATGGTGCTTTGCTTCATTTCTTATTCCTATCTTTAATTGGTGATTTGGTTGCATTCTCTGGAATAGTGACATACAGAATAGGGGAAGCCCATTCATTCATTCAGTTAATTCCTCCAATTTTTCAACATTTTTTGAGCACCCACTGTGTGCCCGGCACGGGAGCCACCCCTGGGACACAGATGTAGGTAAGGCTGACTCCTTGCCCTTGAACATTGGCAGGGGCTGCGGTGTGTTTGTGGCTCCTCAGTGGACCCTGCTGCTGCTCAGCCCTCTTCCACCACTGGCCACTCGTGGGATCTGTGGGCAGTTTTTTTTCACTGCTTCTGTTCTTCAGATATCTCAACTGAAGAATGAGGATAATGATAATATCAATTTTATGATATAGTTGAGGGGAATAAATGAGCTACTAAATATAAAGAACATAATGTCAGGTATTGGTTGGAAAGTCCTCAGTGTTTTTTTTTTTTTTTTTTTTTTTTTTTTTTTTTTTTTTTTTTTTTTTTTTTTTTATGAGACACAGTCTCACTCTGTCACCCAGGCTGGAGTACAGTGGCATGATCTCAGCTCACTGCAACCTCTGCCTCCCGGGTTTCAGCAATTCTCCTGCCTCAGCCTCCTGAGTAGCTGGAACTACAGGTGACTATCACCACACCTGGCTAATTTTTGTATTTTTAGTAGAGACAGGGTTTTGTCATATTGGCAAGGCTGGTCTCGAGCTCCTGGCCTCAAGTGATCCACCTGCCTTGGCCTCCAAAAGTGCTGGGATTATAGGTGTGTACCACCAAGCCTGGCCTGAAAGTACTCAATAGATATTGATGTTGATGAATAGCTGGAATATAGACAAATAAATAGATAGCAGACATGCAATGCAAAAAGCCCTGAAAGAAGACTGAACTAAGCATTGTAGGAGCACAGAGGAAGCACAGACTCTGCCTACAAGGCAAAGAGAAAGGATGCTGCTCTGTGTCCAAGAATGAGCTCACTGGTCACCCTGGGTTGCTTCTAACACCCAGGCTGCTACTCCCTGGTTCCACTGGAATCCTACAGTGGGCAGGAGCTTCTGGGACCATCTACCAGTGTTCTTCTGGAGTGAGATCATGGGGCCATGAACCTGGGATCAGCTCTCCCTGCCCACCCAGGAGGAAGAGGCAGCAGCTGCAAAGGTTGCCTGCATGAGGTGCTCTAGCATATCCTGACCTAGGTCACATCCCTCCTGTCTGTTTGAACAGTTTCTAAACCCCTCAGCCAAGCAGTGCCTCTCCCAGTTTATTGAATTGCATTAGTTTTCTAGCCTAAGCCCTGGCCCACCTTCCCCATCTTTAAGCCCTTAAAAAAACTTACATATGCTTGGAAATAAGGCCCCGTTCTGTATAGTGATTTCCAGTAGGAGCAACGATTAGTGTTTTGGGAAGGTAGAACATTCTTTGTGGTGCAGGACTATCATGTGCATTGTAGGACTTAGCAGCCCTAGTTCTACCCTTTAAATGTCATTGGTTCCCTCTTCCCTTTGTCCCCACAAATGTTTTCTAGGGAGTGGAACATCCCCTAGTGAGACCCAGTAGAACTGAGATAGGATAAGTTTTTGCTTCTATTCTGGGCTTCTTTGCTGACATTCCTTCGACTTTGGGATTGCCCGGCTCCCTCTTGCCTGACCCTTTTGTCTGTGCCTTACTGGCAGTGAGATCCTGCAGCCCTGGGGTGGGAGAGAGGGAGCTCCTGGGAGGAATGGTGTGGTGGGGGAAGTGGATGAAGTGGAATGAAAGTAGGTAGCACAGGCATCTCTTTAGGGACATCTACTCTAATTTCTCTCGCAGGCCACCATCACTATCTCTGCGGTGGGAGAAGGTCAGGTTGGAGGGTATGGCCTGTTCTTTGGAAGTGAGGCTCTGAGCAGGGGCCTGGCTTTCCTTGAGGCAACCAGGGGCTCTGTGGGTATGTTCTCTGGTCTTGGTTTTGGGAGGGTGGTAATTTTTGTTGGGGGAGTGGGACAACAGGAGCAGTGGTGACCAGCTGGGGCATGGGGGCAGGAGCACAGGGAATGGTGGAAGGGAGTCACCAACTGCTGCAGGCTTAGACTGGAGTGACTTCAGCTTCCTGACTCACCCCTGCACCAGCCTCCTGGATAAATAAAGTAACAACCAATCGTCGTGAGCTCTGGACACCCACAGTTGGTAAATTGCAGAGATGAAAAGCCAGGTCCCTGTGAGACCAGTTCTACTCTGAGGTAATAGCCAGGAAGACTCAGGAACCCTGGGGGAGAGCCATTTGGATTCAGAAGGCCACACAAGTCTTCTCTCTCCCCCATTTTTTCCTCCTTTGTTCTTTCTCCTTATGCATTCCTATCTGTCCAGTACCCATCCTTCCCTCTTCCCTCCTTGTCATCAAAACCTCTCACTGCACATGATGGAAAAGATCCAGGATCCTGGGAGGAGCCCTGTGTAGTTGGTGGTCCCTCTTAGAACCACAAACCCACCCCGTCTCAGGATCCTCATACATCTGTTTGTCCATGTATCCATTCATTCATCCACCTACCCATCCATGCATCCATCTGTCAGTCCACCCATGCATCCATGCATCCGTCTTTCCATCTGTCAATCCATCTATCCATCCATCCATCCATCTATGTATCCATGCATTCATCTTTCCATTCATCTATCCATCCATCCATGTACCCATCCTTCCATCTATCTATTCATCCATCCATGCATCCATGCATGAATTCATCCATCCATGTATGCATCCATCCAGTCATCCATCCATGCATCCATGCATTCATCTTTCCATCCATTTATCCACCCATCCATACATCCATGCATTCATCCATGCATCCATCCATTCCAGCCCTGCCTTACATCCCCTGTCCACCAAGGTGGCCTTGTCTTTCCAACTGGACAGTAAGCTCCTTAGATGAGGGCTCATGACTCAGACTTTTAAAAAATCATCCAACCAATCTGGCTTGGAGAATGGGGTGCTGCCTAATATACTTTGATGCTTTCTGAGCTCCTTACCTCTTGCAGCTGCCTCCATGTAGAAGGCAACTGGATGAATGGAAAAACCCTTTCCTGATACCAAATACCAGTGGCTGAGCTTCCTTTAATGATGAGCAACATCTTTATTCTCTAAAATGAGACAACCCCACATTCAAATGCCTAGGAGAGGCCACCCCAAACATAAATACACACTAAGGTGTAAATGATCTATGTGAATTTCTTCCCTGAGTGTGTTTGTGCACTGGGGGTAGGGGTAGGGGATAGGAGACAGCCTGAAGTGTGAGTGGGTACCATGCAGGAGCAGGGCAGAAGAGAAGAAGCCCCCAGGTTTCAAGCTGAAGGGCAATAATTTGAGCATGAGAACTCTGTTGGACTGGTATGTCTGGATCCACTGCCTGTCAAGAGGGTGGTGGGGAGCGGAGGGCTGGAAGGCACAGGCTCTGGAGTCTGACTCTGGTAGTTCCAGTCTCAGTCCCTGCTTCCTAGCTGTGTGCCCTAAGTTCTAAGCCTCAACTTCTTCATCTGTAAAGGGGGGACAATAATAGTACTGAAAACATATGGTTTTCATGAGGATTTGCTGAAATAAAGCCTGTGCTTTGCTTTCACAGTGCCTGGCACATAACAGCCCAAGAATTTAGTGATCATCATCATCCACATCTCTAGCTTTGGGAAAAGGATTTGGAGCAAAAAGAAGAGGGATTTTCATACTTTGACCATAAATCATAGCATTGTCAGATTTAGTAAATGAAAATACAAATACATTTATGTGTTGTTTATCTGAAATTCAAATTTAACTGGGTCTCCTGTACTTAGTATGGCAACCCTATTGAGTCTCCCAGAAGCGGGTCTGGATTGCCTCCTCCGTCTTGGTCCCAAACTAGAACAGTTGCAGGGTCAGGGAGGTCTCCAGTGAAGCAGGGTTGTGGGGGCAAGGAAGCCCTGCACCCTGACTGGCCACTCATCCAGCAGCCTGGAGGCTGAAAGCTCTGAAGGAGGGACGATTCGGGTGAAGGGAGCTGCCCAGGCAGAGGCTGCGTGTGTGGGGGGGCAGTTGGAGGGGGGGACCCAGCCGTGGTGCAGAAGCTTTGAGCTTAGTGGATGCAGAGGGCGTTGTGAATCAGAGCACGTTGACTCCAGCGCCTGCCAGCCAGCGTGGGCAGAGAGTAGCAGCGTGTGTGGATACGTGCAGGAGTGCAGCGGTGGGGACCGCTTCTGTTTTCTTCTTGAAAGAAGCAGCCTGCGGAGCTCTGAGCGTTCTCACCCCTAATGGGTGGATTGTTCGGCCTCAACTCCAGTTTTCTCCCTTTCTTGTTCTTTTTCTCTACTCTCTTTCCTCTTTTCTTCCTCCCCTATCATTTTCTTCTCTTCTTTTCACCCTCTCTCTCAGATTCCCTCCACACCAGCCATTCAGGAAGTACCTCTGTGGGTGGGATTCTGACGCATCCTTAGTTACCTGCTGTTCCATACCCACAGACTCTATTCCCTCCACGTGCCAACTCCCAGGAACCTGCCCAACGTGGCCAGTTATTGGCAGCAAGTCCTTGAGTCCTCACTGACAAGGAGATGCCCAGGGCAGGTTCTGTGTGACCCATGGGAGATGAGCCCTGGCCCCTTCAGATGGGCATGCATGCCAAGGAAGTGAGAATGTGCCACCCAGAAGTGCCTGAGGTAGAGTATAGCTCAGAGTGGCCTCTTACTCAGTTAACACCCTGCTGCTCCACCTACTTAGGGCACTCACACTTTGGCTCCTGTTCTTGCCTCGGCATATGAGGCCCTGCATGACTTGCCCTCTTTAGGCATTCTTGCTTCATTTTCCATCACTCCTGTCCTCCCACCTGGAGCTCCAGGTAAATAAAACTGCTTGTAGTTCCAAGAAAGCTCTGTGCCCTTCACACCTCCAGGACTGTGTACCTTCTGTGTCTCTCCTGACTCAGCAAGATCCAGTCATCCTTCAGTGTTCAGCTCAGATACCTCTTCCTCCAGGAAGCCCTCCTGACAGCCACTGGCCAACTTGGCCTTCAGGACTCTTACTCTTAAGTTCTGCTTACGTTGCCCATGTTGCCATCCACATTCCACAATGTGTGGACTTGTGGTTGTTTGTTTGCGTGTCTGTCTCTTCATGTAGACTGGAAGTTCCATGAATTATATCTTTTAATCATTCATGCCTCAGGGCCTTTGCACAAGCTGTTGGTTCTACTTGGGACACTTTCATCTTCTCACTGTTCATGAGATCTCAGCTTAAATGTCACCTTTTCAGAGTAGCCCTCCCTGACTCCCCTTACACTGGAAAACTACTTTATTTATATTAGCACCTGTTTTATCTCTCAGTGGTTTATTACAACTTGACCTTTTTTTTCATTTTGTCAGTCTTCACCACTGGATGATAACATCTTGCAGGGCAGGTGGCTTATCAGCTGCTTCACCATCATATACCCAACACCTGGCCCAGTGCCATTTGCTGATGGGCTGGACAGTGAGGCATGGAGAACAGAAACACCGAAGGCCTAGAGAAAAGGAATTCCAGCTCGGGATTTTCTGAATTTGCAGACTGATTTCTCTGTAAACCGTACCATCCCATCTTGTCTGTGGCTAACTGGTTAATTCCAGAGCAGGTACTTCCATTGTGTAGCATCATCAGCCTCTCTTTTGGCATGCTTTAATCTTAATGTATGTTTATATTTGAAATTCTTCAGTTTGGTTGCTGTCCAACCAACAGGAGGGGTCATTTTCTGGAAGCATGAGGGATGTTTAAGGGAGAGTGGCTGCAGTGCCTGGGTCGGCTCTGGGTCTGGCTCACTGAGGAATTGAAGTTTCCTTTATCCCTTGCCTGTAGCTGGGAAGCTGGGAGACTCCCTTATGCATAGATCTGGCCTGCATGGCAGTACCTGCAAAGGCATAATTCTTGGGGTTGAAGCACTTCTCTGGACCCTGGGACTCCTCAAGGTGGGGGTGTGGGATGTGGATTTGACGGGTCAGTCCTCAGTAACCCATATTCTGCTGCCGTGCTCCTCTCAGGAGTGATGACTCAGAAGTCCCCATCTCTGGAGTCTCCCACTGAGCGGTGAAGAATGTCAGTTTGGAAACAGCCTGGAGAGATGATCTTCTCAGAGTCCCATACTTTACAGATGAGGAGACCAAGGCTCATGGAGAAGAAATGCTTTGCCCAAAGTCACAGGGTTGAGGCAAGACTGGAACCCAGGTTTCCTACCACTTCACCTGGAGTGCTTCACCCTCAGGCATAGGCAGACCTTCATGTAATCCAGAATGTAGATTCAGAGGTGTGGGCTTTTGTGTTGCAGGAACCTTTATATTTATATTCACTGTACAAACAGAAGCCCTCTTTTTCACTTCCTACTTTTCCCTCCTTGTTCATCATCATGAGAACATTGAGTTGATGAGGACGAGGTCTTGGGTTTCAGGATAGTGGACAACAGGCATTCTCCTATGGATCCGTGATCCAAAGAAGGTCTGCTGACCCCTGACTGTGCATCGAGGGACCAGGCAAGACCCTGATAGCAATAACTCAATGCTTCCTTTATGGAAGAGAGCCCCCATGTGTGTTCAGAGCACTTTGTGTTTGGATACAGATTTTACAAAGCTGTTTCTATGTGTTTGACCTTTTGAAGGGTCCACTGGAAAACTCTTCTGCAGCTTGGCTTAGTTCAGGTGTGTGATTACAGCTGGCTCAGGCTCAGACCATTGCATACTTTAGGACAGTGTCCAGGGGGATGGGCTTTGCCAGCACCCGTGGGCAGCTTGTCCTGCAGTGCTGTTGCCCTCCTGACATGCAATAAAAGATGGGGAAGGAAGGATTCCATGGTAACAAGGCTGAAGAGCTCTAGCACCATGGTGTCATAGCAACCAAATGGAGGAATTCCATCCACATGGTGACAAGGAGACCCCTGGACCTATCAGACTCAGACCAGTCCACTGCATTAGCAACCAGGCTGGGCACCCTATGATGGGGGTGAGGGTGGGAGGAAAATGAAAAAGACTACAGTGGGAGGATTGGAAGAAGTTGTTTGTGTGGGTTTAGAAAACTAAAAAACAAAATTATTAAAAGAGACAGACATAGAGAAGTCTTTGCTGGATTAGCACCAACTAAAGAGAAAAAAAATCAGGCCAAGCTTTAAATCACCTCTTCTGGGAAGTGTTTCCGGATTCATTCGCCCAATGTGGGCCATTTAGTTTTCATCTTCCCTGTCTTGTCTGGACCATTTGACCCTGGCTCTGGGGACGACATTCACTTCCAGTTCTCCTCCTTTGTTTTTCTCTGTTCCTTTTGCTAACTCAAGACATGGAGCAGATGCTAAAATAATAATTGGCTGCCCTGTCCCTCCCTTACCATCTTATTATGTGGCATGTAATTGTTTATATGTCCATTTTGGTTAATTAAATGAACTATATAATGTGTGTTTGATTTCCTTTTTTCTTTTTGTTTTTTGAGGCAGGGTCTTGCTCTGCCACCCAGGCTGGAGTGCAGTGGTGTGATCATAGCTCACCATAACTTCAAACTCCTGGGCTCAAGTGATCCTCCCACCTCAGCCTCCTAAGTAGCTAGGACTATAGGTGTGGACCACCACACCTGGCTAATTTTTTGTTATTGTTGAGGTGAGATCTTGCTATGTTGTCCAAGCTTGATTTCCTTTTATACTTTACCTTCCACCCCAGACAAGGGTCTGTTTTTTTTTACCCTGCAATGTGGACACATACAGGTATTCATGAGCTGATCAGGACTTGATTTGGGGTTAGGTAACTGTCTATAGGCTCTTGTGGCTGGTGTCTGTCAGCAACCTGGCAGCCTTTCTGAGATGGGATCATCTCAACAAGGATCTGGGGAAGGGATTGAGCCTTTTTCCTCCTTCCTTCTCAGTTGGGGAAGGGGAGTGGGGATGCAGAGTGTGGGAGGCCTTGGGGAGAAATAACAGAGGGAAGAATGGATGAGGGAGATCTGTGCCTGCAGCAGCAGAGGAAAGAAACTGACTGTCAGCCTTCTCGTCATGTGTCTGTGCCACAGTGCCTCAGTGGTCAAGGGCAGCTTTAGATGCAGAATGTCTCTGAGGCTTTGGGGCACAAGATGGACTGAGTTTTCTGTATGTACACAATCAGTTCCTACAAAGTTGGACCATGGCTTATATTACTTTCAATGGCAAAAACTGCAATTACTCTTGCACCAACCTAATACTTCTCTGTTCTCCATGGTGCCTGCACTGGGATGGGCATACAGTGGGTGCTCCATATTTGTTGAATGAGTCATCATTCTTGTCTTTGTCCAGCTTACACTCTAACTGGGAAAATGAAACATTTCTCCAAGGATCACCAAACTTCAGAGACATTAATAGACTACACATTTTCAAGTGTTAAATAAGAATTTGTTGACCATTGAGTAAATATTTGGCAGTAGGGCTTGGGGTTGGGGAAGTTCAGAAACAATTCATGGTAGCCAAGTCTGGTGGTCTAGGCTATAAAGAAAAAGCATGTCTCTCTTCTCTAAGCAGGGCTGTCATTGCAACCCAGTGAGAAAACTCTGTATCTCTGGGGGCCTCAAACTTCAGTTGAATCAGAATCATCTGGAAATCTGTTTAAATCTGCAGCTGCTGAGGGCTGGCCCAAAGATCTGATTCAGCAGTCCTGGGAATCTGCATTTTTAACAAGCTACCCATTTACTTTTGATGGGAGTCCGTTGGGGACTATACACTTAGAAACACTAGTCTACCCCAGGGGCATTCCTCATACAGTGAAGCCTCTTTGAGCCACATAAGCTTCAGGGATTGCAATTCTTAGGGGATTCACAAATAGTTTTAATAGCAGTAAGGTAGCCTCTGTGGGGCTGGCAGATCCAGGAACCTTGCTTTCCCCAGCAGAGGAGAAAGCATCAATCTAGTCTTTTGTTATCCTTCACTTGTGCAGCCAGGAGACAGATTGGCTGAGCTCCAGTGTATGGAATGGAAAGTGAGGATGCCCTCACGGATGTGTGAGGTTTACACACAGGTGATGAGGGTGAGCTGGCATTTCAGCAAGCCACACCATGGGAGCTGTGAAATGCACCAGAGGATAGAGAGTATCCGAGAGATGACTTGCCATGTTAGGGGATGTCTTTAAAGACAGAAAAGCAAAACTATTTATAAGCCAACATACTTTGCAGAGAATTCAGAAAAACCCAACCAATATACTGCACTTTCTTTCATTCTGACTTTTCCTGCTGCATTTTGGCTCTTGGGTGGGTGTTGAGGATTATGACCGCAACCTTGACAGTAATAACCCAGAGCTGACTCCATACGGACACAGTGCTAAGCCCTGAATACTCCTTGTCTCATCTAATCTTCGCAATGACCCTGTGATGTCTGTGTACCACCACTCTCCATTTAACAATTGAGGAAACTGAGGCTTCAGGAATAACAGGTCCAGGGATCTATAGCTGGTAATTGATGGATCCAAGATTTGCTGTCAGTCCCTAGGTTGGAAACATTATCCAAGGAGGAGATTCTTTTATTTACCTTTCTTCTCTCTCTCTTGTTCTCTTCCCCCATGTGCCAAAATGTGCATTCCTCTCCCATCCAATTTATCCTATATAGCTTCTATTTTTGGTAATTTATTATAGGACATGGGGAGTGGAAATGTAATAGAAAATAGATTTTTTTAAAGCATCCATTTGAAACCAAACCTCTCTTCAGCAAGACACACAGGATGAGTACAGGTTTCTACGCAGGACACTTGATAGCTGAAATCATTACAGAAAAACAGAGCCTTGATTTGCGTGGTTGTTAGCAAAGCCCCTCTCCTGTGATTGTGACAGATGTCTTCTGCTTGATAGATTGCTTTCCACGTTAGATTCAAGGATTCTTTTCTCCCCTTCTTCTTGGTGGGCAGAGGGACATGCTTACCAACATAAAATTCAGCCCAAGTTTTAAAGGTGAGATGCAGAGCCAGAAACTGCCCTTCTCTGAGACAGGCCCCTGAGTGAGCTGTTGTTGGTTTGGGGAAGTGACAGGGTATTAGGGAAGGAGCTTTGGAAGCAGATGGTTCAAATCCTACCTCTCCAGCTCACCTTGGACCAGTTACTTTATTTCTCTCAGTTGCTGTGTCCTGATTCCTAGAACATGGATATTAGGGTTTTGAAGGTAGTGGATGCTGAGGTACATCCCCAGGATCCCTTCCTCAGGACAAGCCTTCATTCCCCAGCTGCTTTAAGTATTGGCAGCTAAGCTTCTCCCTAGGAACTGCACTCAGATATAAAGGATTGCATAGCTCAAAGTTATCCCACTCCCTGGGGGCAGCCTGTGTCCATGTCAAGGGTGAAAAGGCCTGGCCATCTTGTCTCAAGGAAGGATGGATGCAGAGCTCCCCATAGGTGGGCATGTGCCTCTGTTATGGCTGCAGTATAGCTTAACTCCTGCCTAGCCTTCATTCCCACACAGGAGTTTGTCCTTCAGATACTCCCACACTAATTTACCTCCTACATGCACATTTCTGTCTCAGAGTCCTGCATATGCAACTGAAGACACCTCACTTACAGGGTTTTGTGATGATTATATGAGATTATTGATATAAGTGCCTACTCTAGGTCTTGGAAAACAGTAGGTCCTCTGAAAATGTAGGTTGTATTTTATTAGTTTTAAAATTTCCTAGAAACTCTTAGACCAAACAGCTTTTCTGTATTTTGGAAAAGTATTGAGTATGCAGTCATGATCAGGGCTCGATAAATTTCAGCGAAAATAGGAATCCTTTGGAGCTATGAAGGAAGCCCTCGTGTCGATTCATGTCAAACTTCATTATCAGAAGTGGTTTGGGACAGTCAGATCAGCTTTGTGTAATGGAATTTTATTGTGGTGATTTTTTTCTATTTTACAAGAAATCATATACTCTCTGAAGGAGAATCTTCCCAGAGATATTTTCACTTATAGGAAGAGATTAAGCAAACTAAATCTTTTAGTGAGGAATTAATGGGGAGAAGAAGTGTTGTAAATCCAGTAGCTGGGAGGGGTGTGTGTGTGTCCCTAAGGATGTATTGGTGGTTTGTTATTTGCTGGGGGGTTAGGAAACTTAGTCGATGGTTACCAGTGGGAATGGTCAGGATATTGGAGGCTCTGTGGAGGGAAGAGGATCTAGTATACCATTTAAAAAGAACATTTCTTGTAGGTGGTTATAAAAGAAGTAGAAAAGAAATGGGAAGAAATGCACATATTACTGAAATGGATAAGTTAAAAAAATGAAAGACCATTCTTTATCCCTGCCTCCCAACATGAGTTCCATTCCTCAGAGGTAACCACCCTCACAAGTTTAGTCCTTATCTCCCTCAGCTTTCCTCTCTACATGTGTGATCATATGCATGCAAATTTGTAATATGGGTATGTACATATTATCTTTTTGAAAATAAATGGGTTCCATCATGCATTCTACTGTGTAATTTGCTTTTTTTTCCACTCACTGTATTGGATATTTTTCTAGATCCGTATATATAGATCGACTTCATCCTTTTTAATATTTGTGCATAATACTCCATTAAATAGCTGCACTAAAATTTATTTAAAATGACCACCATTGCATTAATTCACAATAGTCAAAATATTGAAACAGCTTAAGTGTCCAATGGTGGCTGAATGGATAAAGAAATTGTGATGTATATATATAATATATATATTATATACACATATAATATATATAATATGTATTATATACACACATATAATATATATAATATATATCATATACACATATAATATATAATATATATCATATACACATATTATATATAATATATATCATATACACATATATAATATATCATATACACATATTATATATAATATATATCATATACACATATTATATATAATATATATACACATATAATATATAATATATATCATATACACATATAATATATAATATATATCATATACACATATATAATATATATCATATACACATATGATATATGATATATATCATATACACATATGATATATGATATATATCATATACACATATGATATATGATATATATCATATACACATATGATATATGATATATATCATATATATATCATATATAGTATATAATATATATTATATAATATATAATATATAATATAGAATATATATAATATATAATATAGAATATATAATATATAGAATATAGAATATATAATATATAGAATATAGAATATATAATATATAATATATATAATATATAATATATAATATAGAATATATATTATATACATATATAATATAGAATATATAATATACGTATATAATATATAATATATATTATATACGTATATATTATATATAATATATATTATATACGTATATATTATATATAATATATATTATATACGTATATATAATATATAACATATATAATATATAATATATATTATATACGTATATATAATATATAACATATATAATATATAATATATATTATATACGTATATATAATATATATAATATATATATATAATGGAATATTATTCAGCCATAAAATGGAAGGAAATCCTGCTATTTGTGACAACATGGATAACCTGGAGGACATTATGCCAAGTGAAATAAGCCGGACACAGAAAGACAAATACTGCATAATCTCACTTACATGTGGAATCTAAAAAAGTTGAACTCATAGAAGCAGGGAGTACCAGGGACTGGCGGGTGGAGGATATGGCGATACGTTGTACAATGGATACAAAATTTCAGTTATAAGCTGAACCAGTTCTGGGGATCTAATGTCCAGCATGGGTGGTGATGGATGTATTAATTTGATTTTGGTAATCATCACATTGAACACCTTGAAAATATTCAATTTTTGTTTGACAAGTATTTTAAAATAAATAGATGAATAAATAAATAAACGATCCCTGATAGATATCCATGTTGTTTCTAGCTGTTTGATGTTGTAAACAATGCTGCAAGTGAATATCCTTGTTCACACATCCGTGATACCATTTAAACATATGACCGTGACTTCCATAGGGTTGGATGCACAGTAGGTGTGGAGTCAATAATTGTTAAATTGGATTGAAGGCTATGTGCATGCAGCTTGCTGAGAGACCAAAGGGGCATAGCTCTGCTTAGCACACCACTAGAGGCTGATTTTTCAGGAGAGATTGGCTATCATGTAGATTTGGACGAGGAAAGGGTCTGGTGCACTGAAGTTCTCCTGGGCGAGAAATTGCTTAGGTCTGATGGTGTATTTACTGGGTCTTCTTGTCATTCTTCATGTCACAGAAAACCTTTTCTTTACATCAAAGTTAGCCTGTGCACTGATGCTAGGAGAGTTGGTGTTTTCTTCCTTTGTAGTTTTGGGGCATGGGCTTTGATCTGAGTGCATTTATGGATGATCACAGGGCTGTCACCCAAGCCTGTTAAAATGTTCACAGGTGCTTCTGGCTTTACATGACAAGGGGGCCTATTCAAAGATAACAGTTGGCCGGTGCTGAGCCTCCAACATGTAAATAAGCATTGAATGTGATCACTTACGAATAGTTAATTTTATGTTGCATCCAGAACATGCTCTATAACATAGTAGTTGATCCACAGACCCATTAATGCATCTAAGTGAGGGGTCTGGTTTAATGAGGCTATTCAGCATATTCATGGTCCTGCCTCTGGTTTAATTCTGTCACTCAGGAATCCAAGCAAGCCCAGCACCATGGATGCTGCCTGCACCTGTTGTGCTTTATCAAAGAGTGACTTTTAAGTTTTTTGTACTATATTACCAAATGTTCAGAGAAGGAAGTTTTCATGAGGGCCGTGAAATAATTGGAACAACTCTTTCTAGGAAGTCATGGACCATGTGAGTTCATTCTGTAGCATTCTTATTTTTTCAAAGCACTCTGTCATTTCTTTTGTATTGCATTCTTGTGAAGTAAGGAAGGCAGGCATTCCCAGCCCCATTTTACAGATGTGGAATCTGAGAGTCTGAGTTTAGTGGCTTGTACAGAGTCACATGGGCCCTGAGACCCAAGGCCTGAGACCCAAGCCCTGATTTCCTGTTTTGTGGTCATTGCACTCTTTTTTGCAAATAACAACTCAATGGACATGTCAAAGTGGTGTACACAAAGACTGAGTACACTTACATATAGCACACTGAGCACACAATGAGTTTAATATGTGCAAATTCCTGAGTAAGAGTTGTTAGGATTTAGTTTTGATTTGATACTCAACAGCCCCTCTTTACTGCCACACCCGTGTTTCAACCTGTTGCTGACCATTCTCTTTAACAGAGGCACACACACACAAATATGCATTTAAGGATGATCACACTGCTCCCACAAATTAAATAAAAAGTTATTTTGGAAGAAAGACGGATGATGTCATTCATAATTAGACCCATTATTGAACAAATGGCTATCCTGTGTAACTCTAGGCTGGACATAGAGAAGGCCAGAACTTTGCAAAAGAATTGTCCCTACCCTGAGAGGCTGGCATTGTAGTTGGGGAGATGAGAAGATGCAATTAGATAACACAGGGAAGTGTGTAATCAGTTGTCCATCATGAGCTATGAAAACCTTTATTTCCCTAGGATTTTGGGGAAAGTAGGGTCACTGTGGGATGGAGGAGTCAAGGAAGCAGCATGGGTCCTTAAATTCTCGTAACAAAGGATCTTAGGTGCTAGGTGGAATTTGGATGAAGGGAATGGGAAAAGGAAGACGATTCTATCACACTATAAGCTCCAAAAATTTGGGGTTCAGAGAGGAAACATCAGATAGCTGTAAAGAGAAGGGATCCATCGTCTTCTGATTATATTTGTTAGTTTCCAGAGGAACTTACAGAGTGCCCAAATCACTGATTCCTGGGACGTTTTGCAAATAAAAGTCCCAAGGGTTTAGGTATAAAAGGATAAAAGCCTGGACCACCAAATGTCTTGCAGACTCAATACTTTGGACTTTAGCTGTGGGTGTCCCAGATTTCCTAGTTGTCATTGCTATGTCATCACCATCATCATTATCCACATGTGACATGTTTGCAGAGCTCTTGATGGGGGAGGTTCTGTGGTATTAGAAAACTTGTTTCCCTGGAGTCTCCTTAAGAATATAAAACTGACCCTAAATATGAATCAGTATTTTACCAAGTAATTGCCAAACAGCAAACAAGTATGAGCTCAGAGGGAAGAGTTAACTTTGGGCTAAGATATCTAGGATGGTTTCAAAGATGAGATGGGACCCAACTGGCTCTTGACAAGTATGTGGGCTCAGCGTGTTAGATGAATGAGTAGAAGATGAATGGCAAGACCATTGCAGATCTTTGAAAAGACCTTAGAAAACTACCTTTGGAGATGTGTGGAAGTAGGAATATGATGGCATGTTTGGGAAAGAGTAGACCAGCTTTTTTGAAGAGCCGGGTCCTTGTGGGATATTAGGTAAAAGGAGGAGAAAGGGGCTATGATATGGGGTCTTTAATGTCAGTTTGAAATGTCTAAGAATTTAGATACAAAGTATTATAAAACCACAAAGGTAATCAGGAAATTCTAGATTGTTGGAAAATCATAGGAGCTAATAGATTTTTTAAAATATGAATGATTCTAAAAGATGGATGATTTGCTGTTACCTGTTATGGTAACTGCATCTGGATGCAATGTGAGCTTTGTTCTAGTAGCAATTCATTATGAGATACTTACAGATTATTTTCTCACCTAGTCTTGAATAAAAATGTAATAAATACCCATCCAAGGGGCTGTTGACAAATTGCAAACATAATATGCCACAGACCAGAATTAAGTCAAAGCATTGCCTAAGGTTGGGCTTCAGAGTCACAAGTGGTTGCTTGGACGCTGAGCTGTGATTTTAGGAGTGGGTGGTTTGCCCTGAGCCATCGGCATTCTGCTTCCTGATCACTTTGTGTAGGAAAATAAGGTGGCCTGAGGTGTGCATTCCCTGTACTGGTCAGGAAGCTTTGAGTGACAAGTGAAAGAAATGAAACTCAAACCTTAACCAAATGAAAAACTTAACTAAAAATCCAGCATGGAAGTAGCTTCAGTCATGGCTGGAGCCAGAGAGGCTCAGTGTGGTTATGAGTCTGGCTTTTTCTCTCTCTGTTTCCAATGCTGCTTTCCTCATTGTTAGTTTCATGTTCCAGCAGACTCCATGTGATGGGAAACGTGTGTTCTGGCAATTTAGAGCTTGCATTGACCAAAGGAGAGTAGGTATATATTCTCTTTCTCTTCCTTTCTTCATTTTATCCCTGAAATTGTTGACCCCACTTGGATCATGTGTCTACCCCACCTCTGGACCAATTACTGGTCAGCTTGAGGAGGCAGAACTCTCTAATTGACAGCCTCATCAGAATAAAATGGAGTCGGGAGAGCAGTTTCCGAAGGAAGGGACATGGGCCAGACTAAAGTGGGGGTGGGTAGGGAGGGAGAGATCAAAGTGATACCAACTGATGCTGACTGTCACGGGGTGGGGCTTTATGGTCTTTTGGCTTTAGGTGCTCTCCGGTCCACACAGCCAGCCTCATGCCTAGAATAAAAGGCAGGGGCTCAGCCTTAGCCTGGAGTACAACAAAGGATGTGAATATCAGAGACAGGGACCTATTGGATCTCACAGCCAACCACAGCCCAAGCTTTTTAAGTCTGTAGAAAGTGACTTACCTCTTTGAATTTTTATTCCGAATTCCAGTTAAAGTTATTCATACTGATAGAAGACTATTATTGCTTAGCCTTCAGAAGAAGAAGAGGTTGAAGTTCTTCCCTTAGAAGTTACCAGAATTTAATTCGTGGAAAGTTTTCCATCTTGCATTTGCTGTACTTGGACTAAGGCTCTTGTAGGAGATAAAATCCCTGGCTTTTGTTCCTATTTACTGTGAGTTCTACCTCTCTGGAAAACAATCTGGGCCTGGAGAAAATATACATAAGCAATGTTTAGCATTTACCTGTTAGGGTCTTATAAAAATCTCATAGCAAGTGCAGTTAATACATCCTTTCCAAACCATTTGTTTGGAGAAAGAGGACAAGGGGTAGGAGACGGATCTGATTTTCTCCATTTGGCTGATACAGGAAGTAGTACATAGGAGGGTTAAGAGATTTTCAAAGGAATATTAGTGGCAAAACTGAAAGACAGAAAATTGCACTCTTAATTACAAATCAGTTTTCTTAACAATCGGTCTTTGTCTTTTCTGATTCTAGTATGTTATTTCCTTTCAAAAGGGTAGCACCTTCAACAGTCACTTTCACTGGAGAGCCCATTCAAATCCATTGGTGAGCCCAACGGATCGTAGCCAAGAAATCATTTAATGAGATCTAGACCATTTTACAAGGCATGCTGGGTTTCCATTTATTGTAGTACTGCATTCAATGTGTGCATTTCTCTGATTTTTCTTTCAAAATAGAATGAAAAAACTTTGTTTTCTGTAGCTTTCTCACTGATTGCTAATCCTAAGTGCAGTGGTAATGAAGGGTGTAGCTGTCTGGTTCAAGAGTTCAGGCAAGAGTAGATATTATTGACAAGAGGCTTCTAAGCAGGTATCAAGTATTGAATAAATTTGTTTTGTGATTTTTTTTTCGGTATTGGGTAGAAAAATTATCCTTTCCAGCACTCTGAACATCAGTAATATTTTATTTAATTTTGGCTGCTATTGTTGATGCTCATGTTGTTATTATGTGAGTTTGTGTGAGGAGCTGGTAAATTTCTTTTGTAAAAGGGCATATTGTAAATATTTTGGTTTTGTGGGCCACCGGGTGAGCTACTGGACTCTGCTATTGTGTGAAAGCAACCATACACAATGCATACATGAATGGGTGGGCCTGTGTTCCAATAAAGCTTTATTTACTGAAACAGATGGAGGGTCAGACTTGGCTCATGGGCAGTAGTGTGCAGACTGCTGGTGTATACAGTCTGTTGGATTCTGTCTATGCGGACCGCTGTGTTTGAGCACAATGGAAACACACTGTGTTTTCATATGGTTTCTGCAGCTGCCATCCAGTTCCCTTCCTTTTCCCTTCAGAACTGTGTTACAGGATACAATTAATATCACTATTACTTTTTGAGACCTAGTCTCTCTTTGTCGCCCAGGCTGCAGTTCAGTGGCACGATTTCAGCTCACTGCAACCTCTGCCTCCCAAGTTAAAGTGATTCTGCTGCCTCAGCCTCCTGAGTAGCTGGGAATACAGGTACCTGCCCACCACCATGCCTGGCAAATTTTTATGTTTTCAGTAGAGATGGGGTTTCACCATGTTGGCCAGGCTGGTCTTAAACTCCTGACCTCAAGTGATCCGCTTGCCTTGGCCTTCCAAAGTGCTGGAATTACAGGCGTGAACCACCGTGCCTGGCAGGATACAGTTTTTAAGTGATGTTTCCAAGAGCTCCATTTCCAATGTTTGCATTTTCATCTTAAGAGCTATGAACCTTGGACTGTACTCAGGGGCCTGATTTTAGTTCTTCAGAAGCAAAGACTGTAAAAATCTTCCTGTTCTGGTGCTGGGGTTCAGGTACATGGTCTAGTGAAATGGCACTAGACAAATGATAATAGAGTGCTAGACTGGGTGACCCTGAGCAAACCACTTAATCTCACTGAGTCTGGTTTCAACTATACGAATATCTAGCTTGCTCATTCCACAGGGTTGTTGTGAGGATCATTCATTCATTCAGTTTCTCTTTAGTGAGCACATACTTCCTGCCCTGGCTTTTGCTAGGCATTGGAGAAATAATGGCAAACAAAACAGGGAAAGGCCTACCCTTATAGAGCTTACTTTCAAGTGATCAAATTTGTTGATGTAAGGGAGAGAACACTTCAAATCGATTGATTATACAAGAAGTTAGATTTTCCTGACCATTTTAAACAAATAGCATCCCAAAGTCCAAGGGAAATTTTGGTCATTTTATTAAGAAGTTGAAGTCTCAAGAAAGCCAGTTGGATGGCAGTTTAGATAAAATGATTCGGGTTGAGGGCCAGGGCAGGGAAAGAATGAAAACCAAGTTTAAAAGTGGCCTGATAGGTCAAATGGTATTTCTGGTTCTAGATCCTCGAGGAATCGCCATACTGTCTTCCACAATGGTTGAACTAATTTATGTTCCCAACAACAGTGTACAAGCATTCCTATTTCTGCACAGCCTCGCCAGCATCTATTGTTTCCTGAATTTTTAATAATTGCCATTCTGACTGGTGTGAGATGGTATGTCATTGTGGTTTTGATTTGCATTTCTCTGATGATCAGTGCCATCATCCTCAGCAAACTAACACAGGAACAGAAAACCAAACACTGCATGTTCTCACTCATAAGTAGGAGTTGAACATTGAAAACACATGGACACAGAGAGGGAAACAATACACCGGGGCCTGCTGGAGGGTGGGGGGTGAGGGGAGGGAACTTAGAGGATGGGTAAATAGGTGCATCAAACCACCATGTCACACGTATACCTATGTAACAAACCTGCACATTCTGCACATGTATCCTGTTTTTTTTTTTTTTTTTAAGAAGAAATGAAGAAAAAAAAAAGTGGCCTTATAGAGCTGCTTTCTACTAAAGTTCACTTCTGAAAGAAATCAGAGAGGTTTTCGACTCCATCAGGGTTCCAAACCTGAGGAGATTACCATTAAAGTCAGCTAGTCAAGGGTAAAAATTAGAGTGTAGGAGGATTCATTTTGAAACATTGTCAGCAACCAGCTGGAAAAAAATAGCAGCGACTGTGATTACTAGGAAATTTCTTGGAGGGTGTAGAAGTGTATCAGGTAATCTAATCTGTCACCTACTTCAGTGGCCTTTGGGTGGTTGGATAAGCATTTCAGTTTAGAAGTAAATATCACTGAACAGGAGGGAGAATAACATGGTTATTTAAAACTCTGAGGCCTTTTGGCCAGTTTTGGATTTGTTGTCAGCCAGACCTGATAGCTCATCCAAGTTTCCTTCTATGACTTTTTTTTTTTTTTTTTAGACAGGGTCTCTCACTGTCGCCCAGGCTGGAGTGCAGTGGCACGATCATGGCTTAGTGCAGCCTTGACTTCCTAGACTCAAGTGATCCTCCCACCTCAGCTTACTGAGTTGCTGGGACTACAGGTGTGCACCACCATGCCCAGCTATTTTTGTTTGTTTGTTTTAATTTTTTAGGGACGATATCTCCCTATGTTGCCCAGGCTAGTCTCAAACTCCTGGGCTCAAGCAATCCTCTGGCTTCAGCCTCCCAAAAAGCTGGGATTACAGGAATGAGTCACCATGCCCCAGCTGACTTCTACAGGTTCAACTACAATATTTACAGAGGGAGATCTTTGGGTCCTGGGTGAGGAGGGAAACTGGGGATGGGGTAGGGATGGGTAAAGGGGTCAACAAATTAGAGGCAGACCTGCTTACAGCCTTCTGAAGATAGACTTTCTGCAGAATGAATGTGAAAAGGTTTTGTAAAGTGTAATGGACCAATTTTTCCCTAGTACTCTAGGGAATGTGTGTTCCATCCATGCAGATCCTTGCATCGTGCCTGTAAAATAGCAAACATGCAAGCAACTGTGGAAAGGATCATCTTTGCCATCTTATGTTCAGTGTTCCAGCCATACCAACTCATTTGCAGATCCCCAAATGCACTATGTGCCTTTATAGATGCTGTTTTGGTGCTTGGCCTACTCTCCCCCTCTACTTTGCCTTGCTAGCTCTTGCATCCTCTTTAAGAGTGTACACAGGTGCCCTTTCCTTCCTGGAGGTTTTCTTCTCTCCTCCTCCACCACAAGTCTGGTTCAAATGCTCCACCTTAACCCCCTCTTCCCTCATTTCCCAACCCCAGATATGTCTATTATAGCCCATGTCTCAATAAATTGTAGTCATTTGTATTTTATGGTGGAGACCAATTCTTGGTAATTGAAAAATTTGTCTGAACTTTAGGGGAATCATTAAAAAATACATAATGCCCTGGACATATTATTTTAACTTAAAGTTTAGAGATGTGTATTTATTTGCTCATCTTTTGATATGGGCAGGCCTTCGTTTTTTTTTTTTTTTTTTTAATTGGTCTGCTGATTAGAGTTCCGGATTATCTTTCTTGTTTAACTCACATCCATAATACATCATCTATGATTTCCAGTGCCCGATTTTTTTTTTCATGGAATAGAAACCAACTGGGAAAGCAATTTAAAGACTCTAGATTCTCCCTACTCCCAGTATTTTATACTTTTCCCACTCACACCGAATTAGGTTCAACTACATTTTTAAGTGACTTACCTTTATCAGGTCTTTGCAAAACATTTAACTAAACTTTGACAGAAGCTTTTATTGGTACTCATCTTCTGTTGATTTACATATTACTTAATTAAACAATGTAATTATAATGACATGTAATGACAATGATAAATGGTTTTGAGAATGGACACGGTTGGCTCCTGTAAACACATACCTCAGTTGTGGGAGAAGCAGTGCTTGTGTATATGAGAATGGAATAACAGGTGACCCGACTGGTAGGAGTAGCATGAAGTAGGCATCAGAAGCAATGGAGAATCCCAGTTAATCCAGCAGCTCAGTGGAGCACAAGTTAAGGGAGCAACATAGATTGAGCTAGCCCAGTGCCTGTTCGAGTGGATATTCAATAATTTGTTAAATAAATGTGAGAATGATCCAGGAAGTCGAGAACTTCTGGGGATATGAGCTTCAGGACCACTGGATTTGAACTCGTAATTGGCCATCTCCTCTACCTAGAGGGGTGCTGGGCCCGAGTCAAAAGCCTAGAACTTAACCACTGTCTGCAAAATGAGACTGTGAAGAGAAATCTCTCTCCAATAACAGGGTGCAGATTTCTTGCCGAGGCTGCTAGCTGTTGCTGACGAGTGAGTATGAAAGTCTCCCTCCTTGCTCCCTGGATGACCTCTTTGCCATTCCTTCTTGTTTAAGCTCCTCTTCTTTGGCTCTGAAACCTGTGAAATGTTTGGAGACTAGAGTTTCTTTTGTTTGTTTGTTTCTTTTCTTCTTCTTTTTTTTTTTTTTTTTTTTTTTTTGAGAAGGAGTCTTGCTCTGTGGCCAGACTGGAGTGCAGTGGCACCATCTCAGCTCACTGCACCCTCTGCCTCCCGGGTTCAAGCGATTCTCCTGTCTCAGCCTCCGGAGTAGCTGGGGACTACAGGCGTGCACCACCACGCCCAGGTGATTTTTGTATTTTTAGTAGAGACAGGCTTTCACCATGTTGGCCAGGATGGTCTCCATCTCTTGACCTCGTGATCCGCCCACCTCGGCCTCCCAAAGTGCTGGGATTACAGGCGTGAGCCACTGTGCCCGGGCCAGAGACTAGAGTTTCTTGAGAGATATACTACTGAAAGAAGCTATCTGTATTAAAATTCAGTATGTGTAAACTACTTTAATGAACCTGGTTCCACCGTAGCATATGGGAAGTCAGATGGTAAGGGGTGCGATGTATGCATCAGTGTCCCTCTCCTGGTATAGTCCCACTTCCCTGTGGATAAATTTACCTTACCTATAGGGAGGCACTCACAAGAAGCTTATGCACACACACATACACATATGTACATTTATGTGTTTTATTTATACCTACATAAACATGTATATGCACACATACATAATGTATACATGTACATCTATAAGCTATAGGTCTATAATGACTTTTTCTTCTAAACGTGAGAAGAAAAATGATTTTTTCTTTTAAACGTAAGTGTGGGCACGTGGAAGATTGCTGTGGTTGCAAGGTCAGCTCTTGCAATCTAGGGACTGTGGAGAGAGACAGAGACTAAAGTTTTTCATATGTGTGTGGTATTGGAGTGGGGGTTGCTTAAATTAATAAGTTAATGGAGAGAAGTGTGAGCTATCTGAGGCATCGCATAGAGACAGGGCAGTCAGGCTTATCCACAAGAAGGAGCAGTGGGAATTGAGTCCAAGAGCCAGAAAAACATACTGATGTAGTGGCTAAGAGCACGTTTCCTAGTTTCAAATAGTTGTGGGTACAAAATCTGGCTCTGCTACTTACTAGCTGTATATCTAGGCAACTTACCTTAGTGTTTCATGGTTTAGTCCATAAGAAAGAGAATAATAGGACTTCCTTCACAGAGCTGGTATGATAATTAGATTTTATATGTAAAGTAATATACATAGTGTCAGCCATTCAGTAAGATACTTAAAAATGTGATATTCTTATAAATATTAATTGTATCTGGGGACAGCACAGGAACCTGCTATGGGGGCACTTTTTGGTAGTAATTGAGATCTAAAGACCCTCACTGAACCAGACTCTCTGATTAACACTGAGTAGTAAAGTGTAGTTCCAGGTACTTTGGGGCTAGGGGGAATCAACGAAGTAGATTTCAGGACCACCACAATGCAGGTTTGCATATAATAGGAGAGAGGTGGCCAACATCCATAGAAGGAGGACCTGAATCACATTCAAGGAAAATATATAAATGAATATCAACGATGAGATCCTATCCCATGCAGGGGTTGAGATACCCTGGGCAGTTTGTTTCACCTGCCTTTAATCACTGAGATTAACACTCAAAGGCTGAGAGCTAGTTAAAATGTATCTGCCTCCTGCCTATTTCCGAAACCAGAATAGAATGCCTGTTGCTTCCCTTCCCCCATCCCCAGCCCACTCCAAGCCTGTTCTTTATCCCTTATATTAGGAAGGATTTGCCCATGACAGTCTTGAGACCTAATGTCAGATACACTTGGGATGCAGATCTTTTATTGAAGAGAAGGTTGGACTTGACAGTGAGAGGGGTTGAGATGAATGAGTTTCCATTGTATTTATAGAAACTCAGTGCAATATCTCTCAAGGTATAAATAGAACAATGAAGTGTTGACAAAGGGGCTGGTTTTCTGTAACTGTGGAAACCCTGCAATTATTCCTGGAACTACACTCATTGTTTATCTGCATCTGAATTTTAATAAACAGGGCTCTTGCTGCTTATTCATGAATTTTCAAATGGAAATATCTCTCCCATTATTATCCCCTTCTTGTGAGTCAGGCCCCATCTTGCAAA
Organism: Homo sapiens; assembly: GCF_000001405.40. Taxonomy (NCBI): domain Eukaryota; kingdom Metazoa; phylum Chordata; class Mammalia; order Primates; family Hominidae; genus Homo; species Homo sapiens. The sequence continues at coordinate 104,708,216 of NC_000010.11, forward strand.
TTTGCAGCTGAGTAAATATACGGAACATTAGCAGCAATTAGATAATTGGTGCCCCGGATCAGCCCACCCACAGCTGTGAATGAATATGGGCTGCATGAGTGTCACCTGGTGCAGCCTTCCTGATGGCACTGCATGCCACCACAGTCTTGCAATTAAGCACAGAATTTTACCAGCCTTAGTCCTGGCCCTCCTTTCTCCCAAGAGACCCAGACTAGCAAGGTAAGTGAGGTTCCCTATTCTTCCAGCTGTCATCATACAATGAGAGATGTTAGGCCAAAGAAGTTGGTAAAGAAGAGAAAGTCCATGTATCTTCGCTTAGCTGATTGCTAAATTGCTTCTGATAACTTGTTTGGTGCATATAGCCAGCAAAAATTCATGTTTGGATCTGGGCTGGGGAGTTGGGTCATAAATCCTGTTTTTCTGTAAATCTCCCAAAACTTGCTAGCTCTGGGCTGGCCACATTTCTTCCCCCCCATCATCAGTTTTTTGGCCTCTGGCATTAACTTGGGATTCCTTTTAGCAGCCATATTTTAATCTCTCTTTCCTTTGGATAATATTTCTTCCAGGCCTCAGACTGCACTGGGTGCCTTTGCCAGCTCATGCTTTGCTCCTGTTCCTCAGGCAATCACAAAGCCCTTTTGAGGCATATAGATTTTGTTTTTTAATTGCTAGAGACTTCAGGAAAACAGAGTACTATTGCAAAAGGGAAAGTGGCAAGAGGGCTGCGCCTGCTATTATGACATTATGATGGAGGCTCATTAGCGTGCAGTGGAGCCACTTCTTTTCCTCCTCTGCCTTGGCCACCTGGCCCATCTCCTCGCTTTTGCTTTTGGTTAGACAGCAATTCTGTCTAGCCCTCCAGTCTCTCACACTCATTCTCCAGCCTCACACTCCCTGGAAGCTTTCCCAGGTTACTTCTTTCCTTTTTTATTGCATCCACCTTCTGTGTGTTTGGGAGGAGGCGGGTAGAGAGGGAGTTGGAAATAGTGAGGTAGAGGGGGAGATTTGGGTTGGGTGTTTGGATCTGGGAATGCGTCACATGGAATTCATTCATCTCCTGGAGATCCTTCCAGGCCACCTCACTGTGTCCCTGCATAGCAGGAATGTCATATTGGGCAATGAACAGTGGTCTCCAAGGAAAGCTCCAGAAGAAGTTGAAGTCTGGGTGGGATTTTGTGCCAATTCTCCCCTGTTTTTTTGATATGTACCATCCCTTTATAGGCATGGGATACATTATCTTTTGTTTATTATTAGAATTTTTTTACATTGCTAATATTTAACATCATTCATGTAATACTAAAAGTACATTTCCTGTACTGAGCACCTACTCTGCTTTATGTACAATTATATATCTTTTCAGCACCCCATGAGATTAATCTTATGATGTCCATTTGACAGATGGGGAACTCAGATTCAGAGAAGTTTAGGAAACATTACAAGGTCACAACAGCTAGTATGTGGCAAAGATGGAGTCCACACTTAGGCTTAACTAATTGCAAAGCCCATACTCTGAAACTGTGCTAAATTGCAGGACTCAAGTCATTTTGGGATACAATTAATGTCTGACTTGTTCTTTGCTTGAGAGTGAGATGTTATCTGTATAGCCTGCATTTTGGTTCCTTAAATAATGTGTCCAATTTGGTGAAGCCATTAAAAACACAAACTCAGGCAGTGGTGTTGGTTTTTTTTTTTTTAATTAAAAAAATTTTTTTTAACCTTTGCTGAATTTTCCCTTCTAGCTAGAAACTAGTTTTCCCAGTACTCTCTTGGTTCTTACTGCTGCCAACACATCAGATGTATCAACCACCTGAAATTGGGCTGCAGGGGTAGAATTTATTTGCAAACATTTTAATTTCCCTGGTGATAAGCAAATTAATTTTGTTGCAACTCTTTAACATTCTAATCGAATGATGGAATGTCACTGAATGTATTTTACAGATCAAAGACAGCCAACGTCTTCCCATCTTTCAGAAAAAACAGAGCTGAGACCTGAGTCTGCATTTTCCTTTGCCCTATAGCCCAACCCAGCTTATCCTCCTGAGCTTGAGAAAAGTCATTTGACTGAGGCTGTCAAATCTGCAATCCAGCCAAAGTGCTGGCAGTCACCTGTGCTGGGGAAGGACCTTTGCTTCATTTATTCATGTATCACATATTTCTTAGGTGTCTACTATGTATGTACCAGGCACTGTTCTGGCTCAGTAGTGAAAAAAACGGGCAAGTCTCTTTGCTGTTCTCTCAGAGGAGGCAGAGGATAAACTAATGAACAAATGCAATGTACAATCCATGAAGAAGAGCAAAGCAACATAATACATACAGAATACTGGGGTTGCTGTTTGAGAGGGCTTCTCTGGGGAGGTGATATTTGAGAAAAGCCAGAATGAAGTGACGAAGAACATTTCAGCCAGAGGGAACAGCACATCCATGAGGTTTATGCTCATCTTCAGATCAAACCCCCACCCCCACCTCATCCAGAGCAATGAATTGTCCTGAACTGAATATTCTGTAGTTGTCCATTCTTGTGGCTCATAGGAGCTTTCTCCAGACCAACTTCTTTGGAAAATGCTTATTTCATCTGAGTTCCTCTCTCATTAAGAAGTTTAGGGAAAAGTAGACAGCATCACCATAAAAAGGCAACATGTGAAGCATGAGGAGGAGGGGACAGTAACATGGATTTGCAATTTCTGCCTCTGTTGGCCAAGCAGTGGCATTTGTGAGTAGATGGAACAAAATGTTGGGAGATTAGATGGACGTTTCCAGGATCATCCATTGCAAATATTTATCAATTTCTTATTATGTGCTAGAGCTTGTGAGATGAGGTGGAACCACTTTGGTATGCAAGTCCCTTCATCAATAATTTATTATTGTTATTAATTTATTTTTATTGAACAAATCTTAGCTGTCATTATTCTTGAGCACTTACAATATACCAGGTACTGTTCTAACCACTTTACATGAATTAACTAATTTAATCCTCACAACAGGCCTAGGTTCTTTTATTGTCCATGTTTTATGATTGAGAAAAAGGAAGCACAGAGAGGTTGATAATTGCCCAGGGTTGCACACTGACATCTGATCCAGGTTTTAAACTTGGACAGTCTGGGAATGAACATCTGTAATTTACTGCGGGCCATGCACTGTGGTGAGAGCTGTCAGCTTAGTGCTTTTAAGTGGTGAGAGCTGTCAGCTTAGTGCTCTTATCTTTACATGAGAAAACTGAGGCTGGAAAGGTCAAGCGTCTTACTGGAGGCCACATAGTTGGGCAGCTGCAGAATCCAGAATCTAACATGAAATCTAATCTTTCTGGCCGTAAGGCTGTGTTTTAAGGGCTCTGTTAAGCTACCCTTCCTAGCAATCCAGCTCAGGCCACACTCACTTTCTGGGAGTGCAGGGAGGACCAGAGCTAGCTCCTGCCTTGGGCAATTTCCCAGCACCAAGTTGTGGCCCCTCCTCTGCCTTGCATTTCTGCATAGAGACAGATTCAAGGTGAGAACTGGCCTCTGGGGATTATGGTGGAGTTGTACTGGAAGGACTTTTGGAAGCATCACAGGCTACTGAGTCCAGGGTATTGTGGCTCTGGGACACCTTGAGGAAAGTTCAGAGTTGGGGATATTTGAGCTAAGGGTGTTGTCCTGTGAGTTCTGTGCCTGGAGGACATAGGAAGGGAAGGGAAGGGAAGTGAAGGAGGATGGAACTAGTTTATGCCAAGTTAATCACCACTGCCTGCCCCGCTTTTCCATATCTCTCATGATGTTTCTATGGCACCCTTCCAATAACCAAGTTACCATTAGTTTTCAGGTTTTTGTTCTTATTGTACTGGATCCTCAGCACATAAGTTTCTCCCCTTTCCTACTCTCGTGATTCTTCCAGATAATAACAACAATCAAAAGTAGCAACAAATAATTTGGCTCATTCTTCCCACTTTACAAAGTACTTTATGTATGCATCATCTCCTTGAATCCGGTTAACAACCTTGTGAAATATCATTATTTCAGACCTGTACCAGTATGAGGAAATGGGGGTTCAGAAAGGTTCCTTGACCTGCCTGTTGCCACACAGCTACTAAGTAACTGCCAGAGCCCAATTCTAGTTGCTTAACTCTTCCCCTTTCTGCCACGCAGCCTCTCCAAATAATTTCCTAATTAGTCTATTTAACGATTCTCTGTCAAGCTGGCTTCAGTTGCCCTTGCAAAGACAAGCTTGAGTGAAATCAAATGATTTCACTGCTGAATGAAAACATTTGCATGATGCTATTTTCTAAGCCATCCTCACATGTGAGTCTCTTGGCTCAGGAAGCCAATCCAGGTTGGGGGAGAGCTGTAGAGGCTGAGGAGGGATAGGATTCCTTTCTTGTCATAGGTGAGCTAGTTAGAATTCCCAGAGCCTGGCAGCGTGTTCCTTGAAGGGCCAGTATGTCTAGGGAAGGAAGAGACAGAGGAGGCCTCCATCTTGTAACAACAGTAAGTGTTCCTCTTGCTGAGAAAATGCTCACAGCTGAAGGATAGCTATGGACCTACTGCTTCCAACATAGGAACCCTCTTTCCAAGTGGTCTTGGCCCCTAAGTAACCCAGATGAGGACAAACTGGATAATTCAGTCAAGGAAAATTAACAAGCACCTACTGTGTGATGGGGATATAGCAATTTATAACCCATGGTCTTGAGGGGTTTGCTTTCCAGTGGGTGACAGTCAGTAAACAAAATAAATTATTCCGTATGTTAGAAAATGCTATGGAGAAAAATAAAGCAGGGTATGGTATGTGCTATGGGTGGGATTTCAGATAAACAGGATTTAAAGTAACTGGGCAGGTTTTATTTATTTTCAAGATGTGCATTCAGTTTATTAAAAAACCCCAAACACGAAAATTTGCACAGGGCCAGGCAGTGCAATATACCAGCCTTTCTCAAGTGTGTGTGCGTGTGTGTGTGTGTGTGTGTGTAGTGTGGGTGCGTGCATGCATATAAAATGAAACTTCAAAGTGACAAGAAAGCTTTTACTCCAGGCAGGTGCTATGTCACCTTTCCTCATCTGTGCTCTTCCCAACACAAGGTTGTCATCTTTGTTGCATGTGGGTGGTGGTAACAAAGAAGAAGTCCCAACCCTCCTCAGCCTCAGCAGCCTCCTGTAAACCTGAGGGAAAAATCAGCTTTCACCTTTTGTCCTTTTCTGTGGGATGTTTTTCTTTTTCTTAGCTCATGTCATCATGCTAGCTGTACGTTTTTTGGGTAGATATTCTTTACCAAACTGAGGAAGTTCCCCTCTGTTTCTAGTTTGCTGAGAGTTTTTATCATGGTAGATGTTGGATTTTGTCAAGTCCTTTTCCCACATTGATTGATGTGATCGCAGGGTTTTTCTTCTATAGTCTGTTGATGTAGCGGCTTACATTGGTTGATTTTCATATTGAACCAACCTTGCATATCTGGGATAAATCCCATTTGGTTGCATTATATAATTTTTTTTATATATTGTTGAGTTGATTTGCTAATATTGGTTGGGGATTTTTACATGTGTGTTCATGAGAGATAATTCGTCTGTAGTTTTCCTGTCTTACAATGCTGTTATCTGGTTTGGGGGTATTATAGAATGCTTCTGTTTTCTAGAAGAGATTGTAGAAAATTGGAATCATTTCTTTCTTCAGTGATTGGTAGAATTCATAGGTGAAAGCATCAGGCCTGGTGATTTCTTTTTTGGAAGGTTTATTATTGACTCAATTTCTTTAACAGAAATAGGGATATTCAAGTTATTTATTTCTCCTTGTGTGAGTTATGCTAGTTTGTGTCTTTCAATGAATTGGTCCATTTTATATGAAGTATCAAATTTGTAAGCATAGTTATCTGTAGTAGTAATTTATTATCCTTTTAATGTCAGCAGAATCCATAATGATGACTAGTCTTTTATTTCTGATATTGGTAATTTGTGTCTTTTTTCTTTTTTTCCTGGTTATCTTCATGAGATATTTGTCATTTTTATTGATCTTTTCAAAGAACCAGCATTAGGTTTAATTAATTTTCTCTATTGTTTTTCTGTTTTCAAGTTCACTGAATTTTGCTCAAATTTTTCTTCTTTCTTTTTTTCTCACCTGCTTTAAGCTTAAATTACTATTTTTCCTCTAGTTTCCTAAGGTGTAATCTTAGGTTCATTGATTTTATAGCTTTCTTATTTTCTAACATATGCACTTAATGCTATATTTTTCCTGTTAGGCACTACTTTTTCTGCATCTGACATATTTTGATAAGTTGTATTTTAATTTTAATTTTGTTAGAAATATTTAAAAACTTGTCTTCATTTTTGACCCAAAGTTATTTAGAAATGTGTTGTTTAATTTCCAAATATTTGGGAATTTTTACAACTATCTTTTTGTGGTTATTGGTTTCTAGTCTAATTCCACTGTGGTCTGAGGACATACTTTGAAGGATTTCTATTCTTTTAAACTTGTTAAGATGTATTTTATTGCTCCAAATATGGTGTATCTTGGTGAATATTCCATGCCAGCTTGAGAAGAAACACATATTCTGCTGTTATTAGATGGTAGATTTTGGAGTTTCATGCCAGTTTTAGATTCAGATCAAGACCACAGACTTCCCTGCCTTTCTCTCTGAGCCCATACAATGCTGCCTTCCCAGTAGGGAAGCTCCCAGCATGGTTGAAAGTTAAATGAGGGTAACTTTCAATCAGACAAGCAACCAAGTCACAGGCATTATTAGGAAGACCAGAGTCAAGAGGACAGGGAGGAGCTGGGTGATGGGTCATAGGCTAAATTATATGTGGGGTTGGGAGGAATGAGTATAATTTAAGCTCGTGTTGTATTACCACCTGTGCTTGGTACTCCATACCAATTATTTTGTGTAAGCTACCTTAGTACTCTCCAAAGTAGGTGGGATGGCTAATTTTGTGTGTCAACTTGACTGGGTTAAGGGATGCCCAGATAGCTGGGAAAACATTATTTCTGGGTGTGTCTGTGAGGGTGTTTCTGGAAGGGACCAGCATTTGAATCAGTAGACTGAGTAAGGAAGATTCCACCCTCACCACGGTGGGTGGGCATCATCCAATCTGTTGCAGGCCCAAATAGAACAAAAAGGAGGAGAAAGGGAGAATTCACTCTCTCTCTTCTTAAGTTGGGACATCCATCTTCTCCTGTCTTTGGATGTTGGAGTTTCTGGTTCTTGAGCCTTTGGACTCCAGGAGTTACACCATCAGCTCCCCTGGTTATCAGGCCATCAGACTTGGACTGAATTACCTATTGGCTTTCCTGGTTCTTCATCTTGCAGACGGCAGATCATGGGACTTCTCAGCCTCCATAATTGCGTGAGCCAATTCTCATAATAAATCTCTTCATATGTATCTGTATATCCTGTTGTTTCTGTTTGTCTGGAGAACTCTAATACAGTACAGTACATCGAAGGGGTAGGTGAAACACTAGATCTTCTGTTTTTGTTTTTGAATCTCATTGTTTTACTATTTCTGTTTCTAGGTGTATTTTAAAATGTATGGAACATAGTAGTAGAAAACTATAAAGCAGATAAGGACTAGTTCTTATCACCTCCACTGGTAAAACCCTGGTGTAGTCACCTTGATCTCTCACTAGGATTATTGCAGTAGCCTTAGATCTATTCTCCCTGATTTCAGCCTTCTTGCAGTGTGATCACACCAGGTGATTCTCTTACACACAGGTCAGGCCACGCCACCCTCTTCTCTGGCTTTCTGGTGTATGCCAAGTAGAGCCAAAGTTCTTACTGCTTATCTTCTCCCGTGCTGCTCTCACCTCTCTCCTGACCACCCATTTACAGGAGTCTCCTTGCTGCTTCCACCTCAGAGCTCTTGCAGTGGAGTTCCCTCTGCCTGAATCCTCTTTCCCCAAATCTATTCAACTTGCTTCCTTAATTTCTTTAAGTCTTTTAAATTTGTACCCTGCTGCATTTCCCAGTCCCCCTTCCTGCATTATTTTTTTCTCATAACATTTTCACTGTCGGACAGGTAATTTACTTATTTATTTTATGTATTGATTATCTTTCCCAAACTAGAATATAAGATACACGAGGACAAGGTTTTTGTTTTGGTACTGCTGCATTTCTGGAGTCTGATATCTACACGGAAGGTCCTCAGTGAACATTTGTTGACTACATGAAAGAATAAATATTGCAGGAGATGTTAAACTTTGTTGAGTGATGGGGTGCATAATGAAAACATTAGGTAGCCTAAGAGAAGTAAGGCTGAGTTCATGCTGCTGCTAGAAAGAGGGAGAGCTGAGTTTCAAATTCAGGGCTTCCTGATGCCAATGCTCACACTAATCCAAGATGCCATGGGGGTCGGGGAGGGGGCAAGAGAGAGAGACAGGGAGACAGGGAGTGGGGAGAGAGAAGAATGAGGATGAGAATATGAATGAGAATAAGAATTGAACTTAAAAGAAATCATTAGGACCAAGGAGAGCAAATAGGACCCACGTTTAGTCAGCAGGCAGTTCTTTTGGGACAAGAAATCATCTTAATTCCTCCAGGACCTTTAAGATCTGGTTGTCTGCGGAATGTTTTGGGGTTGGGGGAGAGTTTCTTTATCTCCTGCAAGTTCCCTGAAGTTGAGTCTCAGGTCAGTGGAGACAGATCTCCCTCCATGGTGGACCATTGTCATCTCTATTTGTAGGGTTTCACTTAGTGAGTTAGATGTCAGCTGGCACTGCAGTTCTGACTGGAAGAGAGAAAGCACTTGAAGAGCTTCCCTACCATTGAGGGAGAAGTCATTTTTCTAATTGTCTTCTCCACCAAAAAAGAAGTATATTCTAGCCTTGAAAATGGCAGCATGGGCCAGGCACAGTGGCTCATGCCTGTAATTCCCGCCTTTGGAAGGCCAAGGCAGAAGAATATCTTGAGACCAGGATTTCAGGACCAGCCCAGGCGGCATAGCAAGGCCTCTTCCCTATGAAAAACAAATTAGTCAGGCATGGTGGCTCACACTTGTAATCCCAGTTTCTTGGAAGGCTGAGATGGGAGTATCACTTGAGCCTAGGAGTTTGAGGCTGCAGTGAATTATGGTTGTACCACTGCACTCCAGCCTGGGTGACAGAGGGGAGACCCTATCTCTAAGAAAAAAAATGTAAAAAAAAAAAAAAAAAGGAAAAAGAAAATGTCAGCATGCAGTAAAACAAAAAGAAAGAGATGTTCTGTTTTGACCTCCTTCAGGTTTCCTTCTGTTCTCCAGTTCCTTTTCCTACTCAGAGCATTATTTCTTCCTTTCCAGTCCCGGACACCTAGAGCTCACCCACAAGGCGCCCAGCATTGTTGCCTGCTGTCTGTGTGAGCTGGTCTTCTCCACTGGGCTCTTTGTGGGTCCTTCTCTTTTTCCCTTTCAGTTGCTACCTTTGTTTATGAGTGTCTTCTCCCTGATGATCACATAGAAAACCCTGGGGCAGTGACAAGTAGGAGACCTCTGAGGGCACCACCTGCATATTGTGCTTGTGAGATAGTCACACCATCCAAGGAAAACAATTACAGCAGAAAACAGAGGGTCAGAGCTGGGCAGTTTGATGAAATTTAAGATTTAAAAAGCCTCAGGATACTGAATTATGTTAATCATAAGTCTTAGTCCATTTGGGCTGCTATAACAGTATACCACAGACTGAGTAATTTATAAATAAGCAAAAAAAAGTGTATTTGGGCCAGGCATGGTGGCTCACGCCTGTAATCCCAGCACTTTGAGAGGCCGAGGCAGGTGGATCATCTCAGGTCAGGAGTTGGAGACTAACCTGTCCAACATGGTGAAACCCCATCTCTACTAAAAATACAAAAATAAAATTAGCCAGGCATGGTGGCAGGTGCCTGTAATCCCAGCTACTCAGGAGACTGCGGCAGGAGAATCGCTTGAACCTGGGAGGCGGAGGTTGTGGTGAGCTGAGATTGCACCACTGCATTCCAGCCTGAGCGACAGAGTGAGACTCCGTCCTCAAAATAAATAAATAAATAAATGAATAAATAAATAAATAAGAGAAAGAAGTGTATTTGGCTCAAGTTTTGGAGGCTGAAAAGCTCAAGATCAAGGGGCCCCTACCTGGTGTAGGCCTTTTTGCTGTGTCATCCCATGGCAGAAGGTAGAAAGGCAGGATAGCATGAGAGAGCAAGAGAGGGCGAAACTTGCCTTTATAACAAACTCACCCTTACAATGATGAACCCGTTCCCTCCATAATGACATTCATCCATTCATGAGGGCTCTGACCTTCATGACATAATCACCTCTTAAAGGTAACCACCTCTCAACACTGTTGCATTGGGGGTTAAGTTTCCAACACATGTGCTTTGGGAGACACGTTCAAACTGCAGCACTGTAGAAGAAAGGTTTGTGTAGGGGGGTGCCTCTGAAGTACAATTAGAGTCTGAGAAATCTGATCCCACTCTGACCCTTCCCTATGGTATCTACTGCAGGAAATAAATCTGGAGCCTATCCAAGGAGGAATAGATTGCAGTAATGGGCCCCTGCTTTGAGGAATTAGGTGTGTTGAGTGTGAGAATTTCAGTAAAGACCATAACAGAAGGAAACTCAGTTCTGAGGTCAATGTGATGAACAAAGTAGGCCCGAGGAACTGGAGGAAGTCCAGGAAAGTGGGAGAAATGTTAGGAATATGCCATTATGGAAATGACTATTTGTCTACAGTTATTAAGAATGTTGGAAAAAAGAAAAATTCTGGTTTTATTTCATAAAAATAAAGAAGGGAACTGTCTAAGACAGTGCTGTCCAATTGAAATATAACATGTGCCACATCTGCAATGTAAATTTTCTCATAGCCAAGTTAAAAAAGGAAAAAGAAACAAGTGAAATTAATTTGAATGATATATTTTAATTTATTCAATATATCCAAATCTTATTTGAATGTGTAATTACTATAAAAATATTAATTTTATATATATTTTTCATACTAAGTATTTGAAATCTTGTATTTGACACCTAAGCCCATCTCAATTCTGACTAGCCACCTTCCAAGTGCTCCGTAATTACATGTAGCTAATGGCTGCCGTATTGGACAGCACGGGTCTAGAAGGTCCTCTTTTCTTTTCTAAAATCCTGATTATTTTATTCCTTCCTCATTATAAGCATACCCTGGTTTTGCTTGTCCTTCATGCTTCAGTGTCTAGCGTGTGTGTGCTGCATGTGGCTTTGGTTAATGGTTGCAGGGGTATAGGTTTGTCAATGTGATTGAATATAAGTAATTCGAGAATGGAGCTATGTCTTTTTACTTCCGTATTCCTTGACTCTGAAAGAATTCCTCGACTTCTGTATTCATCTGAAAGAATGGAAAGGTTGTGGAGAATGGATGGTGGATGCCCAGGGAAAGACATTACTCCATATCTCTATCTGATCTTAGACTAAATTGCTTCGCTTCTCTGCTCTTCTCCTTCTCCGTTAAATGGGGATGGTGGGATCATTTATACCTGCCTCCAGGATTGTTTTGAGGCTAAAGGAACACTGAATATAAAAGACACTTGGAAAAACACCATGCATGTATGTGAGGGTGTATTTATTACTTTAAGATCATTGAAATCAGCTGGTTTGTCTCTCTCTCTTCATGTGACGGTAATTTCTTTGCCAGCAGGAAACCATGAGAATTATGTGAATGAGAATTATGCTCTTGCCGAGATTGGAAGTGTGTGAATGTATGTGTTGGGGTGAGGGGGAACAAATGGATATGGATCTGAAAGTTGTCTGATGAAAGATTTCCCCACTTTGTGTGTAAGTCCATGTTAGAAAGCTAATTAGAAAGCCAGGTGAGCTTTCTGCTCATAGGTTTTTTTTTTTTTATACTTTAAGTTTTAGGGTACATGTGCACAACGTGCAGGTTTGTGACATATGTATACATGTGCCATGTTGGTGTGCTGCACCTGTTAACTCGTCATTTAACAATAGGTATATCTCCTAATCCTATCCCTCCCCCTTCCCCCGACCCCACAACAGGCCCCAGTGTGTCATGTTCCCCTTCCTGTGTCCATGTGTTCTCATTGTTCAGTTCCCACCTATGAGTGAGAAAATGCGGTGTTTGGTTTTTTGTCCTTGCAATAGTTTGCTGAGAATGATGATTTCCAGCTTCATTCATGTCCCTACAAAGGATGTGACCTCATCATTTTTTATGGCTGCATAGTATTCCATGGTGTATATGTGCCACATTTTCTTAATCCAGTCTATCATTGTTGGACATTTGGGTTGGTTCCAAGTCTTTGCTATTGTGAATAGTGCCACAATAAACATAAGTGTGCATGTGTCTTTATAGAAGCATGTTTATAATCCTTTGGATATATACCCAGTAATGGGATGGCTGGGTTAAATGGTATTTCTAGTTCTAGATCCCTGAGGAATTGCCTCACTGACTTCCACAATGGTCGAACTAGTTTACAGTCCCACTAACAGTGTAAAAGTGTTCCTATTTCTCCACATCCTCTCCAGCACCTGTTGTTTCCTGACTTTTTAATGATCGCCCTTCTAACTGGTGTGAGATGGTATCTCATTGTGGTTTTGATTTGCATTTCTCTGATGGCCAGTGATGATGAGCATTTTTCCATGTGTCTGTTGGCTGCATAAATGTCTTCTTTTGAGAAGTGTCTGTTCATATCCTTTGCCCACTTGTTGATGGGGTTGTTTGTTTTTTTCTTGTAAATTTGTTTGAGTTCATTGTAGATTCTGGATATTAGCCCTTTATCAGATGTATAGATTGCAAAAATTTTCTCCCACTCTGTAGGTTGCCTGTTCACTCTGATGGTGGTTTCTTTTGCTATACAGAAGCTCTTGAGTTTAATTAGATCCCATTTGTCAACTTTGGCTTTTGTTGCCATGGCTTTTGGTGTTATAGACATGAAGTCCTTGCTCATGCCTATGTCCTGAATGGTATTACCTAGGTTTTCTTCTAGGGTTTTGATGGTTTTCGGTCTAACATTTAAGTCTTTAACCCATCTTGAATTAATTTTTGTATAAGGTGTAAGGAAGGGATCCAGTTTCAGCTTTCTACATATGGCTAGCCAGTTTTCCCAGCACCATTTATTAAATAGGGAATCCTTTCCCCATTGCTTGTTTTTGTCAGGTTTGTCAAAGATCAGATAGTTGTAGATATGCAGCATTATTTCTGAGGGCTCTGTTCTGTTCCATTGATCTATATTTCTGTTTTGGTACCAGTACCATGCTGTTTTGGTTACTGTAGCCTTGTAGTATAGTTTGAAGTCAGGTAGCCTGATGCGACCGGCTTTGTTCTTTTGGCTTAGGATTGACTTGGCAATGCGGGCTCTTTTTTGGTTCCATATGAACTTTAAAGTAGTTTTTTCCAATTCTGTGAAGAAAGTCATTGGTAGCTTGATGGGGATGGCATTGAATCTATAAATTACCTTGGGCAGTATGGCCATTTTCACGATATTGATTCTTCCTACCCATGAGCATGGAATGTTCTTCCATTTGTTTGTATTCTCTTTTATTTTATTGAGCAGTGGTTTGTAGTTCTCCTTGAAGAGGTCCTTCACGTCCCTTATAAGTTGGATTCCTAGGTATTTTATCCTCTTTGAAGCAATTGTGAATGGGAGTTCACTCATGATTTGGCTCTCTGTTTGTCTGTTATTGGTGTATAAGAATGCTTGTGATTTTTGCACATTGATTTTGTATCCTGAGACTTCACTTAAGTTGCCTATCAGCTTAAGGAGATTTTGGGCTGAGATGATGGGGTTTTCTAGACATACAGTCATGTCATCTGCAAACAGGAACAATTTGACTTCCTCTTTTCCTAATTGAATACCCTTTATTTCCTTCTCCTGCCTGATTGCCCTGGCCAGAACTTCCAACACTATGTTGAATAGGAGTGATGAGAGGGGGCATCCCTGTCTTGTGCCAGTTTTCAAAGGGAATGCTTCCAGTTTTTGCCCATTCAGTATGATATTGGCTGTGGGTTTGTCATAGATAGCTCTTATTATTTGGAGATTCATCCCATCAATACCTAATTTATTGAGAGTTTTTAGCATGAAGGGTTGTTGAATTTTGTCAAAGGCCTTTTCTGCATCTATTGAGATAATCATTTGGTTTTTGTCCTTGGTTCTGTTTATATGCTGGATTATGTTTATTGATTTGCATATGTTGAACCAGCCTTGCATCCCAGGGATGAAGCCCACTTGATCATGGTGGATAAGCTTTTTGATGTGCTGCTGGATTCAGTTTGCCAATATTTTATTGAGGATTTTTGCATCGATGTTCATCAGGGATATTGGTCTAAAATTCTCTTTTTTTGTTGTGTCTCACCCTGGCTTTGGTATCGGGATGATGCTGGCCTCATAAAATGAGTTAGGGAGGATTCCCTCTTTTTCTATTGATTGGAAAAGTTTCAGAAGGAATGGTACCAGCCCCTCCTTGTACCTCTGGTAGAATTTGGCTGTGAATCCAACTGGTCCTGGACTTTTTTTGGTTGGTAAGCTATTAATTATTGTCTCAATTTCAGAGCCTGTTATTGGTCTATTCAGAGATTCAGCTTCTTCCTGGTTTAGTCTTGGGAGGGTGTATGTGTCGAGGAATGTATCCATTTCTTCTAGATTTTCTGGTTTATTTGCATAGAGGTGTTTATAGTATTCTCTGATGGTAGTTTGTATTTCTGTGGGATCGGTGGTGATATCCCCTTTATCATTTTTTATTGCGTCTATTTGATTCTTCTCTCTTTTCTTCTTTATTAGTCTTGCTAGCGGTCTATCAATTTTGTTGATTTTTTCAAAAAACCAGCTCCTGTATTCATTAATTTTTTGAAGGGTTTTTTGTGTCTCTATTTCCTTCAGTTCTGCTCTGATCTTAGTTATTTCTTGCCTTCTGCTAGCTTTTGAATGTGATTGCTCTTGCTTCTCTAGTTCTTTTAATGGTGATGTTAGGGTGTCAACTTTAGATCTTTCCTGCTTTCTCTTGTGGGCATTCAGTGCTATAAATTTCCCTCTACACACTGCTTTGAATGTGTCCCAGAGATTCTGGTATGTTGTGTCTTTGTTCTGGTTGATTTCAAAGAACATCTTTATTTCTGCCTTCATTTCATTATGTACCCAGTAGTCATTCAGGAGCAGGTTGTTCAGTTTCCATGTAGTTGAGCAGTTTTGAGAGAGTTTCTTAATCCTGAGTTCCAGTTTGATTGCACTGTGGTCTGAGAGACAGTTTGTTATAATTTCTGTTCTTTTACATTTGCTGAGGAGTGTTTTACTTCCCACTATGTGGTCAATTTTGGAATAGGTGTGGTGTGGTGCTGAAAAGAATTTATATTCTTTTGATTTGGGGTGGAGAGTGCTGTAGATGTCTATTAGGTCTGCTTGATGCAGAGCTGAGTTCAATTCCTGGATATCCTTGTTAACTTTCTGTCTCGTTGATCTGTCTAATGTTGACAGTGGGGTGTTAAAGTCTCCCATTATTATTGTGTGGGAATCTAAGTCTCTTTGTAGGTCTCTAAGGACTTGCTTTATGAATCTGGGTGCTCCTGTATTGGGTGCATATATATTTAGGATAGTTAGCTCTTCTTGTTGAATTGATCCCTTTCCATTGTGTAATGACCTTTGTCTCTTTTGATCTTTGTTGTTTTGAAGTCTGTTTTATCAGAGACTAGGATTGCAACCCCTGCCTTTTTTTGTTTTCCATTTGCTTGGTAGATCTTCCTCCATCCCTTTATTTTGAGCCTATGTGTGTCTCTGCACGTGAGATGGGTTTCCTGAATACAGCACACTGATGGGTCTTGACTCTTTATCCAGTTTGCCAGTCTGTGTCTTTTAATTGGAGCATTTAGCCCATTTTCATTTAAAGTTAATATTGTGATGTGTGAATTTGATCCTGTCATTATGACGTTAGCTGGTGATTTTGCTCATTAGTTGATGCAGTTTCTTCCTAGCCTCAATGGTCTTTACAATTTGGCATGTTTTTGCAGTGGCTGGTACCGGTTGTTCCTTTCCATGTTTAGTGCTTCCTTCAGGAGCTCTTTTAGGGCAGTCCTGGTGGTGACAAAATCTCTCAGCATTTGCTTGTCTGTAAAGGATTTTATTTCTCCTTCACTTATGAAGCTTAGTTTGGCTGGATATGAAATTCCGGGTTGAAAATTCTTTTCTTTAAGAATGTTGAATATTGGCCCCCACTCTCTTCTGACTTGTAGAGTTTCTGCCGAGAGATCAGCTGTTAGTCTGATGGGCTTTCCTTTGTGGGTAACCCGACCTTTCTCTCTGGCTGCCCTTAACACTTTTTCCTTCATTTCAACTTTGGTGAATCTGACAATTATGTGTCTTGGAGTTGCTCTTCTCGAGGAGTATCTTTGTGGCGTTCTCTGTATTTCCTGAATCTGAATGTTGGCCTGCCTTACTAGATTGGGGAAGTTCTCCTGGATAATATCCTGCAGAGTGTTTTCCAACTTGGTTGCATTCTCCCCATCACTTTCAGGTACACCAATCAGACGTAGATTTGGTCTTTTCACATAGTCCCATATTTCTTGGAGGCTTTGTTCATTTCTTTTTATTCTTTTTTCTCTAAACTTCTCTTCTTGCTTCATTTCATTCATTTGATCTTCCATCACTGATACCCTTTCTTCCAGTTGGTTGAATTGGCTACTGAGGCTTGTGCATTCATCATGTAGTTCTCGTGCTGTGGTTTTCAGCTCCATCAGGTCCTTTAAGGACTTCTCTGCGTTGGTTATTCTAGTTAGCCATTCGTCTAATTTTTTTTCAAGGTATTTAACTTCTTTGCCATGAGTTCGAACTTCCTCCTTTAGCTCGGAGTAGTTTGATAATCTGAAGCCTTCTTCTCTCAACTCGTCAAAGTCATTCTCCATCCAGCTTTGTTCTGTTGCTGGTGAGGAGCTGCATTCCTTTGGAGGAGGAGAGGTGCTCTGGTTTTTAGAGTTTCCAGTTTTTCTGCTCTGTTTTTTCCCCATCTTTGTGGTTTTATCTACCTTTGGTGTTTGATGATGGTGATGTACAGATGGGGTTTTGTTGTGGTTGTCCTTTCTCTTTGTTAGTTTTCCTTCTAACAGTCAGGACCCTCAGATGCAGGTCTGTTGGAGTTTGCTGGAGGTCCACTCCAGACCCTGTTTGCCTGGGTATCAGCAGCGGAGGCTGCAGAACAGTGGATATTGGTGAATAGCAAATGTTGCTGCCTGATCATTCCTGTGGAAGTTTTGTCTCAGAGGAGTACCCGGGCATGTGAGGTGTCAGTCTGCCCCTACTGGGGGTTGCCTCCCAGTTAGGCTACTCGGGAATCAGGGACCCACTTGAGGAGGCAGTCTGTCCGTTCTCAGATCTCCAGCTGCATGCTGGGAGTACCACTACTCTCTTCAAAGCTGTCAGACAGGGACATTTAAGTCTGCAGAGGTTTCTGCTGCCTTTTTTTTGGCTATGCCCTGCCCCTAGAGGTGGAGTCTATAGAGGCAGGCAGGCCTCCTTGAGCTGAGGTGGGCTCCACCCAGTTCGAGCTCCCTGGCTGCTTTGTTTACCTACTCAAGCCTCGGCAATGGCGGGTGACCCTCCCCCAGCCTCACTGCCACCTTGCAGTTTGATCTCAGACTGCTGTGCTAGCAATGAGCGAGGCTCCGTGGGCATAGGACCCGCTGAGCCATGCGCGGGATATAATCTCCTGGTGTGTCGTTTGCTAAGACCTTTGGAAAAGCGCAGTATTAGGGTGGGAGTGACCCGGTTTTCCAGGTGCTGTCTGTCACCCGTTTCTTTGAGTAGGAAAGGGAATTCCCTGACCCCTTGCGCTTCCCGGGTGAGGCGATGCCTCGCCCTGCTTCGGCTTATGCTCAGTGCGCTGCACCCACTGTCCTGTACCCACTGTCCGACACTCCCCAATGAGATGAACCCGGTACCTCAGTTGGAAATGCAGAAATCACCTGTCTTCTGCATCGCTCACGCTGGGTGCTGTAGACTGGAGCTGTTCCTTTTCGGCCATCTTTGATCCACCCCAGTCTGCTCATAGGTCTTTAAAGTAAACAAGTCTGTCATCAGAGGCAAATTCCCCTTATCCAAGTGTTCAGTGGCTCTGAATTCCAAGAGCTCACGGCATTGTGTTACTAACCTGTACCCAGGAGAATGGACACCTTCCCCTCTGGGAGCCTTAGAGGAACATCTGGTCTTGTCTTGTCCTGAGTGTTCGTACTTGGCCTTTCTTCCTATGAGGGCACTTGTTTGTAAATGGTTTTACACTTTATTAAGCAATCAGTTTTTGCTTGGAACTAAACTCGTGCTAATTTACCTGGATTAATGCTGTAGGCCAACGTGGTGGGTGATGAGGGTTGGGTAAGGCCTGCGTGTGCCATGAGAGTGGGGAAGTCTGACCTAAACCCCAGGACCAACCCAAGCTTCTCATGTCTCATGCATGTTCCATGTGGAAGGCATTTGTGCCATCCCACCATATGACGACCCCCAGGGGGCTCTCCGTTGGACACCTCTTTATTCCTTTTCTCCCCATCTAGTTTGCTCAATTGCTGTTCCAAAGTTGCTCCTCCTCAGAAATCTTCAATAGCTCTCTGTTGTCACTGGGACTTCAGAGGCATCTGCAATCTGGTTCCTATTTATACATCCTGTGGGTAAAAAACTGCCCTATTCCCACTGAATGAGCCTTGCCTGCCCCATCTCCATTCCTCTGCCCTTTTTTTCCAGAGCTTCTCCCCCAGAATAGGACCAGCAGTCCCAGTTGACCTGGGACTAGGGCTACTTGGGATGCAAGACTTCCAGTGTTCAATCTGGTATGTTCCCTGCTCCAATACCATCTCTAGTTATTGACATTTGCCTGTTTTTAGGGTACTGCTGAATTCCCTGTTGGGCCTCTGTGGTTTAGCTCTGATTGTCTGTCCATCCATATGGTGCAGGCATTGCCTTTTGCCATAAGTATTTGTGTTCACTCATTGTCTCCCAATCTGAACTGTAATTAATTTGAGGATGAGGATCATGTCATATTCTGTGGATTCTTTCAAGCACCTAGCACAGGACTTTCATGTGGTAGATGTTGAGATATTATTTGCTGCATGAAGGAATGGTGAATAAATTACCATTGAATAAATTACGTAGTTGTAATGAGAGAATGTATTGTAACTATGTTGATGGATTTTTATTGTTTTGTTGATTGCAAAAGAATATATATTCATTGTACTTTTGTGGAAAGTTTGGGAAAAATAGAAAAGCATACATATATCTCTTGTAAACCCACTATCCAGAAATACATAACTACTATTAATATCTTTGTGTGCATCCCTCCAACGTCTTCCCTCCTTCCTATCCTTCTGTTTGTCCAGTCATCATCTGCATATTTCCATGTCTTTAAAAAAAACTTGGATCTTATAGTACATATAGTTTTGTATATTCTTAGAAGGGATATATGTGTGTGTGTATATATATATATATATATAAGATGCATACACGCTTACCTATATATTCATATACTTATATATATACATATATCCCTTCTAAGAATATACGTGTGTGTGTGCATCTCCTTTTTAGGGGTCCCCAACCCCTGGGCTGTAGACCAGTATCAGTCCGTGGCCTGTTAGGAACTGGGCCAGGTAGCAGGAGGTAGGTGAGCGGTGTGCAAGAGAGCATTACTGCCTAAGCTCTGCCTTCACTCAGATCAGCAGTGGCATTAGATTATTATAGGAGCATGAACCTTACTGTGAACTGTGCAGGCAAGGGATCTAGGTTGCATCCTTCTTATGAGAATCTAATGCTTAATGATCTGAGATGGAATAGTTTCATCCTGAAACCATCCCCCACCCCACCTTCCCATCGATGGAAAAATTGTCTTCCACAAAACCGGTCCCTGGTGCCAAAAAGGTTGGGGACCACTGCTTTATATATATAACAGTTCTATCTATCTATCTATCTATCTATCTATCTATCTATCTATCTATCTATCTAATCTATCTGTCATCTCTTTTGTTCCATTTGTGTCCATACCATCAGGTTTTTTTTTCTTTTTTAACCAATCCACCATTGTTGAACATTTAAGTTTGTTTCAGAAATTTTGCTCTTATGGCTCTTTGTTCCATCCCTCATTATTTCCTTAAGATAAATGCTTAGAAGTAGAATTTCTGCTTCTAAGATTAAAGGCTTCTGAGTGATTTTTAAGATTCAGGGTGCTGCTTGTAGTTTGCAGGTCAGCTTAACCTGTGATCTTGCAATTCTAGTGCTGTT
This sequence comes from Homo sapiens, assembly GCF_000001405.40. Taxonomy (NCBI): domain Eukaryota; kingdom Metazoa; phylum Chordata; class Mammalia; order Primates; family Hominidae; genus Homo; species Homo sapiens. The sequence goes on from NC_000010.11 coordinate 104,728,350, forward strand.
CTAAGATTTGGGCAGTGGAGGTTTGAGGAGACTTAGTTCTACTGCAGGGCTGAGAAAACCTAGGCAAGACTGAGAATTAACTTGGTTTATGGTTGATCTGGATTCTGGGAGTTTGTGTGTGTCAGGGATGATAATAGGAAGTTGATTGAAGCCAAGAAAATGGTTGGAAACCAGGTTAGGACAGTGAGAGTAGAACGATTAGGTGATGTCAGGACAAAGACCTGGGGATATACTGCACTAAATATGAGGACCTTGAAGCTGGGATGAATCCTGCCTCAGGCTCAAGGCCGTTTACACTTGACCTATCAGAAATCAAAGGATAATTTCTGTGATGGGGCTCTCCTAGGGCCTGCAGACCCAAAGAGCATCTGTATATAACCCCTGGAAAAATCCTAGTATCTGGCTGATCTTTTCTAGCTCTAGATTTTCTGAGCTCAGCAAATGATGGTGGAAGTCCAGGCTCACTGAGAGACTAGTCCTATAAGTCACAAACCTGGGGTAGATTAGGAATAATGAATACAAATGACCAGTTCTGGTGACCCAGTTATAAGAGGACTCCATCTGCCTTAAGTCTCTTAATCTCAACAATTACATCCCAGGCCAGATGTCACACTATAATGTAATATAATATTGCTAGTAATATTTCAGGAAATCATTGCAGAGTGGGAATGTTCTGAAAGACTGGAGACAAGCAATTATTCCTATTTTCAAAATAGTTTTATGAACTCAGATTCATGAGTTAGTTTAAAATCCTAGGCAAAAGATTCTATAATAGATTATTTAAAAAATGGTATGTGTAACTTTGGAAAAGCAAATAGTAGTCACTAGGAATCATCATGGGATAAACAAGAAGCACATGTTGTTCAGCTAACCTCATTTTCTGTTTTATGGTACACGTGTATATCCTACTTTCAGCAAGACATTTGAAAAGTCTCTCTAGATTACCCCAGGCTCAAGACTGAGACCTTTGGGCTGGATCAGTTATTCATGGAATGATATGCCCAGAGTACATTTTTAATGAAGCAATCTTAAGCCAGATACAGGTTTCCAGAGTTATAAAGTTCTATTCTTGATCCTGCATTGTTAACATTTCCTTTAATCAATGACAAAGAAAGAAATATGTAGGTGACATGAAGATGGGAGACACAATGGATATGTTGGATGAAAGACTTCAGATCCAAAATGATAAGTTCAGGCTTGAAGAAATGAACTTAATTTATCAAAATGATGGTTAATAGGGTCATAAGCTAGGTTTTATCCTTGCATTAAAAAAGTAAAACAACTGCACAAATGTGTGATAGGGAGGTTTGGCGTATCCATATTTCAGAAGGTATTAGGTGTCAAGTGCTGTATGTATCAGGCTGCATGAGTGGAACTACAGAACCTGTCATGATGGAGAGTCCTGCCCTGGCACTGCTTCTACCACGCCTGTCAGGAGGTGACTCGTTTTGGGCCCAGAACTTGGAGATAAAACAAAAGGCAGACAGTGTGCTGTAGGGGAAAGCACATGACAACTTCCAAATCTGCCAACAGACTATGTGTAGCTTGGGGAGTGAGTGTACTTAATCTCTCTGAGCCTCAGTTTTCTTATCAGTAAAATGGGCCAAGAGAACTTGACCTTATCAAGTTTTCTGAGAATTATGTAATTTATGAGCATTGCTTAGAAAATCACCTTGCTCAGACTTGGTACTCAGCAAATCTTGAATTTCTTTTGGTTGTCCCTGCTATTGGGAATGAACAAGATTCTAAGAGTCAAAATTCATGTTAATTGAAGGTTTGCAGTCTGGAGAAGAGTGGACGTCAGAGCATGTGAGATGTATGCATATACTCTGCCAGACATTATTCTGAACAATTTATATGATTCTCTCATTTACCTTTCTGAATAGTCCAATGAAGTATATACTGTTTGTATCGGCATTTTACAGATTAGGAAACTGAGGCTCAAGGAATATGTGCCACAGCTAATCAGGGACACAGCTGGGACCAGAACCTGATCTTCTGCCTCCCCGTCTGTACTACTGTGCTGCATCTCTTGCATTCTAGAAGAATATTGAAAATTGGCAAGTGTTAGAGGAGGTGTTTGTGGTGAATGGAGGGCTCCATCTGGGTTGATTCCTAGGAGCTGTCAGTGTAAGTCCTATACCAGCCACTGACCAGATAGGACATCTCTTTTCATTCCCTGCTTCTACCTCCCGCTTTTCTCTCCATGTTTTCCTCAGCTGGGCCCTTAGGGCATTTTTGTGAACAACTGCTATATTAGTCTTTTCTCACGCTGCTATGAAGAAATACCCAAGACTGAGTAATTTATACAGAAAAGAGGTTTAATTGACTCACAGTTCCACATGGCTGGGGAGGCCTCAGGAAACTTATAATCATGTTAGAAGGCACCTCTTCACAGGGCAGGCAGGAGAGATAATGAGAGCCAAGCGAAGGGGGAATCCCCCTATAAAACCACCAGATCTCTTGAGAACTCACTCACTATTGCCAGAACAGTTTGGGGGAAACCAACCCCATGATTCCATTATCTCCACCTGGTCCTGCCCTTGACACATGGAGATTATTACAATTCAAGGTGAGGTTTGGGTGGGGACACAGAGCCAAATGCTGAGTTTAGGCTTTCTGTTCTACCCTGTGGATCACCCTATGGTCTGGGGCCAGGGGGCCAAGGTTGAATTGGATGCAGAGTGTATTTATCATGGTTGGAAGGGCAGGTACTGAGTAGGGTTTAACTGCATGAGTGAATGCATTCCCAAAGAGAGCCAGAATCTGTCTGGTTGTCTGGTGTCTCCGCTGAGCCCGCATTCCCTTGCCTAGTTTCTGCTGACATGACCTTCTTGTGAGGACCCTGGAGGGAGCTTTTGAGAAACACCATCACCCTCCATTCATTCACATATGCTCCAGACAGCTACTTCTCTGGCATGGGGCAAAATAAATGATCTTTGGGGATATCATGGCTATCTTTTCGAAGGTTTTTCTTAGATCCCAGCCCGAGGCAGAGATGCAAATTGATGTGTCTTCTTAATCTGCATCTTCATTTACTGAGTCATGTTCCTTCTGGGAGAAAGAGCAGGGCTTGTGATTTAACTCTAAATCATCTCTATCCCAGAAGTCACTGCCGGGGACACTTCCAGAAGAGGCTACCTAATCCCTGACTTTCCCAACTCTGACATTCCCCTTCAACTTTCTTGGGAGGCTCAGTTTCCCTGTCACCTTTAGTCTACCTTCCAGACTCTAGGCTTTGGATCACACTGCCTTGCCCACTGTGATGTGTCTCCATGTCCTCTGTACATCTGGAACTTACATGCTTTTCCAGTTTACAAATCAACCCTGCTCCATGGAGCTGCCCAGGTTATTGAGCCTGTGTAGATTTACCGAGCTGTGAGTAACTTAAGGACAGGAACACTCATCCCTGTATCTAGAATTTGCCTGATGCTCAGTAGACACTGTTCAAAGCATGAGTGAGGACAAATGAAGGGAGGAACATCAATTGGCACCATTTAGCCCTTCATTCATCTCTGGTTGTTTCATGGTGGTGACATTGATCCCACCTTCCAGCTATGGGCTCAGAAGTCAGAGGCCTGGTTCCAAATCTCAGCCCTTCCAGTAACTTGGGAACATTTGGTAAATTCTCTAAACCTCAGTTTCTTTAACACTGGGGAATATTTTATAGGGTTAGAAGGAATAAATGAGATTATGGACACAATACCCTTACTGATCACAACAAACATTCCAGAAATATGCGTTAGCTCTCGTGTAAATATCTGGAGGACAGAACATCATCTTATATTACTGCTGCTGGTTTGGTGTTTAATTGGCCCTCAGTTAAGTCCATCTTGAGTGCTTATTGGATAAGAGCTCCAACATGTGCAAAGTAAGCAAGAAAGGGCTTAGGCAAGGGGGCTGCCACATTTATAATATAACAGGATTGTGCTAGCTTGGAGGCTTAATAGCAGACATTTTGTGTACAAAATGAGAAACAGAAGCATGAGGTCAGGGCCATTGTTACATCAGTGTTCTCTGTTGTCTTTGAACACGATGTTCCTAAACCGTAGTGCTTGCATTTGAAAGGCAGGTCACTCTAGGACGACACTGCTTTTAAAGATTATAATAGATGCTGGCAAGAGAAGAACACTCAGAACCAGGCTCTGCTTCAGGAAGTTAAAAATGCCAAATGCCAGTGCCTTTGCTGTGCCCCCAAGGGGGTGGGGGCAGTATGAAATTTACTAGAAAGATGAACTCCCATGTCAGTCTCCTTAAATGGGATGAGCCTCTGCTCTTGCACGCGTGCATGCTGCTGCTGCTGTTTAAAAGCTTTTATCTTGGGCTAAAATGTGCATATTGTGGGCAGAGCTATCTCTCCACTTCGCTGAAAAAAATCACCATGCTAACAGGCAGGGATGGGAAAGGGGTCTGCCACAGCAGTGCTTTAACATCTAGATGGCCTATTTAGCTGGGGAGCTTGTGTAGGTGTGCTGGGTATAGCCTGGTGTATGTAGAATGAGGGTCAGCCTAGGGGTGGGGGTAGCTGGACCCATGTAGGCTCAGTCCTCAGGGGAGAAGGAGGGCCTCTTTCAGGCCCCATTCATGGTCTCTGGTATCTGAAGGTCAAGGGGCTGAGCAAACAGTGGAGGTGGGAGCCCAGTGGCAGAGTTGGGGCAATCAGCTTACAGTACATAAGCTGATAAATCAGTGATAGATTTGATTTCCATGCAAGAACTGATGTAGATTGTCATGGGCATAAGCAAAAAAATAATAACCCGTGAACTTACAGAATGCTTTATGCTGCTGAAAATGCTCTGGGGCCCATGAGCTCCTCTGATGCCCCCAGGAGCCCTGAGAAGTGGGGAAGGCATGTACTACTCTCCCTTAGCAGAGGTGCAGAGAGGGTCAAGGGACCTGCACAAGGCCACCAAGCTAGTTCTCAAATAGCTAGACCTGATGTCCATACTAATTTCTGTGATTTCTTCATTTGTGCATTCACTCTTTCATCAAATCTTTGATAATTTTTTTTTATTTTTTAGAGACAGGGTCTTGCTCTTGCCCAGACTAGAGTACAGTGGCAAGATGAGAGCTCACTGCAGCCTTGAACTCCTAGGTTGAAGTGGTCTTCCTGCCACAGCATCCCAAGTAGTTGGGACTATAGATGCGCACCACCATGCCCTGATGATTAATTTTTTTTTTTTTTTTTTTTGTAGAAATAAGGTCCCGCTATGTTGACCAAACGCTTTGAGCCATTATTTTTGGTGCCAAGCACTGAGTTAGGTTTAAGAAATACGGAGATCAGAGACTTGCCTTCAAAGTGATCCCTATAGTTTATGTGTTTAAATAAAGCAGCTTTGGAGTGTTTTTCCCTCAGCTTTCCTCTGGGAAGCTCCAAGTTTGGTGCTTTGCTGTGAAGCCCAAAGATTTCATTTTCTTTTTTCTCAATCCCCTGTTTTGTGGTGGAGGAGAAGGCCAGGAGCCCTCTTGTTGAGCAAACCTGCAAACCTAAGCCAATTTATATAAGGCTGTTCTTTTTTCAGCATCCCCTCGGAACGAAAAGATGGGGGTTATGATGTTTCCCAGTGATGCCTTTAGATGCATGATGGTGCCTGGACAGATCATAAGCTTTATAAGGGTCCTGATGTCCTGTTTGTTTTAGCAATCTGCCCTCATGCAATAGGAGGCATTCAGCAGACAATAACTGGATTGAGGTGGTTGAGATATTACTATTTTAAGTTATTTGTGTCTCTGTGTGTGTGAGTAGATGTATGTTGGGTTGGCTTAATCTAAAATGTAAACAAAATTTGTCTACTTTTGTGGTTTGTTTTTAGGGATGCTAGGAAGATCTCGTCCCTAGAAATATATCCCATTACCTAGCTCAGTGTGCTCTAATTTTTACCATTAGAGATGCAATTCTTTATTGTAAGGGTGAATATCTGTAGTCCCGCACATGTTAGTATGAATTAGTCAGTGGTCTTTCCTTTTAGCTCTAGAAGAAATTACAGTAGTAAGGGGGCCTGGAGCTCTAGAAGAGAGCAAAGGGCAGAGAAAGCAACAGCAAAGCTCAGGCACCAAAGGCAAACTGCTGCTTTTGTAATTTGGCTGAGAGAGGACCTTAGTCCTGTCTTAAGAAGATTGAAAGAGCTTCAGAGACCAAGTATCTGTTTCTCCCTGAGAACTAATTACCAAGTACCAAGAGCACAGACGACACTGTGCTGGTGCACAGGACTTTGCATGCTATTGTTACTCAGGCTGTGGGTCCTAGTCTTGTGCAGGCATGATGGCTTTATCAATCATCATAGTGAGAATGAGTCATGAGGGATCCACACTTGGACAGAAGGGCTTAGCCCTGAAATCCCTCTCCATAGCTTGCACTGATAGTGTTCTCTTTTAACGGGAGAGACCATGTTTTGCAATGAAAATACATCTGCAGGCTTTGGGTGGAGCTAGCCAGACCTGGGTTTGATCCTAGCTAAGGAACTTTATAGCTTTGTGATCTTGACTGAAAGATTTAATCTCTCTGATCACCAGAGATAAAATTAACACTGACCTCCTACATGTGATGGGAGTATTAAATGAGATGAAGTATGTGCAGGGCCTGTTATTAACTTATTACTAATACATCTAACAAGTTAGGTATCTCTTTTTTTAAAAAACCATTTTTTATTGCAGTTAATTAAAAAAAATCTACCCTTTAATGTATTTGGTTTAGAAATTATTTCCCCAGAACAGAATGGGTAGAGTGTAAATTCAAGAGTCAGTAAAGCACATCAAGAAAGAGAAGGGCTCCCAGAGGGGGCTGTTCCCTGCCGCTTGCCTTTCACGTGGCTCTCCTGCCTGGTGACTGTCGGCTGGGCAGGGGGCCGGGCTGCTCCCAGGGAAGCTGTGCTGCTGCATTGTTCTTGGCACTTATGCCAGCCATTCAGGGCTCTCAAAAAATTGGCTTAGAAAATAGTTTGAAAGTTATTACTTGGGATTCAGGAAACTCCAGGTGGCTTTTGAGAGCTGCCCCCAAATGCAGCCGGAGATGCGTCCTCAGCTGTTCACTTTCAGGACTTTCATTATTTTTCATGTTTATTTCGGGCTGGAGCCAGAGCTGCGGTATTCATGAGCTCTCACCGTCTGTTTTTTTTTTTTTTTTTTTTTAATCAATCCCTTTGTTTCTTTAGGAGAGAAAGAAGCTTGCTCCCCAATCCCCTCTGCCCCACCATAGGGTTCAAGGAAACTGGCCCTCATAATTGTAAATTACCTATGAAAAAGACAGAGCCCTTGGCTCCCTTCCTGGCGAAAGCTTCAAGATCAGCAGTGATAGCGGAAATTAATGAAAGCGGCTGCTGAGCCCCTGGCCTGTTGGTGGCTGCTGAGATGAAAAGGCAGCAATTGAAGTCGGCTTTGGGGATGAGCATTCCGATAAGGATTTTTGTTTGGGATACGGTTATGACCTGTAGCATGGGCTCCAGCCAGGACTTAGGTTTCTTGGAACCGGTTCTGATTTGCTCACTAACAACAGTCTGCTTTTCTTTCAAAATATAACCTCTTTCCCTCTAATCTGACCACCTCATCCCCCAAGAAAAGAAATGCAGCCCTCCAAACACAATACAGTAGTAGCCCAAGGTGACGCCAAATGTCTGAATCTCTCCCTCTTTTCTTTTTCTTCTTCTTTTTAGTAGCAGAATGAGGCTCAGTTGAACTCATTTTCTCTTTCATCTCGGCTCATCCCCCTTGGGCTGGTGTTAAACAGCTGTCATACAAGGGCTGCCCAGGAATCCAGTTATGAAACAAACCAGCCAGCCTTCTTAATTGTCCTCCTGCGACTGGACTAAATTTGTCATCCTAATTCTTGAGCACTTGAGTTCCTGGGCTGCAGGCTTGAGTGTCATTCCTGAACTTGGCCAGTTGTTTGCCCTCCGTGAGACCCTCTTGTAAACTGATTAGATGGCACTCAGGAGGCCACGGCGGGGCGGGTTGAGGGGGGCAGGACTGAGCTTGTTATAAACGGAGATTTCTTATTTAGGTGGAAGGCAAAGTTTTCTCCTTACTGTTCCACTGTCTTCCTGAGAGAAATTAACACTCAAGTGGAAAGAACACATTCCACATGGTACACGGACACATGTGTTTTGTTGCACATGAGGGCTGGGTTTTTGACTGTAAGTGACACTTCATTCTGTCAAGATTTAGAAGTATATTTTAAATTGACATCAATGAATTTAACCGTCATGGTTTTGGATATTATTGTCAGCATCCCCCAACATCTATGGCATTATAGTAATTTTTTGCAGTATATTGTACTAAATGGTTTTTCTGTTGTCTTTTTGGGAAGTGAGTCCTTCTGAAATCTGTTTCCTTTATATTCTCAGCAGGTGAACCTTTTCTTTTCTTTTCAAAATACTTCAATCTCAGAGTCTTTCTTTGACTTCTTCTTTTCTTTCAAAGGCATGTTTTCTTTTTTTTTTTTTATTATTATTATACTTAAAGTTTTCGGGTACATGTGCACAATGTGCAGGTTAGTTACATATGTATACATGTGCCATGCTGGTGTGCTGCACCCATTAACTCGTCATTTAGCATTAGGTTTATCTCCTAATGCCATCCCTCCCCCTTCCCCCACCCCACAACAGTCCCCAGAGTGTGATGTTCCCCTTCCTGTGTCCATGTGTTCTCATTGTTCATTCCCATCTATGACTGAGAACATGCAGTGTTTGGTTTTTTGTCCTTGCGATAGTTTACTGAGAATGATGATTTCCAATTTCATCCATGTCCCTACAAAGGACATGAACTCATCTTTTTTATGGCTGCATAGTATTCCATGGTGTATATGTGCCACATTTTCTTAATCCAGTCTATCCCTGTTGGACATTTGGGTTGGTTCCAAGTCTTTGCTATTGTGAATAGTGCCGCAATAAACATAAGTGTGCATGTGTCTTTATAGCAGCATGATTTATAGTCCTTTGGGTATATACCCAGTAATGGGATGGCTGGGTCAAATGGTATTTCTAGTTCTAGATCCCTGAGGAATCGCCACACTGACTTCCACAATGGTTGAACTAGTTTACAGTCCCACCAACAGTGTCAAAGTGTTCCTATTTCTCCACATCCTCTCCAGCACCTGTTGTTTCCTGACTTTTTACTGATGGCCATTCTAACTGGTGTGAGATGGTATCTCATTGTGGTTTTGATTTGCATTTCTCTGATGGCCAGTGATGGTGAGCATTTTTTCATGTGTCTTTTGGCTGCATAAATGTCTTCTTTTGAGAAGTGTCTGTTCATATCCTTTGCCCACTTTTTGATGGGGTTGTTTGCTTTTTTCTTGTAAATTTGAGTTCATTGTAGATTCTGGATATTAGCCCTTTGTCAGATGAGTAGGTTGCGAAAATTTTCTCCCATTTTGTGGGTTGCCTGTTCACTCTGATGGTAGTTTCTTTTGCTGTGCAGAAGCTCTTGAGTTTAATTAGATCCCATTTGTCAATTTTGTCTTTTGTTGCCATTGCTTTTGGTGTTTTAGACATGAAGTCCTTGCCCACGCCTATGTCCTGAATGGTAATGCCTAGGTTTTCTTCTAGGGTTTTTATGGTTTTAGGTCTAACGTTTAAGTCTTTAATCCATCTTGAATTGATTTTTGTATAAGGTGTAAGGAAGGGATCCAGTTTCAGCTTTCTACATATGGCTAGCCAATTTTCCCAGCACCATTTATTAAATAGGGAATCCTTTCCCCATTGCTTGTTTTTCTCAAGTTTGTCAAAGATCAGATAGTTGTAGATATGCGGCGTTATTTCTGAGCGCTCTGTTCTGTTCCATTGATCTATACCAGTACCATGCTGTTTTGGTTACTGTAGCCTTGTAGTATAGTGTGAAGTCAGGTAGCCTGATGTGACCGGCTTTGTTCTTTTGGCTTAGGATTGACTTGGTGATGCGGGCTCTTTTTTGGTTCCATATAAACTTTAAAGTAATTTTTTTCCCTTTCTTACTTGATAGTTCAGATTTTAAATGTGATCATTTTTTCTTTGTTCACAACTCACCCACATATCCATGACATTTTATATCGATCCAGCCGAGGCACTTTCCAGAAACAGGTTCTTGATTCATCTTGAAGGAGCAGTTTATGGATGTAGCCTCTTAGAAATACCTGGTAATATCAGAAGATCCTGGAAGTAAATGAACCAGTGGTCTTCTCCCATTTGCCGTTTCTTTCTTTATAGTTGGCATATCGTCTTTAGGGGACTGTGGCAGAATTGCAGTATCTGTAGCTGCTTTGGGACAGATCTTTATGGGTTCCGTGTTCCCTCCTGGCATCTCAAGGCAGAAGAATGGACGCACGGGCTTTGAGGCAGACACGTGTGACTGTATATAGAAGGAAACCAACAGACCTTGGGAAATGAAATGGCTTTCAGGTCACAGACAAAGTTGGGTTCATATGGAGAACAATTCATTGTTGAGAACTGATAGCAACTTAATATTTTCCCTTGAGACGCAAGGGCTTCCCAGTACTCAAGGTCTGAAGATATAGGAGACATTCCTTGACAATATACAGATTCCCTGCCAATACCCACAGGTGAGTCAGCTAACTCTCTTAATCCTACCTCCTCCCAACTGTGGCAGCTGGAAGGAAAGCCAGAGGAACCCAGGACATGAGCTGCAGAGATGAATGTTTCAAGGTTTTCTCTGGTGGTCTCTTTGAGGCATTTGTGCATCTGATGCTCTGCAAGTCATTAGAAAACACAAGGAAGCCATTGGCTATGGCTGGATCCAGACTCAAACATACACAAACCTCAGCCTCCAGCAGCGCCTGCCCAGCACAGGTATCATCACTTTTGTCTCTGCTGCCAGCTGCCTCAGGGCCATGCTGATCTGGACTGTCTGTGTCTGAGCGATGTCAAGACACTGGAGACAAATGAAAAGACCATCTTGGTTCACTCTCTCCAAATGCCGGAGACAAGAGAAACAGAAGTTGTATTTGCAGAATAGTAAATAGGGATCTTCAAAATAGGTCAGGCAAATGGGTCAATTTCTTTCTGAGTTTTTTTCTGCTATTGTCACATAGAAGTTCACCACCTCAGGGCAAATTCAGGCCTGTGTTCATGACTGCTCCAGCTCTCTGATAAGTCTGACCATGTTGCCCAGTGCCAGGTTCTCCTGAATCTGTTTCTCCCAGGAGTACTGAAAGCACTCGGGAGAGGTGATAACCCTGTTATCTGTCTTCATCACCAACGAGTCAAGACACTTTAGACAGAGGCCATGTCTACAACTCATAGAGTAGGGTTCTTCACAGTAGTCCCTGCAACAGGGGGAGGTCAACAGGGCTTTCTGGAGTTCAGTCTCAGATGCTCTTAAATTGAAGTCCTCTCCTCAGGCTTCTGGCTCTGAAGATCCCCAGCATGTCTGAAGGATCTGGAGTCACTGCTGTGCTTTTAGTGGGGCAAGTGAAATCACACGTGTCCCCACATCCTTCTATACCCATTTCACCTACTCAGTCATTTGATTGGATTTCCATTAGAAAGCCAAGCAAAATAAGACAAGGAATTCACCCACCTTTGTAGGATGGGAGGATTTCTGGGTGCTAATTTTCAGGTTCTGTGTGTATTCAACCACCAAACAGAATTGTACTTGGTACCTCTTTTGTGTAGTAAGTATGCAAGGAGATATGGTATGTTTAATGGTGAACAGGAAAGACCTGGACCACAAAATATTAGCTGGTCTTTCCTTTTACAAATGGGAAGAATTTTCTTTATTTTGTTCATAGAACGTATTTCTTGGCATGATTAAAACATGCAAAAAGGTATGCATTTACAATTTTGCAGTGCGTACTAACAAAGGCAAACTCAGTGATATTTTTATTACATAAAACTGAAACAGTCAAAATTAATTATTTATGACAAATTCCTTCAAAAAATCTGCCTGTACTGTGTAGTCCTAGAAATTTGTGGCCCCCTTTCTCCTCACTCATGTACTACCGAGTTAAATAATTAATTTGCAGTTTTGTATCCCTTGATAAAATGAAGGCTTCTCAAAAGTAGGAAGTTATCTGGATCAGATTGTGATCAAAATATGTAGAATACATGTGAGTCTCTGCTGTCGTCTCACTTACTCCTCCTTCTGTGTACTGTTTCGACGCACCTCCTCTGGGAAGTCTTATCTGATCTTCCAGGTTAAGGATCCCCTTGTTTATGTTCTCATAGCCTGGCTTTGTCCTTCACAGCACATATTAAATTGTTGCTTTCTTAGTGTCTATCTTCCAGATAACCTCCATAATGGCATGAACTCCTTGTTTGCTTCTCAGGAAGGGATTCCAGCTTCAGGGTGTCACCTAATGCATTGCTCAATGAAAGGTTAATGGATTAACATTCATTGCACAGAGGTTTTATAAAAGACACTTATTTTTTTGTTTGTTTGTTTCCTTGCTTCTGTGTGTCAAGGCAAGGAAAGTGGTTTGTATGTATGTATGGAGAAATAATAATGTAGAAGGGGTGAGATTCTGGGGATTTGAGGGCTTAATTTTCTTCTAGGATCTTATCTATTAGTTGGCCTTATTAGGTTAACATAAAGTTAATCTTTCCATTAGCAATCATTGTAGCTTCTCATCTTGGAAATCTCAGTTTTAAAGAGTAAATTAAGGCCTTTCCTCTCCCTTTTATTATTATTATTATTATTTTGGAGACAGGGTCTCCCTCTGTCACCCAGGCTAGAATGCAATGGTCCTATCATAGCTCATTGTAACCTTGAACTCTTGGGCTCAAGGGATTCTCCCACATCAGCCTCCCAAGTAGCTGATACTACAGGTGCATTCCACTACACCTGGATAATTTAAATTTTTTTTTTTTTTTTTTTTTTGCCAGGGTCTTGCTATGTTGCCCAGGTTGTTCTCAAACTCTTGGCCTTAATCAGTCCTCCTGCCTCAGCTTCCCAGAGTACTGGGATTATAGGCACAAGCCACCAGGGACAATCAGACCTTTTCTTTTTAATCACCAGAAGGCAATGCTGACATTTGTTGCCCAACCATCATAACAGCACACTTGGCCGTTGTGGTCCTGGCAGGCGTATCTGTCTCATTAGATATTCACAGTTACTCGGAGCAGAGGCCTCCAAGAACTGATGTGCATTTCTTGGGTTTATCCTGTATGGAGTTTGTCAAGCTGCTTGAATCTTTAGGGTTGTGTCTTTTGTCAAATTTGGGGAAATATTAGTTATTGTTTCTTCACTCTACTTTCTTTTTCTCTCCTTCTGGAAATCCTAGGACATAAATGTTAAAGCTTTGTGTAGTTCCCTGATGCTCTTTTTTTTTTCAGTCCATTTTCTCTCTGTTGCTCAGAAAAATAATTTCTATTTTTCTGTCTTCAAGTTTATTGTTTCTTTCCTCTTTCCTTTCCATTCTGGGTTTTTTTTTTTTTTTTTTTTTTTTTTTTTTTTGCCTAGCCTTTGAGTTTTTAATTTTGGTTATTTTATTTTTCAGTTCTAAAATTGCCAGATGGTTCTTTTTTTATATCTCCCATTTCTTTGCTAAGACTTTCTATTTTTTCATGTGTTTCAAGCGTATGCATAATTGCTCATTGAGACATTTTTATGACGGCTACTTTAAACTCCTTATCAGAAAATTCCAACATCTGTATCCTCTCAGTGTTGGCACGTATTGTCTTTTCTCACTCAAGTTGGGATTTTCCTTGTTCTTGGTATCAGTGTTTTTTTAAAAAATTGTATCCTGGACATTTGGGTACTGTATGACTCTGGATCTTATTTTGACCTTCTGTTTTAGCAGGCTTTCTCTTATATCATGATAGTGGTGGGGGACAGGGGAGGGGAGGTGCTACCTTGTTACTGCCAGGTGAGGGTGGAAGTTAGTTTAGATTGACACCCTAAGAGGTTCCTTGCTACTGCTGGACAGTGGCACATGCAGAAAGGCTGAAACCATCATCTCTTGAAGTTTCCCAGAAAATTGTTTTTGTTCATCTCCTTAGCAGAAAAGATGTGCAAAGTTTTGCATTTGTAATCCATTTGGTGCTGGGTGACAAGTCATAACCTTAGTAGTGTGCTGTGTGGAAGCCAGCGGGGCAGCATAGAAGGGGGTCTCTGAGAAGTGTGACCAGCCTCCTGAATCACAGTGTTTAAGGATCTATGGAAAAGTAAGGCCCTGTTTGTCCTGACAGTGACCTCTAAGGAGCTTGGGTAGAGGAGGATACCAGTAGGTAGTGGCCACACTCATTGTCCAGTGGGTAGTGGTAACATGACTCCAGGAATTTGACTCAGTTTGATGCAGGCCCAAATTTGGGCCTCAGTCAACAACATTGGGCTGCAGACCTTGGACAGCTGGGCCTGGGGCCTCAAGAGGTATTAACATCAGAGCCAGGTCTGGGCCCCATCCAGCAGACCTCTGGACACTAAAAATAAGGGCAAACATCTTGACAACTGAACCAGTCAAAGAGTAAGTGTAGCACAGTAAGCGCAGGGAGACTCAGGGCAGTCAGTGGTCCTAAATCTATTGGATGGAACAGGGCTCCATGTTCCATTGGTTGGAACTGCACTGCCATGATTGACTTAGGGCTGAGACTCCGTAAGACTGGCCACAAAGAGACCAGGAGCACTTATTATTATTATTGTTTATTACTTAGTTCACATTCTAGGAATGCCCTGTGTGTAAGAAGCTTGGATATAAATAAGCATTAATAATTCTTGAAATCAGAATGGAAAGCATTTTATATGCATTACCTTTTAAAAAATTTCATAATAATCCTGTGGGGTGGATAGAACATGTATTGTTATTCCATTTCCTGAGGAAAAATCTGGAGCTCAAAGAGATGAAAATGCACTATACAAGTGAGTTAGGGAACTTGGCTCTTCAGACTCTAAAGTCTAGGGCTGTAGAGGGATATGCTGAGTGTCAGTCTCTGCAGCTTCCAGTAAGTGCCAGGTGTTTGCATAACTCAGTCTTTGCATCTGTAGACTAGAGCAACCATGACCTAGAGGACTATCTCTGCCATAGCGGGGTGAAGTTGCACCTAGTTTTACATGTCTCAGAAAACTCACTGATGCTCCTACAAGCTGCTAACAATCATTCAGGAAACATTTATTAAGCATTCACTGTACGCTAATAACTGATGTTGGGAATGCAAAAGTCTTCTTTGTCCACATGGTTTCTCGGCTCAATGGTCTCATGGTCCAGTGCAGGGAGGCCAAGTTTAATGCGTTCCTAATGTAGTAGAAGGCAGTGGGGGAGATGTGCCTTGGGAGGCATTCACCTTCTGCTAGGGTTCCTGGACCAGATGGATAATCTTGGGGGTAAAGGAGGTGAACTTCTGGGTCCCTTTTAACCATGCCTAAGAAGTTCCCTTCTATTAGTGGGTGTTACTGACCCACTCTCAGGACAGCCTGTGGACTGAGTTCTTGTCTCCATATTCTCCCCTAAGCCCCCTGTGAACCTGTACGTGCTGCTGTGAGATACTAGGCTGGAGCTGGAAACACAGGAATCCGCCTTGTCTGTACCGATGTGGATATGAGGACTTGGAAGCGAGGTTAGGAACAGGAAATTAAAAGCATCCTTTTATTCAGGCATCCGCTTAAAGGCTAAAGCTACAATAAAAAGGCTTCAGAATGGGCCTCCCTAAATCTTCATTCATTAATAACGATTATGATCATTATTCTAACAACAATAATAATACTAAACTCTGATAATGATCTTTTTGCATTTACCCAGTTCATCACCTCATTTGATCTTCACAACACTGTGAGATGGACATTATCATCTCCATATTGCAGATGAAGAAATCAACCCTTAAAAACTCGGTGGGCTTGCCCATGGTGGCTGGCAGGAGAATGATGGAGCAGACTTCTCATTCTAGAGCTCTTCTCCTTTGCCTCTGTCATCATCTTCCCTTTGAACCCAGTCCTCTAAAACAGCTGCTTAAAAAACAATAATGAAGAACAAAGAACTGACAATGAATAGACTGTCAGAAGACACCTTTGTTCTGCCTTCCCTCCCCTATGGTGCTCTGGGAACTTTTGACATGCTGGGCCTCCTTGATTTATACCAGTGAATCTGTTGAATGAGATTTCCAGTTGTAATAGTAATTTTTCTATTATAATAATGGTGATTATTATTAATTATAATGCTATTTTTATTAAAGCACAGGCCATATGTCAGCAATAGAAAAGCATTTGATTTTTCTTGTATAATCCTCACAACAATCCTATGGAGAACCTGTTATTATCTCCACTGTTACAATGAAGGATCTAAAGGTTATAGACATTTGAAACTTGCTTAAAACAAAATAGTTAATAAGGGGCAGAACCAGAGTTTGAAATTAGGTCTGTCTGTTTCTAAAGCCCATGCTTTTAACCCCAAAACCTAATTTCCTCCCACACTGATGCTAGGTTTGCAGAATCTGGACTCCGCCTCCATACCCAGAATGTGTCACGAACACTAAGAAGTAAAGGACATGCTGAATCTTCTCCCTTCAGTTTCCCTCTTGCCTTTGCTTCTCTGCAGGTTGCTGGTTGGGTGTTGTATGCCTGGGACCCATTTTAAGTCTGTGCTGTCTAAGATATGAGTGGTGTATTAAAAGTGAAGACACGTTGTTTGCTTCACGGGCATTAATCAATGGCAAATTAGAATGCAATTGATATATGCATAAGACATGCACATTAATTCCAAATGTGTTTATCGTAATTAGTGCTGTTACAAAGAATACCAAAGGAATCAGGGAATGATTAGCTACACTTAGTATTTGTTATGGTTTGTTTAAAAAAGTTAAACATAACAATTAGTTGAGGTTTGAGGAGCGATGTTCCATTTGCATGGTGAACGTGGCTACAAGCCTTGGGTCTTTGCGAGTTTGAAGGTTTGAAGGGGGTTTCCTACTCAAGATTTTACCAAAAAAACTGAGTTAATGAGGCTATCATCCTCAATTAATGCTGTGGTTTTCCTTTCTTAATCATTTGTATCTTACAGCTGTTTTCTACTGTCACATCTACATCAAAAAGCCTATCAATTGAGAAAGATGAACAGAGGGGATAGAAAAGTAGACCAAAACATCTAAAAGGATCTATTAGTATATACTTATATAGAAGTATACTTTTGAAGAAACTAGCAAGTTATGGCTGACATACAAAAAGCGGTACATATTTTAAGTATGTGAAATATTTAATGACAAGTTAGGAAATAGTGTACACCCTTGAAACCATCACCATAATCTATGCTATAAACCTATCCAGCACCTCCGAGAGTTTCCTCCTGCCCTTTTTATTAGTTATTATTATTTTGTAATGAGAACTCTTAACACAAGATCTGCCCTCTTAGCAGATGTTTAAGTATATAATAGAGAATTGTTGACCACAGGCACTATGCTGCGCTGTCCATCTCTAGGATTTATTCATCTTATATCACTGAAACGTTGTATCCTTTGACTGATACCTCCCACTTGCCCCCTCATCCCAGCCCCCAGACACCAGCATTTCACTCTCTGCTTTTATAAGTTTGACTATTTTAGGTTCATTATATAAATGAGATCATGTAGTATTTGTCCTTCTGTGTCTGGCTTATTTCACTCAGCATAATGTCCTCCAGGTTCTTGTATGTTGTCACAAATGGCAGGGTTTCCTCTTTTTTAGGGCTGAATAATACTCCATTGGATGCATATACCACATTTTCTTTATCCATTCAGCCATGGGTGGACACTTAGGTTGCATCCATATCAAAAGGATAAGTACATACTTATTTGGGGGAAGAAATTATGACCCAATTTATTTTGAAGGTGGTGTTTTAATTGACAAATAATAATTGTATATATTTATGGGTATGATGTGTTGTTTTGATAACTGTTTTCTTTTTTTTTTTTTTTTAAGGTGGAGTCTCGCTCTGTCACCCAGGTTGGAGTGCAGTGGTGCGATCTCGGCTCACTGCAAGCTCCGCCTCCCAGGTTCACGCCATTCTCCTGCCTCAGCCTCCCCAGTAGCTGGGACTACAGGTGCCCGCCACTACGCCTGGCTAATTTTTTGTATTTTTAGTAGAGACGGGGTTTCACCATGTTAGCCAGGATGGTCTCGATCTCCTGACCTCGTGATCCGCCCGCCTTGGCCTCCCAGAGTGCTGGGATTACAGGCGTGAGCCACCGCACCAGCGATAAATGTTTTCAATGTGAAGTGATTAAATAAGGCTAATGAACAAATCCATCATCTCACATACTTACCATTTTTTGTGGTAAAAGCATTTGAAATCTATTTTATCAATTTTGAAATATACAATGCATTATTATTTATTATAGTCACCATTCTGTATAAAAATCACTAAGGCTTATTCCTCCAGTCTAGCTGAAACTTTGTACCCTTTGATCACCATCTCTCCTTTCCTCATCCACCCGCTCCCCCAGGTTCTGTAACCCTCATTCTACTCTCTGTTTCTATGAGCTCAACTTTTTTAGAGTCCACGTAAAAGTGAGATAATGTGATATTTGTCTTTCTGTGCCTGGCTTATTTCACTTAGCATAATGTCCTTCAGGCTCAAGGATCAGTATATACTTTTAAAGGACATATGCTGCATTAGCCAGGGGTAGGATATTCATATGTATTGACATTGACTATGTCCTGGCATCTAATTTATGTGATCTTCATTTAATCTTCAGAATGACTATGAGAAACAAGTATTAAAATGAGAAGACTGAGGCTCAGAGAGGTTTATTTGCTCAGTTACACAACTACTGGGTTGAGGGCAGGGATTCAACTCCAAGTCTGTGTGAATTCACGTTCATGCTTGCTCTACTAAGGGTGGCTCACTTCCTTCAAGTGGCTGAATGCCTAGACTAATGATGCCAATTCCAGAGAACGTTGGTCCATTGTTCTGTGGTCAGTCTGAACCTCCCCCATCTGGCTGGTCACCTCCAGGATGGATGGAAAATAACATGGTTTAGCACAAACCCAACTCTGCTGATGAACCAGCTGCTCAAAGTGTTTGTCCTACCATGATTTCTGTTTTTTGAGGATGGGCTTCTAGGGAAGTAATCAGTCACATTAAGGAGTCCATTCAACAAACATTTGTTGAGCATATTGGGAATGCTGAACAACATGGGTAGAATGAGGGTCTATCCATGTTGAGAATGCTTCTCAGCTCTAGTGAGGTAGATGAACAGTACAGTCACCCACATGAATTCTTATAATTAAAGGGGAGTGGATAGACATACTGATACTTCCAATACGCTGAGAAATCTATGACAGATGCATGGAGTTCCTGGAGAGTTAATGAGAGGCTAATCTAACCTGTAGATTGCAAGGAGGCAAGAAATGCTTCCCATATGTGGTGTATAGGTTGAATTTTGATTATCGAATGCCTGCTTGATACTGTGCTATGCTCTGTGCATTATCCTATAACTCTGGGGAGTCATGTTCTTTAAGAGAGACACTGCTCGGACCATTCTCAGCACCTAGCACAGTTCCTGGCATGTAGGAGGCATCAGTAGAAAATATGTAACAACTCCTGGAAGGCAGTCTCCTGCCTCTGCCTTAGCACTTCCACACTGAGCATGTCAGCTGGAACAGGAGACCAGCTGTGCACCTTGAACAGCACTGGGTTTAAAGCCTGGATCTAACCCCTTGCTAGCCATGAAACCTTGGGAAAGTTCTTCCTTTATTCCCTGAGTTTCTTCATCTTTAAGTGGGAATAATAGTAGCCCAACATGACATGGTTGTTGTGAGGATTAAATGAGTTAATGCGTGTAAATGCCCTTAGAGCAGTAGCTAGCATGTAGTAAGCACAATAACCAATATTGGCTAAGTTTGTCATGAGGTCTCAATGAATCTTCTCAGAAAAGTCTCTGTTTTGGCAAATTCTGGCTTTCCTCTGATGTCATGTGGTCTGAATCTAAAATCCATTCTCTTTTTATAGATCTGGATGATATATTTTGATGGCATGATTCTATAATCTCTTTCTTAGAGAACTTTACTGAGTCCCGTTCAGTTTGTTCTAGCAAATAATAAACTATTAGATCTTATTTTGGTTATTTATATCAGCCACAGCAGTTGTAGCAATGGACAGAACCAGCCCGATAAAATCAGTATTATTGTTTTCCATTATTATCAGTATATCAGTTCAGTTTATTTTCCTTTCTTTTAAAATTAAAAGCAATGGGAACCGTCTGGAATCCACTTAAGGAAGAAAAGAAAATTTAATGGAAAGATACTGTAGGTATTTCAGGAAAAAACTGAGCCTCAAAATGGTAGGGATCAGGAAAAATCCAGGCCTCAGGGATAGGATTCTCTAGACTCCTGCTGGGTGCAGTGGCTCACACCTGTAATCCCAGCACTTTGGGAGGCCAGGGAAGGTGGATCATCTGAGGTCAGGAGTTTGAAACCAGCCTGGCCAACTTGGTGAAACCCCGTCTCTACTAAAAATACAAAAATTTGCTGGGTGTGGTGGCGGGTGCCTGTAATCCCAGCTACTTGGGAGGCTGAGGCAGGGGAATTGCTTGAACCCATGAGGCAGAGGTTGCAGTGAGCTGAGATCGTGCCATTGCACTCCAGCCTGGGCAAGGGAGCAAGACTCCATCTGTGAAAAAATAAAAAGAATTCTTTAGATTCTCCTTCCGGGTCTCTACCAATAGTGTAACTAGGTTTCCAGCAGATTCCCAGAAGAGGGAATCCAGTTTTCCCAGCTGTGGTCAGGTGTCCACCATTAAGCCAATCTGCTGAGACCAATGGGCAGAGTCCTGAAGCAGGAGCATGGCTATGAGAAGGTCACCACTCCATGGGGGGCAGGCAATTCCAAGGGAAGGGGCTTTTGGGTAACCTGCTTCATGTCTACTGCAGTTAATTTTTGTGTAGCATGGAGAGTTGTGATTTTACTTCTTGTTTTCCAACTCTGAGGATTAATCAAGTGTGGTTACTGAGCAGTGACCATGTACCTTGTTCTGTGCAAAGTATAGGGTGTGTGTGTGTGTGTGTGTGTGTGTGTGTGTGTGTGTGTGTAATGGTTACAACGAAGCAATTTGAAGGATCTTGTCCTTAGAAGTGCAAGCCCAGAACCAGACCAAGGAATGCTTTATCACTTTGAACATGATTGTGACTTCTGCATCAGCTGTTTTCCTAGTTCCTTTTCTTTTTAAATCTTTATGTCTTCTTCATATTTCATGCTTCTTAAAAATTGGGGCATCTTTGGCTCAAGTGTTCAATATAAAGGGTGGATTTTAAAGGGAAGCATGTAAAATACTATCAAGTTTAGTGCGTTCTTATTGTATGTCAATAACTGTACAAATTCATTATTTTCTCATTGAATATTCCCAGCCCCCTCAGCAGAGGCACTAGGATAATCCATATCCCACAAATGAGGGAGATGGGCCTTGAAAAGAGGAGGTAACTTCCTCAAGGTTACACCACTAGTATGAACTGAACAAAAGCTTCTGAATTCAACTTTGCTGACTCCAAAGCCAGTGCAATGGACAGGGCCAGTCATGTCACTTTTCATTTTGTTTAGTAAATTATTTTTCATATTTTGCATACATTTCATATTTTTCATTTTATTTATTTGATTTCCTCATGGAAAGATTTTTATTTTTTAAAGCCGTGATCTCACTGGTATTTCCTGAGTCTGTACTATTTAATTATATAATAGATTCCTTGCAAAAACAATGAAAATGAGCATTATTCTTTGAAAACCAACAAATGATAAAAATTAAATTATTAAATGGCTATATAACTAATTTTTTGATCAGCATCAGACACATTTTAAAAGCAATTTGTTTGAAAACATGTGCAAAGACAAGGTGTGTGCAGTATCAGTTAGTGGGTAGTACTAACTTATATTACATACTATGATGTTTGCCATGATCCTGGAATGGTGGGCTTGAAAATGACCCAGGGAAAGATTATAGAAGGGGCTACTAAGATAATGAAGAGGAGGTGATGATCACTGGGACTGCAATGAGGGCTTGGTGCAAGCAATTCATGCTAGCATAAATCTTACTGCTTTCGTAAGGGTCACAGACTTATTAGGTAGAAAAAAAAATAAGCAGAATGGACCTCGGCAACATATCTGAACAACTTCCTTGTGGTATCTTTGTGGCCAATATGGAATGTATTTGTATGTAAGGAAAACTGATGGGTTAATAATTGGCCAAATGATTATACTCAAAGTATACTGACCAGTGGTTGAAAGTTAACCTGAAGATAGTGTCCCAAGTAGCCAACTTTAGGGCCCTGTCCTTGGTCCTGCCCTCCAGTCTACCTAAGAGATGCAGGCTTCACTTTTCTCAGGTTGGTGAAGATACTGATGGCAAATTGTACCCAGTGCACAAATAATACGAAGACAGGATGGGACAGTGAATACTAAGACAGAAACAGGATATAAAATGATATTTATAGACTAGAGATCTGGGCCAAGTCTAACAGAACAAAATGTAGCAGGGATAAATGTAAAGTTCTACAAATCCCAAAATTAAACTGCACAAAATAGGATGAGGTAGATGTTTCAGAGAATTAGTAGCATGAGTAAAATATTAAATAGCTTGGGAACCAGTAAGCTCAAGGTTCACTATGAGTCAATTCTGTGATACAATAAGCAAAAAAACTCACAAAGCCTTAATCTATTTTAATAGACCTATATTCTAGAATGAGAATGGGGATAATTTCTTGGAACTATGCATTTCTTAGTTCGGAATATCGTGTCTATAATATTTTAATTTAGAATAATTTTTCTGCCTTGGTGGGTACATAATGAGATATGGACAAATTGGAAGACATACAAGAGAGGGAGAAGCACACAGCAAGAAAGAGAGGGCAAAAAAGAGACATTATAGCAGCCTTTAGATGCAGGAAGGGGTGTCAAGTACAGGAGATATTAGTATTGTTTAATGCAGTATGAGATTGTGGAATTGGTGCTAATCTGTAGCAGCCACAGAGAGATAAATTTGGGGTCAAAATAAGGAATACATTTCTAATAGGAATGCCTGGTTATAAGTTTTCCTGGGAGGTACTGGACTCTCTCTTATGGGAGATTAAAAATCCTGGGTTGGAATGTAATGTAGGATTGGTCTCAAATGGCATTACTACAGATTATAGGTGTGTCCTGAAATGGGGATACTCTAAACATTTTGAGCAGATGAGTGACAGGATTCTGACCATCCTGCAAGAGATGGGCCAGCCTGAAGTCAGGGAGACTAGTTAGGAGGCAATTGCTCTCATCCAGATGAAACAAAACTTGATTGGAGGTAAGGGTTAAGTAGACACTGGAGAGTTTAGGATAGGTCCATTGCTCCAAAGCCCTTGCAAGGCACGGTGAGTGAATGAGAGATAGCTAAAGCTTGCTGTGCATCTGGGGCAATCATTTAATGTCTGGGGTCTGTATTCACTCAGCTGTGAAATGAGAGGCTAAAATCAGGATCCCTTTCATTCATGACATTCTGTGATGAAAACAAGCTATAATAATCCCATCGCAGGGAAGGTGCATTTATAGCTCTGTGTCTGCTCACTTAAGTAGTCTGATATGAGGAGGGAAATGGAGGTGGCTCCTACCCAGAGATACTCTCCCACAATGACCTTGTACTGTGGCTGGGATTTTGTCACTGGGGTTTTTATTCAATTAAGTTCTTATATGCTCACTTAAAAAATGTAAATGCTAATAGGAAGCATATATATATATATATATATATATATATATATATATATATATATAATAGTTTAGCAGCAGGAATGAGGTTTTCTGATTAGTTGCCTTTAAAAGCTCTGTTAAGCACAGTCTTAAAACTTTTTTTTTTTGAGGCAGAGTCTTGCTTTGTCACCCAGGCTGGGGTGCAGTGGTGCGATCTCAGCTCACTGTAACCTCCGCCTCCCAGGTTTAAGTGATTCTCCTGCCTCAGCCTCCCCAGTAGCTGGGATTACAAGTGCCTGCCACCATGCTGTCTATTTTTTTTGTATTTTTAGTAGAGATGGGGTTTCACCACGTTGGCCAGGCTGGTCTTGAACTCCTGGCCTCAAGTGATTCGCCTGCCTCAGCCTCCCAAAGTGCTAGGATTACAGGCATGAGCCACCGCACCTGGCTAAAGCATTATTTTTTTGTGATAAGGAAAAGAGAGAGATCATTTTGGAGCATGGGACACTGCTTGGATTGCAAAGCCAAGTAAGGTGCCACAGTTGGCAAACTTGGCAAGGGAGGGGAATCACCACTGAGGGTAAGCCTTGCTTGTAAAAGAGTGGAAGGACTTCAAGGGCAAATTTAAGTCACTTCACAGTTTTACTGTGGGCTGGGCCAGCTCAGAGGCTGGACCACAGATATATTTAGCCTCCCTCTTCCATTTATTTGAGAAGACGATCTTAGGGATGTTAGGCGTGTCCCATTGTGATTGTTGTTACATCTGTGCAGTGATTAAAATATAACTTCCTTTCATCAGCGCTTGATTCCTTTAAATGGAATTCATTACTCTCATCTGAACATTTTATGTTAAAAACAAAAGATCATAGAGCAGTCTGAGGAGGTATATAATAATTAAGTTACTGTTGAGGTTCTGATAGTTACTATCAACTTAAAATAGAGAGTTTAAGTATTTTCTATATATCCTAAATGCCTGTAGACAGATTTTTATCGTTGGTTATTCAACAACCTTGGAAAGGGTTTGTTGGAATTCATGGGGCTTTTGAAGAAAAACCAAACCAAGCCAACCAACCAACCAACCAAACAAACAAACAAATGAACAAATGGACAAACAAACTTTCATGGAAACTGGGACTTTGGCTTCAAAAGTAATTTTGAACTAAACTCTTCTAGTAATTTATCACTGAAGTAGGAGTATGTTCACTCTATTGACTGACCTTTTAATTAAATGTTGTACCTGGCTAGCTATATTTTAAGAATTTGGCATTGACTTTGGACAACCATGGGTAATCTATCCAAATGAGATTTACTTGGGTCTTCCCCACAGAAGAAGGTTTAGGGCACCTTCTAATTTGTTAAATTATGAGTAAGGAATCCATTTGATGGGTGGAACCAGGGCCACCTTCACTGTTTGAGAAAGGTTAAGTGATATTTACCAGCACATTTTCTTGAATGTTCGTGTCAAGAAATATAAAAGGAAAAGTGATCTACATTCATGTAGAATGATTGGGCCAGGTTATGTCAAGAGGAGAATGAATACACTAAAGACCCGAATGAAAGTTTCCCTTAAGGCTGGATTCTGAAAGATGCACTGAATATAAAATGTTTGAATAAAGGAAGAACAGGAAGAGTGTTAAGTATTTACTGCTAGCAACACTTAGCTTTTAATCAAGAGCTCTTTTCCTAATACTATACGAATGATTAACTTTGATAATAGAAGTGTAAGGATCCTAATTTGTGACTTTGTTGATGGTTTTTCCCTCCTTTCTAAACGTAGTTTTAAAATACACTAACTTTCATTACCTTATAGTAGGCTTTTTCAAAGGACTTCCTTATCCTCAATCTTATTTACTAGTGTGACATTGTCCTTGGGGTTTATGTTATGGCACCATGTTATGAATGAGGCAGCATTATTGTGACATTCTTCAGAGATCAATGACCAAAAAGTCCAAGGCTGACCTATAGCTACAAGAATTTTGGGCTATCATTATGCTGACCATATTT
This sequence comes from Homo sapiens, assembly GCF_000001405.40. Classification (NCBI taxonomy): domain Eukaryota; kingdom Metazoa; phylum Chordata; class Mammalia; order Primates; family Hominidae; genus Homo; species Homo sapiens. The sequence continues at coordinate 104,753,890 of NC_000010.11, forward strand.
TCAGAAGCCTCAAATGTACTATTTATTTTCCTAGTTGAGAATGTATATATCTGGAAGGTTTAAATCATAGTTACATCCTGTAAAGAGTCTTAATTTGGTAGACCTAATATAATTTAGTGAAATTTGCACTGGGCCAGGCAGTCTGAGAGGTAGAGTTCAGGGGCCCTATTTGGGCTGGTCTAGTTACTAAAATTCTGCTATGTGCTAGGCACTGCGCTACTAATTTTGTGAATGTTTGGTGCTTAAATCAAGGTTAAGCAGCTTACCCGTTTGTGATAAGTGACAGGGCTGGGATTTTATCCCAGGCCTGCCTGTGTCAAAAGCACATGCTGTTTCCATCACACTGAGTTTCTCTGCTCTCTACCAGTTTGTCATATGGGTCTGCTACATCAAAATCATCCGGGGCCCCTGTTAAACATCAGATTGTCAGACCCCACGCAGGGCCTCCAGAATCTCTCCAGCTGTAGCTAGCCAGCTCTCCAGGTGATTGGATTGTATGGCCAGGTTTGGGAATCATGGGCACCTTTGAGCATCATTGCTTGCCCTTATACTGTAACCTTTAGAGGGCAACACTTTTGCTGCATACCTATAGGTATGGCAGATGTTAGACACAAAGTCCAGAATAGGGGGGGAAAAACTTTACCCCCCTGGCGTTTTTGGTTTTAGGTGCTATTAAGGGAGAAGTTGAGAGAGACATACATTGAAAGATAGATAAGCTTCCCTGAGACTTGGAGTTGAGAGCAGTGTTTGGGCTTGGGGCCTTGCTTCCTGTTCTAGGACATGGAAATTTACTTAGGAAATGATTCTCATCAAGCTTGTTTGTAACTTGGGATATTCATCAATAAATGAAAGCTGATTATAGAAATCAGTCCCTGCTGGGGCCCTGCTAGGCTACGCCCTGACCTCTGTGCCCATATATTGACATCTTGTTTACTTGCATCTATAAAGATTTATTCCAGTCATTAGAGGATGGCAATTTGAACCCTAGAATTACACCCTATTCCTGCCAGCTGATTTATGTGTTTTCTCCTTTTCACCAAGCACAGAAATAATCCAGATGGAGTCAGGGTGGGTTGGAGGGGGATGCCAAAGAAGAAATTAAATTAGAAAAGGTGCAATTGAAATAACCCAGCTAATCTTAGCAGAGCTCTGTGGCTAATGCATTACCGGTGAATTCCTTCTGGTCGACTGAAAATAGTATTAATAGTGTATAAATATATGTGTGTTAGTTTGTAATAGGGAGGAGAGGAGGCAGGCAGAGGATAGATTTTGTTTGGAATTATTGACTAACAGTTGAAACCTGACCAATGATTTGGTACATTCATTCATTCCTTTATTCAATGATTCATACAGCTGTTCTGCAAGGAGATATTCATTCATTCAATCATTCATACATTCATTCCACAAAAACATATTCAGTCACTCATTCATACATTCATTTTGCAGGGAGATATAACTGAGCACTCACTATGTACCTGGGACTTATCCATATGTGAATTTTCTTGAGAAGAGAACTTGGGACTTAACATTAAGGAATTTAAAATTTAGATCAGTAATAAGATTGCATGAGAGTTGAATAAGGACATAAGAATTGAACAGGAAATATCATAAGAGACAAACTAAGTGTTGCAGAATGAAAGTGGCAGAGTAGTTAAGGAAAACCTAGATGAAAAGAATAATCCTGAAGAATTTAGGATTCAATTTGATACTTGAGTTTCTAAGATGGGATAGATTTACATAGGAGTGAGGACATTCCAGGTGGGGAGAATGGTGTGAGCAAAAACCTAGAAGCAGAGGTATGCTGGGGGCATTGACATTCAGGCCAGCCAAGTTTTGATCACAGGGATCATGTTTGTGAGGCAGAAGAGCAATATGAGTTTCATTTGATGATGTAGAATAATACCATTTTTGCCTTTCCTCATCACAGTTATCACACAGAATCATAATGATCAATGTTCCTGTCTGTTTTCTCCATTAGATTGAAAGTCCTTAAGATCAAGGACTGAGTATTTTTTTGTGGGGGCTTTTAAGTACCCTTAATTACACAAAGCTGTGCACCCAGTTATTGAGTGGAGACTGACTAGGGACATGTCTGGAATGAGGCAGTGGGGAGCCAGCCCCTGCTTCCCTTTCTTGCTGCCTGTTACATGTTGAACATTAGCCAAAGTGGTTTTCTCATTTATAAAATCATTAAGTTATTATGTGGCTCCTCATCCATGTGGTTAGAGGAAGTCGAGGTCACTCTGAGCCTCGCAACACTATTATTAGAGTTAGGCCATCAGTGAACTGTGAGTAAGAGGATGCATGGTGGTGAACTAATGGACAGCTGTTTACCAAGGATTTACTTCTCTCCACACCTATGTTAAATACTATGGGGGCATATAAAAAGTGCATATAGGATCACATAAGAGCACTGTCCTTCAGAAGTATACAGCATACTGGACTGATGAGGTTCCTCTACACGCAATAGAAATAAAAGAATGTCTGAATAGTCCATGGAACCTGCCTTGGTTTATTTTTATCTATAAAGTTGGACTGGATGATCTCTAAGGATCCTTTGAGTTTGAAGCTGATGGAGAGCTCAAAGAGTTCAGCAGGGGTAAATAACTAGGAAGGGCAGGCAATGCTTATTCAGCACCTTCTTCATAAACAGAGTTTGTAGGCAGGGTAAGGGTGGGTGAAAGGTGGAGCTGGGAATCTATCAGCTGGGGTTTGAATGGGAGTGGAGAAAGCATCCCAAGAGTGGAGAAAGCCACAGCAAGGGGCAGAACCTGGAAGAGCATGCAGAATGGAGGCTGCCTGTGGCATCCAGGCGGGCCTCAGATGGCACCGATCCTCAGACAGTGGTCAGGGTAACACTTTCAAGACAGCTCCCTTGTGAGCTTTAGTACCTCTCTTTAGAAGTTGCTGGCAGTGCATTGGCTGGGATCCTGAAAGTTCATGCTCTGTGCTAGTGTATGGGGAACATTCTGATACTTGGGTTAGTGATTTCTGGGACTGAATATTAAGGACTTGATCTTCTGTCCGTTCCACCTGCTTTCAGGACCACTGGAGATAGTCCCTTGGCTTCTACTGAAGCTGGAAGATCTGTGTCCATGTACAAGATCAACAACCATTATCTCCTTGGACTTCTAACTCACTCCAGCATTGAACAGCTGCTGTTTTCCAAGTTAAGGGTTTTTTTTTTTTTTTTTTTTTTTTTAGCCAATTATAGCTCACAAAAGTTTGTGCTTGCTCTGTCCAGGTGGGTCTGCCAGAGGCCCCCTGACCCAAATGTTCTGTCCCCACATCATGTGGCAGCACAACCCAATTAGAGGTGACCAGGGCAGCTGTCCACATAATTGTATGCAGTTAACATCTAACCCTTGGCTTTCTTGGCAAAGCAAAGGCATTGGCCTTTTGGCTTCTGCTGGTCCGGTCAGCAATTACCCAGTTATTAAAACTAAATAATTGCCATTAGCTCTTGTCCTCAGTGCATCCTGAGTCTCACTGCAGGTGGATCTTCATCTCATTTGCAAAGCTCTCCAATGCAAGGCAAGGGATACTTGTCCTTCAGACACTAGGCAGGTACAACAGCAGAGCAGTCTCCCTGTGTGCCACAGTTTCCAGCTGCTTTTGCGTTTCGAGGTGTTACTGTGAATTTTGCGCTTCTGCCACAGAGCCGATGCCTTGTGTGTCTGTGTGCTTGTGTATTCAGAGGGCTGCTGTTTTATTGTTGGGTTGGGGGGATTTTCCTTTGCTTTTTCTTAGCTGGATATTGCCTTTTGGTGGTGGCTTGAAATTCAGTTCGGGGGTGTGAACTTTCTCTTCATTTTTTTCTCCTTTTCTTTCTTTCGAGTTCTCATTTCTGAAGAGATTTCTGTTCTTAAATCCTAGCATTAAATGGAGGTGTTTTCATTTTCTCTGGGAGAAGTTTCACAGCACAGGTGTGTGCTTGATTCTCTACTTGCGGTTCCCCACTGCCACCACCCCCCCCCCCACACCCGCTGCCTTGATGCTGATAGTGGCTGTCTAAAGTACAAAGGGAAAGTTAAGCTTACAGGTTGTCCTTCTCTTTGATTGTATTCTTGGCTGTAGCTTCTCAGCCCTTTGCAGGAGGAACTCACATCAGTCTGGAACATAAAAACAGGAGAATTTTCAGCCCTGGAAATAATTGCTTCTTGGAGTAGATCCTTTGGGAGCCTCCACACTGAGGAATGAAGTTTGACTAAGCCCCAGCAATGAATAGGACTTGGATGAGGAGAAAGGGTCTGAGATCTGTGTTTCGAGGCAAGGAAAATTCTGGCAGGATCCGTTTGCATATATATTGAGGCCTAATTAGGCCCTCGGTGTGTTTGGAAACTGCTTTGTTGCGGTGGGTATGATATTATTCCATTTTAAGTACTTCCAGAGGGCAATGATCTTTAACTCAGATTCATTCCTGGACTTTATTTTTGCAGGGGTGGGTGGAGTGTAACCATAATGAGGGTTACTGCATTTTGTCTTTATGGCTATAATCTCACTCATTTATTCCTTTCTTCAACTATTTGATACATGTTTATCAAGTGGTCACCCAGTATAAAGTATGGCACAGCCTTGAACCATAGATTAAGGTGGTAGGGAGAGTCTGTAGGGGCCATTGTCTAACTTCTCATTTTGCAGAGGGGGAAACTTTGTCTCCATTTTTCTCATCTGTTTAGTGTCTCTCCAAGATCCCGGGCCTTTGAACATTCTAGCTTTGGGATGTCTCCTTTCCTGGATGCCCTACACTTCATCACTTTAAAATGACAGCTGAGACCTTGCAGGGTCATTGAGGTTATTAGGTGATCTAGCTGGTACTTTGGGATATTGTGGCTCCTCGCCAAGTAGGAATGGGCTCACATCTCTCTTTTAGTCCTTCTCCCAAGCAGCTTCTCCAGCCCCAGAGTTCATTCTTTCTGTGCTCCCTTTTTAGCGGCCGGACAGGGCTGATATGCCTCCACAGTTCTGAGTTGACCCAGACATGACTTCACTCTGAAGAAGTAGATCCTGTTAGGGAAACCGGTTTCAAACATGAGGTCTTGTATGGCTTGAATTGTGTCTCCCTAGAATTTACATGTTGAAATCCTAATCCCTGGCACCTGAGAATGTGATCGTATTTGGGAATAGGGTTGTTGCAGATGGGATTAGTTAAGAGAATGTCATGCTGGAGTAGGGTGGGCCCTGATCCAGTAGGACTGATGTCCTTATAAAAGGGGGAAATTTGGACACAGACACATATAGGGAGGATGCCATGTGAACATTAAGGCAGAGATCAGGGTGATGCAGCTGGAATGCCAGAGGTTGCCATCAAACAACTAGAAGCTGGCCAGAGGCTGGAAAAGATAATTTATTAAAAGATAATCCCTTAAAAGGAAGCAACTCTGTCCACACCTTAATCTTGGACCTCATCCTCCAGAACTGTGATAAGATAAATATCTGTTGTTTAGGCCACCCAAACTGAGTGGTACTTTGTTACAGTAGTCTTAGCAAACTCATACACAGAGGATTTGAGAGTGTTTTCTGGAATCTGCAGAGGGCCAAATAATCCCCTGGGGAGGGGACATGACTGAAGAGGGACTTGTCTCTCTCTCACTGCCATTCCAACAGAACAGGGGATTCTTGGATAATATTCTGCTGAGATTGCGTGAAGGTTACTTTAGTATATAGTTTCAGCATATTGATTATATGTGACCTTTTATCTGGAATACCCTCTGACTTTTTTTGCCCAAGTTTTATTTTTCTCAAGTCACTGTTTCAGATCCGGCTCAGTCCTCACCTCCTTGGGATATCTTTTTCTACACCCAGGCTTGGGTAGGTGTTTTCTGCTCTCCTTTGCTGTAACTTACCTCGTTGTATTCTATTTATGCTGATTTGCTGATTCACCAGGTGTTCTGTCGAGGATCTGTCACGGCCTGGTGATGTCCTGTTGGTTCTGGGTCAGTGGCTGACACAGAGGAGGTCCCTGTGCTTGAGGAGCTTGTACAGAACTGGGGTGAATGGATGGTAAACACGCTAGTGGACAGAATAATTTCAGATTCTGGAAGGTTCTAGAGAAAAAACAAAACAAAGTAATGTACCGAGGGGAAGCAAGGGACAGCTAGAGATACGGGGCCCAGGGGGGCAATAGCTGAGCTGAGATCTGAAAGAACAGGAGTCGGTCATGCAAAGATCTGCAAAAGAAAATCCCAGGTGGGGGAAGAGCAAAGTGCAAAGGCCCAGAGGAGGGACCTGTCCTGGTGTGTTCAGGATGGAGTGCTTGGAGAATGGCAGCTGAGCAGGAGAGTCAGTGGTGAGGTGGAAGAGATTAGCAGGAGTGGGGTCTTGTGTGCCTTGTCTCAGGGCCAGACTGTGAACTTAGCATGGAAAGGATTTTGTAACTTTTGTCACTACAGCAGCTGGCACACAGTCAGTGCTTAATATATGTATGAATAACCATAAACACTTGTATGTATACCTGTTAATCAAACATTATTAAACAATACCTCATTTATCTAAGAATTGCTTCTTAGGCAACCTCTGCTAGCCAGGGTGCATCAAGAAGCAACAAAGAAACAAACACAATTCAGAGACACCAAGTCAAGATGTCAAGAGTTTTATGTACTCCAAGTTGAACATTTTTCTCAGAGAATACTGACTTTGGTCCTTGTTCAGAGCCCAGTAACTATTTCTTTATATACTATTATAGTACTTTCTTTGCATATTATTGTAATAACTTTGAGTGTTAATTTTCTCAGTTCCTAGCAAATTTAGAGCAAGAAGTTATCATTGGGAAGGAAGTAGGAATTGGAAAATTGACATGAGAGGCAGACACTGTGATGGCAATATGACGTGACGACAGACAGACTGTAGATAGGAAGGAAACAGCTAGGACTTCAGAAAGCTCATCAGTATGAGTCTCTTGATTCAGAGACAAGCAGTCTTAAATATCACAGTAAGCCTGAGACATCATGTATGATAGCTTGGTAAAAATACATGCTCTTAACAATGAGGATTCTGAAGTACTGCAGGACAGATTACGTTTTTTTTTTTTTCTCCATTTGTTTTATCGAAGAAAACAGGGAAGTAGAGACCATTCTAGAATAATTTCCATTTGAAATGGTTAAAATTCAAAAACAGATCTGGTGCTTAAGGATAAGCTTCATTTATCTGGAAAATGTACTTCTATGGAAATCCTACCTCCTTGAATGATGCCAAATAAATGAAAATGTGATTGTTTAGCCCTTTGATCTTCAAAAGCCTTAGTACAAGTGGTAGATGATTTCCTGTGACCTCCCAATCAGACCAAGGAATTATTATTTCTGTTTTTTCTCCTTCCTAAGAGCAAGGTAGAAAATGACGAGCAAACAATGACATTACTACAGTGGCATTTTAATGGGTGTTCAGGGAACTAAAAAGTCAGCAGAGGCACTGTATGAAATATTCATGGGTATTTTTCTATTTTCTTGCCTCTTCTCGCTCCAGATACAGGAATGAAGTGTATCTGGAGAGAGAAGATACATACCATATCTGGAGAGAGAAGAGGCAAGAAAATAGATACAGGCCAAGTGTTCTGAGTACAGGAAGCATGCAGAAATGGCTCCTGCAGGCCTATCTTTGACCTTTCATGGGAGGGATAGACAAGGCTCTTCCATCCCCCACCCCAAACCTTAATTTTTATTTTCCTGAAATCTTGTTTTTCCAGTAAGCTGAGATCCCTCTGCTTCTTGCAGAGTATCCAAGATCCTGAATGGATATTGACAGTCTAATCTCCCCTTGGGAATTAGAGGAGGATTTTGAAGATGCAAATTTCCCCACTAAAGGCTTCTGGGAGAGGGTGAATGTGATCAAACAGATTATTGTCATTGAAGTGAGAAAATGGGGGCTGGATGGACTGGTCTGGGGTACCTCTTAGGTACTGCCTGTAAAGCGTTGACATGATACAAAGTCAGGAGATCCCTAGGAAGCACTTTCAGGGTTGGGGTGGTATCTTATCAGCAAGCTGCAGTTGCAACATTGCCTGCTTTTGCCTGTTAATGATTCTTAAATATAAGCTTGGCCACTATATGGGCCTACACTGCTTGTGTGTGCTTTTCTATGGAGACACATTATGTGAAATTCTAAACTTCCGAAACCAAATTTCATGGAAACACTCCTCTACCACAAGAATCCTTCTCTTAAGCACGTGCAGTCCCCTCACTGTTCCCACCTCTGAACATGAACTCATGTTTTCACCCAGGTGGATAGCCTTCATTCTCCACAGGTCCTATTAATTCTTTTGGTCCATCTCTGGCCCCACCTCCTCCAGTAAGTCCTCCCTGTTCACCCCAGTTTAGTGGGATTTCATCTCCTCATCTTTTGTGGCACATGTTGCCTGACCATTTGTGGTGTGCTGGTCAATGTTCTCTAGGTGGAGGGGGAGAGTCCTGATTTGTAGCATTTACCAATTTCTGTAGTGTAAATACTTCTGCCATGGGTTATTTCAAGCTAACAATGTGGTGTTAGTGAATGCAGAGCTGGGAAGCAGGAAACGCATTTGCTTTTCTCCAACGATGCCAGCTGGCTGCGGCATACTACTGCGTGGAGGGCCCTGGAACTGTCTTTGCATGTCTTTCTTATCTCTTCAACCAAAACCTAAGCCTCAGTGTTGCTTAACTCTGACTTCACATTAGAAACGCTTGGTGATATGGTTTGGCTCTGTGTCCCTGCCCAAATCTCATCTCAAATTGTAATCCTAATGTGTCGAGGGAAGGACCTGATGGGAGGTGATCAGATTATGGGGGCAGTTTCCCCCATGCTATTCTCATGATAGTGAGTTTTCGAGAGATGTGATGGTTTTAAAAGTGTGGCACTTCCCCTTCACTTGCTCGCTCTCCTGGTGCCATGTAAGACATCCTTGCTTCTCCTGTACCTTCCATCATGATTGTAAGTTTCCTGAGGCTTCTCTAGCCATGCGGAACTGAGTCAATGAAATCTACTTTCTTTATAAATTGCCCAGTCTCAGGTAGTATCTTTATAGCAATGTGAAAATAGACAAATACACCTGGGAGTCTGTGACAAATACTAGTGCTCAGACTCCATCCCCAGAGTTTCTGAGTCATTGGTTGTGGTAGGGACCCAGGCGTAAGTATTTTTAAGCAGCTTTCCAGTTGAGTGTGATGTACAGCCAGAAGTGAGAACTGCTGCCTTAAATGCAGGGAGGATATTTTTTTCAGTGTTTCTCAAAGTGTGGTCCCTGGCACGTGATAGAAATGCTAATTTTTGGTTCATACCCCAAACCTGCTGAATGAGAAACTCAGGGTGGGAGATTAGACCAGTATTCTGCGGTTTAATAAGCCCTCCAGGTGATTCTTACGCATGCTAGATTTGAGAACCACTGTCTTCTATCTTCTGAATACTTATGAAAACTAAAGACAGTTATAGGCACACAGCTGTGCCCAATCAACACTTGTTGATTAAAATCTATCAGGGAGTACATTTTCATGAAGCAAGCTATTTTTTCCTCTTTGTGAGAAGATTTAGTACAGAGTACCTTAAAATAGAGGTTTCTTTTTGCAGATTGAATCATGTGGCTTACAAATAGTCAAGGATCTAGGATTTACTGTTCATTCAGCTATGTGGAAACACACCTATTACATTAAACAAAGTAGAGTTTATTCATTCCACAAATATGTATTGATAGCTGGGAATAATTTGTTATTAGTCCATCTTCCCTTATGATGGCCACTCTCCATCAGGGCAGAACAGGCGTGGACTTCTATGCTCCACTTGTTACTTACAAGCTAGATGATCTTGTGGCCAACGCTTCTTTAGACCATATTTTTTCAAAGTTATTAATTGATATTGTTTGGCTGTGTCTCCACCCAAAATCTCATTTTGAATTGTAATCCCCATAATCTTCACATGTCAAGGAAGGTAATTGAGTCATGGGGGTGGTTCCCTGCATGCTGTTCTCCTAATAGTAAGTGAGCTCTCATGAAATCTGATGGTTTCATAAGTGGTTGGTAGTTCCTCCTGCATTCATTCTCTCTCCTGCCACCTCGTGAGGAAGGTGCCTTGCTTCCCTTTTGCCTTCCACCATGATTGTAAGTTTCCTGAGGCCTCCCCAGCCATGCAGAACTATGAGTCAATTAAACCTTTTTTTTTTTTTTTAATGAATTACCAGTGGAAGGTACTGGTAATTCATTAAAATGAAAATGGACTAATACATTAATTTTACATAGTTTTCTGTTTTGGCTTGATGCAGGATATCTAAAAAACTTATAATAAACTTCATAAATAATGATGAAAATAGTGATACATTCTTATTACATTCAGAGCAAAAAAACCTGATACCTTTACTACTTCTGCTTTTTCAACAGTAGCAGTGCTATGTTTATCAAACTTTAATGTGCATGTGAACTCCTGGGGATCCTGTTGAACTGTAGATTCTGATGAAGCGGTCTGAGGTGGGGCTTCAGATTATGTATTTCTAGCCAGCTTCCAGGTGATGCCAATGCTGCTGGCTCATAGACCACATACTGAGTAGTGAGGCTTTGAGATTCTAGCTGATGCAATAAAATAAGGAAAAGGAAGAAAGGGTATGAGAACTGCAAAGGAAAATTATTTGCAAAAATGATTGCCTACAGAAAAGATTTACAAACCATTAAAACTAATAAGAATTTTATGCTTTACACATTCTGAGGTGCCCAGCTGCCTGGTGAGGTAGTTGTAGGGTCAAGTGATAGTAATTTGTAAATCATAAAGTATTCTAGATGCTTGAGCCAAGAAGGTAATGAAGTATTAGCTTCTCAAAGCATGGTTAATTGCACTACATTGCCTGGTCCATAGTACTGGGGTAATGTTTTTTTCAGAATGCTTAACTATGGTTCACCCAGCAGGCTCTAGGAATATATTTTTCACCTGTTTCCTGTGTCATATGAATCAGTTCCCTAAGTAGATTATTCCAGTTTTCAGAGACAGGGAGTTTCTTAAACTCCCTTTGGCAACGTGGTGAAGTGAAGAAATGACAAATAGGTTTTATCTGGTAGTCAACTCTGATGGATTGTCCAGGATTTCTGGAGTCTAAATGCTGAGATTATTTGTGCCTGAAGGCATGAGTGCTGTGATGGATCAGTGATGTCTGCCATCACAGAGGTCAGGGAAGGTGGTGGGCTGGTCCCTAGAGCTGGACTAACTTAGGTTTGAATCTCTACCAACAGCCAGAGACTCCTATTATTAAGCTCTGAGACCTCTTTTTAGGTCTGTGGGAGTGCCCTATATTTACGTTTCTTTCCTTTGGACCCCGTGGAACCTAGTCTTTTCTCTCTACCTTAACCATACTTCCTCTGTCCCCTGTAATTTCTCTCTCCTTGAGTGTGATGAGACAGGAAGACAGTTTCCTCAACTCTCCTTTTCCTCATAAGCCCCTTGCCCTTATGGGCCTGACTCCCAGTCTTTTGTAGAAACAAACAAATACCAACATGAAGAAATGAGGAGGTTTATGGAGCCTTACAAAGCTGTATGGTCGTGGAGCTAGTCTCCAACTCCTAAGTAGTTTAGGGGAATTTCTGAGTCCCTGTCTCCTTATCTGTAAAATGGGAGGTAATTATTTTGACCTCTCAGGGTTGTTGAGAGATTAAGTGATGTATAACGTACATGAAAACACCCAGTGGCTGGTACACAGCAGGTATTCAGTCACTGTTGGTTCCTTCTTCCAGCCAGCCCCCTGTGCACTTTGTCAACAAGGCTGACATAGAGTGGACGTTGTGACTAGATAGCTTTCTTGGCATAGAATCTAGATGACCTTCCTACATGCCGTTGGATGGGGAGAAATAACAATTATTTTTATTTAATAAAAACTCCCAAAGCTCTCGCACTATGCCAGGAATAGTTCAAAGTGCATTGTACATATTAGCTCATTTAATTTTTTTAATAACTATAAATTGGGTGCTATTTCACAGATGAGGAAACTGAGCCAATGAGAAATTAAGTGCAGTTCCCAAGGTCACTCAGCTAATAAGTGTCAGACCTGGGATTCCCACCCAGTGAGTCTGGCTCCAGGGTCTGTGTTTTTAGCTGCCTTACTATGTTCCCACATCTAGGCCTGTGTGGGGAACATCTTGGTATCCACAGCTACTAACTTGCCCTTTGGGGCTAGAGAGGTTAGGGATTTGCTTTGTTTCTTGGGGGATTCCTTATCTTCTGGACTTTCTTGAAACAATACTTCTTCTTGACTCTGGCATTATTCTGCTGCATTCAGCAGGGTTCCCCAAATGACCCAGGAAAAATGTCAGCATGGGAGAGAGGGGAGTTGGGACTAAGTCTGGGACAGACCCAGTGAATCTGTTAAATCAGACCAGAGTGAACTGCCAGTGTGAGGCCATGGTCTGACTGCTGTGGTATTCATGAGCAGAGCTGAGAAAGTGATTGAGGAGAGTCTTGGTGGAACAGAGACAGTCACCACATCTGTATTTGTCTCTTTGGCCAATACTGAAGCCTTCACTCTCACTCCCACGTGTGGGGTTGTGAGAGGAACCATTGCATGGAGCAAATAGTGGCATCTGTACTTACCTCTGTCCAGGCACATTGCATTCACAGTGCTTGTTTGCTTGTCTGTGTCTCATGTGAGCTTTGTGGGAAGAGGAGGGGCTGTGTCTTTGTGTTCACTCTTGTATCGCAGGCACTGGCACAGTGCCTAGCACAGAGCAGTAAATGAATCATGAATGAATGACTCATTCAAGAAAAGGCCCTCCATACTGCTGACTGTTGGAGGATGCTGTCCTCCTTCACAGTGGCCAGTTGAGCATTCACATTGACTTTCTGTTGCTGCCACTGTATGGGCCATGTTGGAGACAGGATTTGGAAAAGTGGTAGATGGAAGGAAAAGCAGAGAGCACACACTGGGTCCAAGAAGATGTGGGGCCACGGTACCTCTGAATGTGCTGTGTGTGGTGGAGTATAATTCTCCATTGTAACTTGAATTGTTTTTGAGAAAATGGCAACTTCCTTTCTGTTTCCACCCAAAGGGTGCATATTGGCCTTCTGTGACATATTGTCCCATTATCTTCTCCCCCATGACTATGTGGTTTGATTTAACATAAATATTATCTGCATTCCAGTATTATAGACAAGGTTCATTTATCCCTGGGTAATGATCTTTTAGGTTTCTAATGTTTCAGGGGTTAGAGGAAGGATGGGAAAAGTGGTTGTTCTCAGATTCACATTCCTTCAATACTTCTGGTGACTAGCCTCACATCCCCAAGTTCTCCTTGCCTTCTGATTAAATGTGGTTCTGACTCTCAACATCTTGTTTTCCCAGCTTAAGTGTAAGCCCTCTGAGAGCTGATTCTGTGACTTGTGCTGACACAGCTCAGGATTTACATAGAGAAAATGATCAGTAAATACTTGAGTAGTGGGCAGTGTTTGTCCACTTAATCTGTGCTGCAGCAATGGAAAAAATGACCTTCTCAAGAGGGTGGCAAGTCCTGCTTTGCAAATCACTGAGTAAAGGAAAAGCCCCGAGGAGCCTTGGGACTGCTAGCCTACCTGCTCAATAAAGTTCCACCTTAAGATACAGGCTAAGCCTTACCTCCTGGGCCTGCAGTAACAACATATTTTGTAATGCTGATTCCAGAGGACTTGACTGTGGCAAGCTTGGGTAAGTTAGGTATCAGTACATGTCTTTGGAAATTGCAGCCTTCTCCCCCTTCCCCCTTTCCCTTCCTCTCCCTTTCTTGCTCCTTGTTTTTATTCCTCCCCCTTCCCCCTTCCCCTTTTCCTTCCCCCTTCCCCTCCCACTTCCACTCCCCGTTCCCCTTCCCCTTCTCCACTCCCTTCCCCTTCCCCTCCCACTTGCCTTCCTCTCCCCCTCCGCCTCCCCTCCCCTTTCCTCTCCTCGCTCTCTTTCTGCTTCCCCTTCCCTTTCCCCTTTCCCTTCCCTCCCTTTTCCCTTCTCCCTTCCCCTCCCTCTTCTTCCCCCCTCTCCTCCCCTTCCTCCTACTCTTGGTTTTTGATAAATTTATGAGTCTATTAGAGCTTGCTGGTAGTATAAAACATGGTCAATAGGTGCCACTCTTTGAATAGTTTTACTGTAGGCATTGCTCATCGTACTCCAGTACAGTGCATACTAAGGGATCTAGAACCCAGATGTTTAACAGAATAAGCAGAATTGGCACTTGAGTCAAATGTTTTCTGAAAATAAACCTCTAAATATATTCTCCTTGACCTGGGTCAGAACTGTAGAGCAGAGCTTCTAAAGGTATGGTTCACAGGAGAACTGCCTTAGAATTACAATTACCTGTCTTACTTGTTTAAAGTACAGCTTCTTGAGCTCCAAAGTAAATGCACAGAATCTAACTCCATAGGGAAGGCACCATGAATCTGCACTGTTCTGGGAGCTCCCCAGGTGATTCTTACATGCACTGAAGTTTGAGAATCATTTAGAGCAGTCACTTTTCCTTCTTTAGAGGGAGATAAGTAGGCACATTGGATTGGAATTCAGTATTAAGGAGGTGAACAACAGATAGTTTTTGAGACATCTGAGAGTTTGTTATACTGAAAAAACTGTGTCCTACTTTTTTTTTCTAAATTGTATTTTATAACACAAAGTATATTTAAGGAGAAGTTGTGGTTGAGACGGGGCCAGGGAGAATGGGAGAAAGGAAACAAAAAATTAGATAAGCAAAAAGATTTTTTTCTGTCTATTGTTTTCTTCAATGGTGTGGTATCCATTACCATCAAACAGAGCACCTGTAATAAGTCACCAGGGCTCTTGAAGAAATTGGTGAAGCTTCATTCTCTTGCAGTGCTTATTAGTGATTCAGTGTTTGTTCAGCTTCTGCTGATGGAGAATTTTCTCTTCAGAAGCTTCACAAGTCAGAGGTTACCCCTTGCTCCCTCCAACCCAATTTTCTATGCAAGAAGCATCTACTTTCTCTGCCTAATTAGAGACACTCCTCCTCCTGAATGACACTGGAGTGACCTGTCATGGAGGCAAAATGAGAGCACATAGAGAGTGTGGGTAAGTATGTAAAGACCTGGGCCCAGAGGGAGGTACAGAGGGCAGGGGCGAAGTGTGGAGCTGGCTATGCAGACCGAATCCAAATGGCCTTAGAGAGTAGCTCCACTTTCCAGCACCCTCTCTGCAGAATATTGACACAGGCTTCACTTTGTTTCTTCCTTGCTTCTGTGTCTCCCCTCTCCCACCACTCTATCTTCCAAACCTTCCACCTCTCCTGTTTTCATGAGTGGAAGAAGAGAGGGTCAAAGAACTGCCAACTTACTTGCATTTAAGAAAGTGGAGCCAACATGTAGTGTGAGAAATGTGTGGGCTCTTCACAATTGCACAGGGAAGAGCAGAGATTCAGGAGAAATGACACTCCTTCCAGGGGCTCTAGACTGCTGCATGTTAGGTCCCTACCAGCCCACAGCCAGAGGAAAAGCCAGGGTGAGGCCACTTCACAGGGCTGGCTCTGGAGGCCATCCCAGATGCTGTGCCCACGGAGGTGTTGTGGGCTGTTTCTGTTTCTGGAAACAGTTTCAGAACCTGAGTATCTGAGGAGATATCCGGAGGACCACAGTGAACATTCCTACTCCTTGAATGGAGGCTGGCCATGGTCCTTGCTGTGGGGAATGTGCCTAGGTTTGGGGAGATGCCTGCTGAGGAGCTTGGGACCCAGGTGTAAGATTCAGCATCTGATGGAAGAAGCTGGCAAGCATTACCTGCATCCTGTTCTGGTACCTAAAGGGAGGGGGGAATTTTCAAGACTTGTTAGAGCCAGGGGAGATCCACCAAGAATTAATGCCCAGCCTCCAGGAAGTCTGAGACATCTGCTTGGAGCCAGGGACATTTAGCTGCTGGTGTCTAGGGTGATGCTGTCAGGAGTGAGCACTGACTCTGAGGCTTAAGTGTCCCCTCTCTGTGTGTGCGACCTTGAATAGGACTTTCCCTGTATGTGTCAGCTCCTTATCTGCAAAATGAAGGGTTTAGGCATGCTGAGCCCTAAGTCTTGGCTTAGTCTTATAAATTATACACTTTTGTCAGATGACTTTTCTTTTGGGGGCCATTTGGGATAATGATAATGATGACTGTTATGGCAGTGTTGGCTGCCCGAGAGCGAAACAGGCTCCCTATGAGGTCATGAGCCCTTTGTCACTAGGGGTATTCATGTAGTCATCAAAGAGCACTTATGAGTGATTTCAAGACAATTTCATCAGGAATATCCAACTATTAAAAAGTTAGATTCCTGGGCTGCAACCTACTCTCAAGGACTCCAATTCGGCAGGCTTGGGATGGGACCTGGGAATTTACGTGAGGAACAAATCTGGATCAATGTGCTGCTGTAGGGAGGACATGTGAGATTGGGAGCCCTGTCCACTGTACCCCTCAGTGCAGGTTCACAAAGTGCAGGAGCTGAATAAAGGTTTTGGGAAACCTCATAGAGATGGAATCTGTTTGCTTTTGATTATCTCAGTGTTTCCAGAATTGAGTGTGGGACTTTTGTGTATAAGTGGAAAAGGGGACTCCTATTTCGAGGCCACAGAAGCAGTTCCATGGTATCTGTGGGGATGCCAGTTTTGTGGGTTTTACTGTATTTCATGGGAGGATCTGTGGCAGCACTGCTTGATAGAAGTACAATGAGTCACATATGAAATGTAAAGCTTTCTAGTCATCACATTAAAGTGAAAAGAACACTGGGCATAGGGGTTCACACCTGGAATCCCAGCACTTTGGGAGGCCATAGTGGGCAGATTGCTTGAGCCCAGGAGTTCAAGACCAGCTTTGGCAACATAGCAAAACCCCATCTCTACCAAAAAAATAAAATATATATATATACATAGGCTGGGTGTGGTGGCACACACCTGTGGTCCCAGCTACTCATGAAGCTGAGGCCGGTGGATGATTTGAGCCTGGGAGGTTGAGGCTGCAGTGAGCTGTGATCCAGCCTCTGCACTCCAGCCTGGGTGACAGGAAGAAGCCCCATCTCAAAAAAACAAAACAAAGAAGAAATGAAAACAGTTGAAATTATTTTTAATAATTTACTTAACCTGGTATATCCAAAATACTATTTTAATGTATAATCAATATAAAATTATTGTCATCTTTAACATTTTTTTCCCACTATGCCTTCTAAACTGCCACTATGCCTTCTAAACTGGTGCATATTTTGCACTTGCAGTTCATCTCAGTTCAGACTGGCCACAATCCAAATGCTTGATAGCCACGTGGGCTGATGGTTGCCATGTTGGACAGTGTAGGTCTATGAGATGCTTTTTGCTCAACGTGTGGTCCAAAACCCAGCAGTGTCGGCATCACCTGGGAGCTTGTTGGAAAGGCAGACTCTCAGGCCCCACTCCTATCTACTGAATCAGAATTTGCGTTTAGCACTATTCCAGGGGATTCTGCACATGAAATTGAGAAGTGTTGTGTCAGATGCTCTCTTTTCCAGTTTCAAGATTTTCTGTTCCTTGAATTCTGTGTGGATGTTGTTAGCTAATAAGCAGTGCTGATGTGAGAAAGATGGGCCCCTGTGTGCAAGAGTAGAGGTGGCTCATGGAATCTCTGCTTGGCCCCTGACCCTCTAAAAGGGCCCTGGGATCCCTGGGCAGAAGATGTGCCCATCACAGTGTAATGAATTCTAATTTGAATCTTGGCCAGGGTTCATCCTCGGGACCTCAGTGTGCTGAACTTTTGGGGTGGCAGGCTATCACTGAGACAGCCTAGCCAGGCAGCAGGAGGACCTTGAGCATGAGATGATGTTTGCACAGGCATGGCCTCTCCTTGCTCACTATGCCGTGAAGGTAAAATATCCTACTTCTCAGATAGAGGGTGCAAAGTTTGGTACAAGTGCCAATGCACTCAAAGGATAAGGAGTAGTCCAGGACCACAACAGGGATTTTAGACAGTTTCTCATGCATGCCACTGGTGCTGGTTGACCCCTTCAAGCAACCTGCATCACACTAGATACAATGAGAAGGACGATGGGGGAGGGAAAGTGAGTTGACCAAGGCTGACTCCAGGAGGTTCTCCTCTTCTCCTCTGAGAGCCCTAGCCTTGGCTTCCTCTTGGATCATGTGTTCCGACTGTTGTCTTTTTCCAATTGGCCTCCTTGAAAGGTTTTTTGGGGATGCTTAGATTCATTCTCTGAGTTAGGAATGTGTATCTGGGTGCAGGGAGGGGCCAATGCTTAGGCTAAGACTTGTGTTTCGATAGGTGGGGCTTGGGTGTGGGGATGACCCCAGGATGGGCGTCTTGGGTGTTGCAACCTGGACGGGAACACTCCCTGCCTGTCATCTCCACCTCCTTTCCAGAATCCTCTGTCATTGTTTCTTAGGGAGCTTCTTAGAAACTCTGCTTCTAGGGGACTGGTGGGGTGGTGGCAGGGGATTGTGCAGCAGGGGTGGGTGGGCAAGGATCTGCATCTGCAGGTCTCCCTGGACCTCACCTGTCCACTGCCCTGGCCCTTCTCACACTCCCAGCTGCTTGCTCTCCCACAACAGGGACCCTGTGTCTCACAGTTTTGGCATTGATCCTAGGGGCCAGCTTCCTTGCTTCTCTGGTGTCTCTGATTAAGTTCAGGAAAGGAGCCTCAGCAATTCCACCAGGTTGGCTGCAGCCCAAATCTCTGTCATTTTCTTGTTACTCTTAACAATGTCTGCTGGGTACTTTGGGCACTGTGGGGTTTCATTCATCAGCCCAGATCAAGCCGTTTTTCCTCTTGGATTCACTTATTGTCTCACATGACGTTATTCCCCCGCTTTCCCTTGCATTCACCCTCTGTTCTTCTTTGATCCAGCCTCTTCTAGTCTTCAAAAGATGCCATGATCTTTGCCATCACAGTACCTTTGTTCTCTGCCAGGAAAGACCTCTTTCCTCCATTTCTCCAAATCCTGCTTGTCCTTGAAGACTCAGATTCTCACCTTTTCCTGGAAGCCTTTTCTGATCATTCCTGGCCTTGCCAATCTCTTTTTATACCAGACTTCTGTTGCATGTATGGTCAGTCAATTCATCAAAAAGCACATATTGGCACATGAGTCAAGGGAGATGCCAAGGACACAGAGATGAACTAGACCTGACCTCTGCCTTATGGTTTAGGGAGGAAGACATATTCAGTAAACCATTACCAATAATTAGTAAATTACTTGCAAATGTGAATGGGCTGGAAGAAGGCATGCTGGGTACTGTGGGGGTATCTCATGGGGAGATATAGTATGAGGCAAGGCTTCCCTGAAGAAGCAGCATTTAACATGAGCATTGAAGGAGTGGGTATCTAAAGCAGGGGAGCAGCACACATGTGAGTCCCGAGGAGGTCAGTGAGGCTGGAGAGGTGACAGTCATGCAGCAGGGACAGGTGCACGAGTATCTGAGACCACAGAGGCATGGCCTTTCCTTGCAGCATGCTAGCATGTGTGTTAATCTTTCCTAGTCCTTCTAGTTAGGCTATGAGTTCCTTGTAGGCAAGGGCTGCACCAAGAGCCCTTGGAAACTCGGATTCATTCCCAGCTGCAGTGGTATGCTGTTGCCTAGTGACTTTTAGAGCTGATTGATAAATTGTCAGAAATTCTATGAGCTGTTTAATGCACATCAGTTGCTAGAAATTGGCCATGATGAGAATATTTACACTATGGAAATTGGTAAATGCTATAAATCTGGGCTCTTCTATTTTTCCTTTCAGTGAGCTGGTGTTTAAACATTTACCAGCACACCACTGCCAGCTGACGCAGGGCTAAGCATACAGAGCAGAAGGCAGCAGGGTGGAGGAGGAGGAACTCAGAATAGGGAGGCAGACACTGCTGTGTGTTGTTGGGAAAGTTAGTCAACTTCTCTGAGCTTCAGTTTCCTCATCTACCAAATGAGACATTGGGATATATGTGAAAGGATGTACATGAGAAAGAAGTGATAAGAACTGCTCAAACTAGAAGCCCCAGCTTAGGTCAGCAGAATCAGTCCAGGCTGGTTTCCTCCACCTCTGTTATTCAAGTGTCCTCAAGAACTGGACAGTGCAGGTCTCTGAGATATTTGTTGCTCAATGTGTGGTCCAAAACCCAGCAGTGTCAGCATCACCTGGGAGCTTGTTGGAAAGGTAGACTCTCCCACCCTATTCCTATCTACTGAATCAGAATTTGCATTTAGCACCATTCCAGGGGATTCTGCACCTATCCTCTGTTCCTTCTGGATTGTTTTTGAGTATTGTTTTAAATTTTACCTTAAAAAGTGTAATATTCTCTGTTGTGTTTAATTTCACAAGCCATCTCCCATCCTTTCTGGATGAAGATGGGATACATGCCTTCCTATAAAACATAAATTGTGCATATCCTGTTTACTTGCAGTCATCACCCCTGACTTCCTACCCCAAATCTCGCAGCTGTCAGTGGGACATCAGTCTTTACTTTTGCCTGAATGTTCTATCCCAGCCCTTCCCTGGGACAGCAGGAAGAGGGCTTTCCTCCTTCTAGAGGCTCTCTGAGATTCATGACTCAACTTTGCAAGGCCATGTTGTTAATCCCCATGCCTCAGAGGTATTCAGCTGCACCACAGCCCCTTCTTTCTCTGCAACCTGTGTCGACGCTGCCATTTCCCCGGGGGAAAGGGGAAGCAGTGTTGTCCCTTGCATGGTGTCTGCCATGTGTTGATTACTTAAGGATAATATTTCTGGCAGTGGAGAAAACGAGGTGGGAAATGGCTTTCGCGGGTGATTAATTGTTGAGATGACATGGCAGCTTCTGTCTGTGGCCATGACTCCCAATTACCTGACAAGAAAGATAGATTTGACCAGGAGTTCCTCTTCGAGCCTTGTTTCTGAGGGCTGCAGGTAGTGAGAAATAACACCCAGGACATTTAGAACTGGAATCTGAAAAGAAAAAGGGGTCATGGAGTGATCAGTGTGGAATCTGGCCCTGTCATTGATAAAACTTGACGTGCAAACTTGACCAAGTCATTTTCCATCTGCACCTTAGTTTACCTCTCTAGTGAAAGGATGGGCTTGAACTAGATGATTTCCAGAGTCCCTCTCAGCACTGAGATTCTGTGATTTTATGAACTTCACCAACGAGCTGAGACATTCCTATTTAGGCTTGTTTTATGTTCTAATTCCCAAGGACATATTTCTCATGGACTGTACTCCAGAGACTCTAATTATTTCTTGTTAGTCAAGAATAATTTTACCAAGCATCTGTAAGCTATGAGGAGCCTGGGATGTGTGTGTGTTCAGTTTTGGAGTGTTCTGGGAATTCAGTTTAACTCAAGCATTTATTGAGTGTTCACCCTTGGGATGAAATATGGTATGCAACATGGGATTTGCAGTTGGAAACCTGAGTTTCAGTCTGAGATTTGCTGTTAGTTAGCTTTGGCCTTGGGCACACAGCAATTTAAGTTCTCTGAGTGTTAGTTTCTTCACCTGTATTTTATAGGTGAAGGCACAGAGCCTCTTCATTGAGGAATAAATGAGAGAATGTTTGCAGAGCACACAGCACAGTGTTTGAAGCAAGTAAGTGCTCAGTAAGTGTTATTTCTTTTTCTACACTCCATGCCAAGTCTTTGTTAGGTGTTAGGAATGCAAAGATGTATATAAGTCAAGGGCTTCCTGCTTGCAAGACATCTGTTGACTTTAGGCACACAGACACCCAGTGATGATGATCAGTACTGGCAGTAAGAAAATGATGATTTGGTGCATAAGAGATGATATGTTCAGCTCACAGAGTACTGAACTAGAAAGCCAATGGCCAGTGTGCTCCTGTTGACAATCAGGACAGAAAAATACAGTGCAGCTGGGGCCGTTCTATAAAGACAGAATGACAGACTCCAGCACGGATTTGAGTTTGGGGATGGCATTTAGACAGTCCCTCTTGGCAGCACCATAGTTGAAATTCTCCAGACAGAACATCATTGGCATTTATGTTTCTAGAGCTGGACTCACACCATGGGGGTGGGATTCTAAAGCTTAGAAGAAACAGCCCTTGAAAGCCAGGGGTTTCTTGCTTTTCTGGAAGACAAAGCATGCTTACTTGAATAGCAAGAAGGTAGAAGCAGAGAGGCATAGCTACATCTGACCCCTGGCAAGTGCTTGATGATGTGAACTTTTCCCTCCTGCCCATATTTCTTTCCTATTCTTTTATTAAAGAGGCAGAAATTGAACACTTGTTGGTGTTGAGCACTAAGGGTCTAGAAGTGAATGAACCTGGTATTTGCCTCTGGAAGATTCCAGTGTGACTGGGGAGACAGACATGTAGGCAAGTATACTCAGCAAAGTATTATAGGTGCTAAGGACGCTGGGAGAGGGTACACTGGGCAGGGGGAGGGAGGTGAAAGGTACTAATATTCCACCTGGAGGTGAGGAACATGTGGTTGTATGAAGATATCTACAGAAAGAGTTTCTGTGGGTCCATGGTGGTCTGGGGAGGTTTTCTGGAAGAAGCAAGCTCTGAGCTATTTACTAACATCTCCCTTCAGGTCACAGAGCTATTCCCTAAAGCTCCCCAAGGTTGGGGAATTCTTATGTGTATTTTGAGTTCTTTCTGCTAGGCCAGCTCAAATGTTGCCAGACATTGCAAGGGTAGTCGGGGCTGGCGGGAAGCCCTCATCTAAAAGTCAATTACATTTGCCTTTGGAAAATGGGACAAGACATTTATGCTTAATATTTGGGTGTTTTTGTTGTTGGCTTTAAAAAATTTCTTTTTCAGGTCACACTCTGCTAGTGAAATACCATTAATTTCAAATGGAATTAAATGTCTGTTCTGTGTAGAGCACCCTTGCCAAATAATTACATCAAATATATAGTTTGCAAGGAAGATTGTCTATTTATCTTTTCTTAAAGGGCAGTCCAGAATCCAGACATACTGCATGGCCCCCTCCGAGAGCCACCCACAGCCTTTTCTTTAGTCTTTTACCCAAGATCGCTGTATCAGCTCATCCTTCTCCAAGAACCTGGGTCAGGAAAAATTGTAATACTCAGAGAACTTTTCTGTATTATCTTCACTAACGGTATCAGCTTTAATAAAAATACAAGTACCCAAGCTTATTCAGCAGCAGGGAAAAAAAAAAAAAAACCTCACAAAGCCCCTCATAGTTTTACTTTGTTATGTGATGACAGGCAGACAGGCAGAGAGAACAAAAAAGGTACATAAGGGGGAGATACAGTTGCTTCTAGAGTGAGGGAGATGGGGGTGGTGGGGGGTGGAGGCTTTGGGGGCATCCTACATGCCCAGGTCACAGTGGTACCTCTTGCGCTGCAGGTATCTGTGGCTATTCCCTCCTTCTGGGACCCCAGAATTAAGCATCCTTTTGGCCTCACCTTCTCATAGTTGGGAGAGTTGGCTGGAAAATAGTGAACCTGGAACTTGAGGTGACTCTGAAGATATTCCTGTTTAATGTCATCATTTTGCAAATAAGGAAACCGATACCCAGACAAGGGAAATTCAGACCCTGCTCACAGTTTACTGACAAGTGCATGAGTGAATGAGAACCTGGCTGTCCTCCGGGGGTAGCTGCACAGTTACACACTGAGCTGCAGGCAAGGGGGATGAGACCCCAACATGCTTAATTCCCAGGCTGTGCACTTCCCACTGCCCCATTCCAACCTGCTGTAGCTCAGTGAGGGGTGTGAGCAGAGCAAAGACTGGGACTGCAGCAGGCAATGCCTTTGCCCTCGCAACCTATTCTTTCCTACCTCCCATCTGGGTGGTTTTTCACCAGGGGCAAATTTTGCCTTGCAGGGGATATTCAGAAATGTCTGAAGACATTTGTCACAACTGGGGGGAGAGTGCTACTGGCATCTAGTGGTTAGAGGCCAGGGATGCTGCTGCACATCCTGCAATGCACAGGACAACCCTCACAACAAAGTTATCAGCCCCTAAATGCCAATAATGCTGCTGTTGCAAAACTGCCTGATTTTGTGTGTGAGTGTGTGTCGGGGGTAGTGTATTTGAAAGAGATTAGGGCTCAGTGGGACTGCAGTGAGGGTACTGATATCATTTTAAGGGTGATGGATTAGGTTCCTGTTTTACAAACTTGCCCACGCATTTGAGTTATACAGATAGCTTGTTAAAAAAGTATCAATTTTTACTGGGGTGAGATTATATCTCATAGAGGTAGAGAGTGAAATGGTGGTTACCAGAGACTGGGAAGGGCTAGGGGAGGGAGGGTTGAAGGTAAGCTCATTATTGAGTATGAAAATACAGTTAGATAGAAGGAATAAGATCTAGCATTTGTACAACAGGGAAATTATAGTTAACAGTAATATATGGTATATTTCAAAGTAGCTAGAAGAGAAGAATTGGAGTGTTGCCAACACAAAAGGACAAATGTCTTAGACGATGGATATCCCAATTACCCTGATTTGATCATTGTATACATGTATCAAGATGTCATATGTACCCTCAAAGTTTGTACAACCATTCTATACCAATTAACAAATTCTAGGCCCGGTTCCATACATGCATCTCCAGGGGTGGGCCTGGGAATTGGTATTGTTACTCTGCTTCAAAGGTGCTTCTGACATTGGGCCTATTTGGGGAAATAATGGATTCAGGTGCAGTGTTGGTTGAACATTTGTTATTTGCCTATTCAGATAAATCTGGATTTTAATGTCAGCTCTGTCATTTATCAACTGTGTGACCTTGGGCAAGTCACTTATTCTTCCAGCCTGCATTGTCTCATTCTCAAAGAGGAATGATCACATCCACTTCATGGTTTGCAGTGAGCATACAATGAGATAACATGCATCAAAGCACCAGCTCAGTTCCTGGTTGGCAGTAGGTGTTCATTCCTGTCAGATGAGTCTGGTAGTGTGTTAAGTTAACAATAATAATGAGACCCAACGGTCGTCAACCACTAATATCCCAGGCACCGTGTTAAATGCTTTTATAATATCTTTTCTCCTTAGCTTCACAGCAACCTTGTTTTATAGCTGGGGCATATTGTAGGTACTTGGCCTGTGGTAGGCTGAGTAATGCACATCTCCAGGCATTACTGGCCTTACAGATGTGGACCTGCAAAAGGTCCACATCTCCACTCCTGGAACCTGTGGATGTTACCCTATGTGGCAAAAGGGACTTCCTGTGGATGTTACCCTATGTGGCAAAAGGGACTTTGCATACATGATTAAGCCAAGGATCTTGAGGGGGGATCATTTTGGATTATCTGTGTGGGCCTGATCTAATCACAGGGTTCTTCATAAGGGGAGGCAAGTGATGAGAGGAGACAGAAGATTTAACAATGGAAGCCAGTCATTGGGTGGCACAAGGAAGGAATCATGAGTCAAGGAATGTCACCAGCCTCCAGAATTGAGAATAGGCAAAGAAAGGAATGCTTCCCTGGAGCCTCCAGACAGAGCCAGCCTTGCTGACATCTCGATGTTAGTTCTCTGCAAGACCCATTCTGGACTTTTGACTTCTAGAACTGGAAGAAAATAAGGTTGCGTTGTCTTTAAGCTCCATGCTGTGGTCTTTTGTTGTAGCAGCCGTAGGAAAGGAATACTCTTCCTCTGGCCTCATATCCAGAGATGCTGAGCTCTGTGCCAGGCATTGCAGAGTGACACAAGGAAGTTGGACACCTACCACCTGACTGATGAGAGGACACGTACACACAACTGAAAAAGGCCAGGGAATTTGCAGCAAGGAACAAATGAAAATATACGAGAGAAAATGTTGAGAGTAAGAAGATCTTCCACACCAGGACTTGCAGTGTGGACATCCAGGGGGACTCCACGGAGGAAGTGTGAAGGCTGCCGGCCCCTGAAGTATGCAGTTCATGCCTTGTAAAGACAGCTTGGTGCCCTGGAAACAATGACTTCTCTCCTGCCCAGTGATCCATTGGCCCCTTAGATGTTGATCCTGCACCTGGTCTCCTGCCCTCTCCTTTTCCACGTGGTGCAGTGGCTTCTGCTGCTGATCAACATATTCCCAGAGCTGCCTGTACCTCCCGGTGACTATGAGGATGGCAGGTGAGGGCCTCTTCATTCCCCATCTCCACTAACCACGCAAGTCTCTACTCTGCCCTGCCTCACCCCGCGCGCTCCGCCATGTTGATTGGTGAGGGCGGTGTATGTCAGTGCTGAGTAACGTGGTTATTAGAAGTATGAATTATTTAAGGAGACGTGCACATCATTAACCTGTCATTCATCCGAGGGAGGCTTGACATGTGAATTAGCCATGCACATTGCTATTTTGCTTATGGGGAGGGGAAGGGAGGTGGAAGGTGGGGCAGCGGGGCAGGAGTAGGGGTGACGGGTGGTACAAATAATCGAATTGGCTGCACTTGTGAAGGATTGGGAAGAATTGCCCTGAGAGGAGGCAGTTTTTTTTTTTTTAAGCCACAACGGAGCAATTTGATGGCAGAGTATTTTTGGCTTCAAGACACTGTGAATTGGAAATGCAGGAGAACTAGCACGCCACACGTTCAGCGGCATCTGTGAGCATACATACCAATATGATCACTGTAATTATAATAATAATAAATGTTCTCTTGTGGTGTGACTTGTGGAGGTCACCCTGAGATGAGAAAGTGAAGAGGAAGGGAGGTGGAAAGGGAAGCTATTAATAAACCTTAGACACAGCCTTCAGCTTTCCCTTACCCCTCTCCTACACTGAACCACGCATACTCGGCCCCCTGGCCCAGACTTTGGTGACATATGAGCCCACCTGGTCTGGCATCATGACCCCTTGGTAGCTGTTCACTCTTCCAAATGGGCTGCTTTGTTAGATGAACAGGTCAGTTCTGGTTATTGCCCCTGTTTGGATCTGCAGGGGCCTCTGCTCCAAAAGCAGATGCTCCTTTTGTGAGCTGCTGAGGTATGAAACCAGATCTCTGGGTGGGATGGGAGATAAGGACCATTTCTGCTAGAATATGCTGAATTATGGCTCTGAAACCAATTACCTTTAGAGGGAGACCAGCCCTAGAGTTGTTCACAACTGGGAATTGCCTGTGTCTTCTGACAATCATCAAATATTTGTTTAGTGTCTGCCAGATGATCCTCTTCTTTCAGGGGACATGGAAGTGTCAGAGAAAATCTCTCCTGAGAAGTTTACCATCTTCTTAGGGAAAGACTAATAACACATAGGTACTAACTGTAGAATATTGTTATTATTACTATTTCCAGCACAGCTAGGAATAATATTCTCTAATATCAGAGAGTCATATTTTTATAAGATGCATTATATTGCTTTATTGGCTACTGGTGGTAATAGATGGAAAGTATTGTCATACCAGTATGGATGTGTTTTGCACAGAAAATGAGGAAAATCACTGGTGATTAGATGATAGACAACTCTGTAGGCAGGTGTAGTAGTAATGCTGATATCTGACATCTGCAGAACGCTTTATAGCTCAGATCTCACCTTTGCAACTCATTTGATCTTTACAACAGTTGACAGCAAGTCATCTGAAGCCAGAGAAGTTAAGGAGCTTGTTTATGTCATATAGCTTGTAGGTAGAAGGGCTGGGATTGGAGCCCCTTGTGATGCCATGGCCAGGACTTGTCCCACCCCACCACAGCTGCTAGCATCACAGAATGTTATGTATTTGTATGTGGTATGTGTGTCACAGTGCTCTATGGTTTCAAAGTCTTTTCACATCAATCACCTCCTTTGATTCTCACAGAGGTTGAGTGCATGAGGTAGGTTCAGTTTTATTCTGGCCATTTCAGGGGCAGTGGGTTTGTGGAGGATTAGCCTTGAACCATCTGCTAGCTGATGTGTTAGTAGAGCATGTTGACTCCTGGAGAAAACACACACAAATATGTGTACACACACACACTTTTCAAGAAACAAAACCACACAGAACAAACAAAAAATGATAATAGAAAGCTGCAAGTGTAAAGTATATTAAGTATATTTACTGTATCATTGTGCCTTGCTAATTACCAGATAACAGTTATCCTTTCTTGGATTCCATAATGTAACAGCATAAGATGGGCAGGTGCCCCCATATCCTGCTGCTGCTCATCAGGCCTGATTTGGGTATTTATGGTTGTCCTGGCCTTTTGGTATCAGGGTGAGTCTTCCTGCTCTTCAGCTCTGGACACCTCTTGGTCTGCCCTATTGTTCTGCCATCATTTGCTCACTGTGTTCTCCTTTAGATAAAAGAATGGAGATGGAATTAAGATGGAGTTACGGAGCTTTACAGCTTTACACACTCCTGGTTTTTGTATCTACTTATAGAACGGGGTGTATGTGTGTGTGTTTTGGTGTGCATGTGTACCCACAGACACACTCACAAATGTGCTTGGGCTGAACTTTTCCTCCACACCTAATAACTTGGAGCAGGATCATGCCATTGTGTGCATGGATCATTTGTATTACCGGTTCTAAGGCAGCATTATTATTTTAAACCTCACTTATGATGTTTCCAGTGACTGACAGGCACTGTCATAAATCTACCTGATACTCCTGAGCCTGGAGTTGTTGACGTGGCTTAGGATGTATCTCCCGGTTGTCTAGCATTGCTCACCCATGCTGAGCCTGCTGTTCATTTCAGCTGACCTGCTTCCACCAAGAGAAGGCAGGGAGCTTGGGAACCAGGTGAAATGGGCAGTGGTCTGCCCTTTGTTGAGGCTGTGTTGCTTCCTAGAGCAGGCTTCCCTGAGCATCCTGTCACTGGAACCTGGGAGGATGACACAGTACTGCTAGCAAGATGTGCAATAAGATTGCAAAGATGTCTAGTCTAGTTCATCTTTCTTATCAGTGCAGTAACTACACCTTACAAAGGTCATCAGCCTGTTCTTGGATACCTACAGAATGAGGAGATCACTCCTATTCCAAGGGAACTCATTCTGTTGTAGAGTTAGAACACTCTTCTTATGTTTGGCCAACATGTGGTGAGATAGGAAGTGCCCTGGGCCAAGAGTCAGGCATGAGCTCATTCTTCTCCTGACTCCCTTACTGATAAACTATGGGATCTCGGGAAAATCACATTATCTTTCTGAGCCCCAGTTTCTTCTGACCGTGAAATGGATAAATTGGGTTTCAGATACAGCTCTGAGATGCTTGGGGTTTCTGGAAGATTCCTCAGGTGTTGCAAAGAAGATTAAGGTGATGGTCAAGTGTTGGGCATGAGTCCAACCATACTGAATGAGAATTATTATGATTTTGTGTTTTACATATGCAGTTTTGAGTCAATGATTTTTGTAGCTAAACAAGTTTAAAAAACAAGACTAGATCCTTCAAGATTCTTTCCAGGTCTCATATTTTATGATCTTTGAAATCTGTAGAAATTACAACAATCTACTTAGTATTATAGAGTAATACTATTTTAAATTCACTTTGCGTGGAATGATTCTAATTCCTCTTATAAGACAGCCTTCCTAATATCCTTGACCATCCTAATGTCCATATGTGCGGATTGTGATGTGAATATTAAGACAGGTCTGTTTTGGTGTCCTCTTTCCTTACTTCCTCTCCTGTATTACTCTCTTTTCTACTCCAAGTGCTTTTGCTGTTTCCTGTTCTCAATAGACTATTGGACCTGGCCAGCTCTCACAGGAGAAATTGTCTGATCACGTTACCCTGGAAGAAGTGTTTGCTGATGGTGATTTAGAGTTTTGATATCTTCCAAAATATTTGGGACTTCTGAAGCCTGAAAGTCTAAACCTCTTCTCAAAAAATGAATCTTGGGGCCGGGCGTGGTGGCTCACACCTGTAATCCCAGCATGTTGGGGGACCGAGGCGGGTGGATCACCTGAGGTCAGTAGTTCAGCCTGGCCAACATGATGAAGCCCCGTCTCTGCAAAAATTCAAAAATTAGCCGGGCATGATGGCAGGTTCTTGTAATCCCAGCTACTCAGAAGGCTGAGGTGGAAGAATTGCTTGAACCCAGGAGGTGGAGGTTGCAGTGAACCAAGATTGCGCCATTGCACTCCATCCTGGGCAACAGTGCGAGACTCCGTCTCAAAAAAGAGAGAGAGAGAGAAAAAAAGGATCTAGGATGATGAAGTTGGAGGCTCAAAGATGAATTGTGTATGGGCTGTTCTCTTACATCCTTCAGCTGATTCTTCTTCATCCCTTCCTCAGGATGTGTTTGCCCTAGAGGTGTATTTGTAATTTTGCCTTACACAAGTGTTTCCAAAAGTTAATCCTGTGGAATACTAATCCTAAATGCTCTGAGATAAAAGGATTCTGTGGCCAGATGCCTTTGGGAAAATACTGTGTATTATGTTTTCCTCTTGGAGATTCACAATGCACCTTGATCTGTTTCAGGATCTGAGGAATCCATCAGGGAAGAGTCCTGTTTATCTTTGTTTAATTCCAGGTTTCACAAACTATTTGACCACAGTTATCTTGTTTTTCTCTAGGAAATAACTAGAAAAGACCCCAGAACTGGTGTTCCCCAGAGCATAGTTGGGAAACTCTAGAGCAGTGGTTCTCACCTCGGGTGATTTTGTCCCCCAGGGGACTTTTGGCAAAGTCTGGAGACATTTTTGGTGGTCACAACTTGGTGGTGGGGTGGGAGGGTGCTCCTGGTATCTAGTGAGTAGAGGCCAGGGAGGCTGCTATTCACCCTGCAATACCCAGGACAGTCACCTCCAACCAAGAATTATCTGGCCTCAAATGTCAATAGTGCCAAGATTGAGAAACTGTTCTAGAAATAGGCAGGTACAAGGTGTGTTTTCAAACATCCCTTGAGCCATTTGTAACAGCCCTTCAAAATCAAGCTTTGAAGCCAATTCTTTTGTGACCAGGAGTGTTTTCCGGACAATGCAGAAGGAGATGCACCCAGATAGTAATTCCCTGAACATAACCATGACAAATTCAGAACTGAGTTCTCCTTCAAGTGCAGAGGCAGCAGTCAGCTCCCTGACTCTGCAGGATGTGGGCTGGGATGAAAGGCCCCTTCTCAGTGCAGAGCGTCTGGAATCAAGGCTGACATAGCTTATCACCTTGTTCTTGTCCTCCCTTCCTGGAATCAAGTGGTTTAGCACCATTATAGGAGGAACCTGTTTTCCTAGCTTGTAGATTGGGCCTTATTTCTTTCTTTAATCTTGCCTCAAGCCTCTTTTCTTTTTCTTGGGCTGACAGGGCTTTGCAGCTCATTCTGGAGATGATGTTGACTTGGTGAAAAAAAATGTGCTTGCTATTCCACAAAGCCGCCATTGTCATCCTGGCCCGTTCTCAATGAGCTGTTGGGCACACCTCCCAGACGGGGTGGTGGCCGGGCAGAGGGGCTCCTCACTTCCCAGTAGGGGCGGCCGGGCAGAGGCGCCCCTCACCTCCCGGATGGGGCGGCTGGCCGGGCAGGGGGGCTGACCCCCCCCCACCTCCCTCCTGGACGGGGCGGCTGCAATGGCGGCTTTGTGGAATAGAAAGGCGGGAAAGGTGGGGAAAAGATTGAGAAATCGGATGGTTGCCGTGTCTGTGTAGAAAGAAGTAGACATGGGAGACTTTTCATTTTGTTCTGCACTAAGAAAAATTCCTCTGCCTTGGGATCCTGTTGATCTGTGACCTTACCCCCAACCCTGTGCTCTCTGAAACATGTGCTGTGTCCACTCAGGGTTAAATGGATTAAGGGCGGTGCAAGATGTGCTTTGTTAAACAGATGCTTGAAGGCAGCATGCTCGTTAAGAGTCATCACCAATCCCTAATCTCAAGTAATCAGGGACACAAACACTGCGGAAGGCCGCAGGGTCCTCTGCCTAGGAAAACCAGAGACCTTTGTTCACTTGTTTATCTGCTGACCTTCCCTCCACTATTGTCCAATGACCCTGCCAAATCCCCCTCTGTGAGAAACACCCAAGAATTATCAATAAAAAAATAAATTAAAAAAAAAAATGTGCTTGCTGTCAAGCACAAGAGTGTTTCTGGGATAGGGATTCTTTAAGTCTTGGTGATTTCTCTGTTTCCATAAAGCAGAGCAGTGGTGCTTGTTAGTCACCAGAACTCACACCTGCAGTCTTCTCCATTCAATCCCATTCCATCTCAGGGAGGGCAGTGGGGATTGTTCTAGTTCTCGGGTGTTCTGATTTTCTAAGTTAGTGAACGTGAAGTTCCTTGGGGGCATGGATCCCTTTGAGAATCTGGTGAAAGTGGTCAATCTTCTTACAGAAAAATGCATACTGATGCATGCACACGATTTTACATAAGAGAGGTAGCGCATGGACCTGTGGTGTTAGTAATCTCAGAGTTTGACATGATGAGTTTACAGGACACTTCTTGGAGGCTGTAATTGCTTTTGTGAATCTATACTGAATATCAACATTAGGGTGCATGAGGGGAGGATCCTCTTTAGTCCCTGATCTCTGAGCACTGCTATTCTTGGAGATTCACAACACAATGAATTACTACTTTCTTGTGTTTTGGCTCATTCATTCATTCATTTATTTAGCGCTTATTTAGTTTCTATATGTCAAGTTCTGTTTTAACCACTGGGGAGTCAAAGGTAGACAGTCTTCCTTGATCTTGATGATAAACTATATAGGAATTGGAAGCCAAAAAAAAAAAAAAAGTGTAGTGGCTCTTGCCTGTAATCCTAGCACTTTGGGAGGCCAAGGAAGGCAGATCACCTGAGGTCAGAAGTTCGAGACCAACCTGGCTGACAAAACCCTGTTTCTACTAAAAATACAAAAAATTAGCCAGGTGTGGTGGCACGTGCCTGTAATCCCAGCTACTCGGGATGCTGAGGCAGGAGAATCGCTTGGACCCGGGAGGTGGAGGTTGCAGTGAGCCAAGATGGCACCACTGCACTCCAGCTTGGGCTACAAGTATGAAACTCCATCTAAAATAATAATAATAATAATAATAATAATAGTGATGATGATGATAAAAGAAAGGAAGAAAGAAAAGAAAAAAAAAAGAAAATTAAATCCTGAAGGCAGAAGCTGAGAGGAATGGCTTCAGGTTCAGGTGCAGAGCATGTGCTGGGTGAGAACAAGCCATTCGAGACCAGGTCCTTGCCTCTGTGGGTACTGGCTCCCTTGGTCTGTGACCCACCTCCTGGAATTGAAGAATTGTGCAGGATCAGGCAGAGTTTTCTTTGGTGCCTGGCACTTGGTTCTGGACTGAAGCTTGGCTTAAGAAGTATTTTAAGAACACTGTAGGAAACCATTCAGAACCTTCCACCACCCCAAGGCAGCACTGCCCACTCCTGCTTTTCAGTGCCCTCTGCAGAATGCTATGGAAATTCCACCTGCCCATCCTGCCCCACCAAAAGCATCAGATGGCTAAGCTAGACTTGTAGCTAGGCTCAAAGTACTCACCAGTGCAAACCAACAGAGCAGCACAGTCATGGACAGTCACCAAGAATGATGGCCACTTTGGTGACATCCCATAGATGTTATATGCAAGGAGCAGGAGCACACAGAGTCCTCACCTTGGGATTTTAGGATTTGACTCATCAGTTGTGATCTGTTTCGCCAAAGGAGGAGGATGTGAGGCAGCTGGGGGTGGGATTGGGGAGGATAATCATATTCTTGGCTCATGGCTATACCTGGTAGGGGGTAAGGTTGACTTTTCTGATCCCAGTATTCTTATTGATGGGTGCTCACTGATGCTGGAGTCTCTGTTGAGGGCATAATAATAATTTTGCAGAATGATGAAGACCTTTGCAATGAATCATGTTAATGCCACAGTTACTTCTGTTAGGTCTGCATTGTTGAGCTCCATAAGGAATCATAATGAATCCACTGAAACAACTAGATATCTCCTTTATAGTTAGGACTCACATTTTAGGCAACCTGGGGAGAGCATGAGCTGGTCTGTTAGTTTGTGCTGGGGAGTACTTTGAACTTAGCTGCAAGTCCAGCCTAACCATCTGATGCTCTTGGTGGAGCAGGGTGGGCAAGTGGGATTTTTTTTCCAGAAAGAATTTTTGCCTGTACAACATCATGATGTTCTCCCATGAAAAGGGACAATGATGTCCATAGCAGTTGGATTCAAAAGAAGAAATCACTTTTCCATAATTGGTACCTTTTTCATTCCCTCTTAAAAAATACCCAGCCCGCTACCCTGGCCCCGAATCCCCAGTGAACTTCAGTGCAGGGAAACAGAAATGCAGAGAAATTACAATTGTAACCAGGTAATGAGAGTCAGCTACAAGCAGACGGCTCTCTGCCTGTGAAAACAGGGCTTACAATTGCAGATTTTTATGACTCCATTTTCTGCTTTCAACATAGCCTGTCGACATCTCAAATTGAGAAGCCCATCAATGTGGCCTGGGCAGCCTCCTTCCAGCTCCTGTGTCAGGAGAGATTTATTATTCTTATAGACTCTACTTGGAGCCACTTCTTCCAGATTGGCCTAGAGAGGGAGGCTTTTATTTAATTTAATTTTGCTGAGAACTACAACTCTGCAGAGATGCATGTTCTCTCTCCTGAGGTAGGTTTCTGAGTCTAGGTGAGGAAGGTGGAGTAATTGAATCAGGCAATGGTTGAGTTGAAAGAAAACTAAAACGGAGCCAAAAGGCCATTTATTGTTGCATTGTGGGTTCTGAGGAGTAGAAAGATAACTGTAATGTCTGTCAGTGGGAAACTGGTTAAATCAGTTATGGTGCATTTATAGAATGGAATACTATGCAGCTGTGAAGAGGAATGCAAAAGATTTATTTCCCCTGATCAGGACTGATCTCCATCAGTCCTTAATGTAAAAGAAGGAAAAAAAATACGGTGCAGTATATATAGTATGAATCCACTTGCATAAAAGTGATGTGTAAATACATACTTTGCATCTACAAGGATGATCTCTGGGAGAGTTCATAAGAAACCTGTAATCCTGTTTGCCACTAAGGAAGCTGTTGTTGAGGGAAAGGGGAGCCAGAAAAGCTTTTCATAGAAAACCCTTTAGTGCTTCTGGATTTGTGTTTTGTTTTCTATTATGTGTTTGTATTACTTTCTCAAATCACTTAATGTTAAAAATGAATTTCAGATCTAATAGTGGCTAGCAAGGCTTGCTTTTGGAAAGATGAGCAAATTGTGGTTTGAATGTGAGTAACTGAAGCTACCCAGAAATGAAAAGTGTCTCCAGGAACTCTCATTATTATGTGGGATTTATCACTGCTAATGATAAGTAAGAACTAGAACCTGTCGGCTGAGGTACAGTTTTACCTTCATTTATGGGGATGAATTGAGTACATTATGGGCCACATAAATTGCATTTACACCACACCGATTTGTTATGTGCCATCTGTTAGAAGCTGGAACTTCCCTCCTAATGACATCTTTGTCTTCCCCCACCTGGGCTCCTAGCTTCCTCTTCCAGTGGCTGGTTATTCTTCAGCAGGGTGAGGGGGGCAGGAGTCAAAGAGATAATCTCTGTGTGTGGAATGGCCAAGTGGGAGCAAGTGAGAAGTGGTGAGGCCTTTGATGACTAGTGTGGTGTGTCCCTTTTGAAAACAGTCAAATTCAGCTTAAAAAAATACCTGCAGTTCATACCTTGTTCAAGGTCCAGGCTTCTAAATGCCTTTCTTGAACATTTCCAAGAGGTCCTGTCCTCCTTCTGTAATGCCCAGCCTTGGGCATCTGATAGGTGCCTTGTGAGTCAGAAAGCACTCTCCTGGGCATTGGTGCTGGGAGTCTATGGGAGGAAAATTGACCGGATAGCCAGAGGCAGCTCAGCTATTTGCGTCTGAGTGCATTTAGCCTCAAGGTCCTTAAAAGGCATCTTGTCTCCTGTTTTGGACATCAGATTCCTGGAGGGCAGGGATTTATTCATCTCTCCACTCAGGGCAGAGGTTAACACATCTCTCCCTGGGCTTTTCTTGGAAAACCCAAGTCAGGCAGGGTGTTACTGGGTTCTAACATTACAACTGGGAGACCCTCTTCTCAGGATGTAGTTCTCTGACAGGAAATGTAAAAACTACAATTGCTAAGAAAAGTAAATGAATGGATGAATTCAAAAATAAATGAATGGATGCAATGGATGCACAATGTTTAGTCAGAAAAAAAACTTGATATGCATTCAGTGAAAAATTGTTGTTCTTTGAAAGTGTAGCTGTATGTGGGGATGGGCTCTGTCTGTCCTACTTCCAAACCCTCTGCCACCACCCACCCTCACATAAAGAACCTCTGGCTGTGTGATCCTGGGGGCACTGTTTCCCCTGCCTGGTTTTTCTGGCTGGCTGGGATGTTGGCTGTCCCAGTGTGCAACTTTGTTGGATAATTCAGGACTTTCTCTTCCTCAGCCTGTCTTTTCTTAATGGTGTGGAATGACTCAGGATTCTGTGCCAATGCCTCCATAACTCTTCTCAGTAACTAACCTATACAGGGGTGTCTTCCCCAGGACAAAAGCAGGAGAGCCTGTCCAGGATCTATAACTGTTTCTTTCCCCGTGCAGAAGCACCAAGGTGCAGACCATATCTAAAAGCCACCACAGTACTAAATAACATGATGCAGCAGACCCTGGTTCCTATAAATTACTGAAAACAGTGCTGAAAAGATAATGTAAGGTGCATAAATTCAAGTATTTAGCCAGAAGCGCATTAACTTAGGGCAGACAAAAAGAAAGGAAGAACATTAACAAACCACTTCCTGGTAAGAGTTTTCAGTAGATGGAGAAGTAAGAGAAGAGGGGAAACAAAAAGTCAGCCATATTGGAAAGGTGGTTAGAGAAAAGGAAGAAAAAGTGTAGAGATCCTTTTCCAGATGGTGGCAGAAAACCTTCTGGTCCTGAGTTGGAGCTCCCAGGTGGATTGATTACCATTGGAAGGTCCCATCTCTGCAGTTTAGCAGTTTTCTCATCTAGTGGCTCAAATATCACCTTTTCCCTGAAGTCTTCTCCAATGCTCCGGATGAAAACAAATCTCTCTCCAAGATTTATTCTGTTGCATTGTTTGTCTCTTAGTGCTGACTTTCTATTCTGGTGATGATTATTTGTGTCCATGTTTTTTTTCCCCCTAAAAATGTATAAGCTCTCTGAAGGCAGAGATTGTGAGTTGGTGATTGACAATTCAGCAGCTATTCTACTGTTTAGTATATGCCAAGCTCAGTGCTAAAGGGACATAATGAAATGAGCAAAACATGGTCTCAACGCTAATGACATTTACCTTTAGCAGAATTGAGTACAGTTCTTTGCATAGTATATGAGCAATCACTATTGAATGAAGCTGGCTCAACCCTCTCTTCTTTGTTTTAAGGATGAAGAAATTGAGGTCCATGACTACTTGAACTTTATAAGATAACACTCCTGCTTTGCATAAGGACTAAAACAGGCAACACTTTTTTTTCTCTCTCTATTTGATAGTCTACAAGCAGCATCATTCCCTTGGCCAGTTGTTTCACAGATGAATAAGTGGGGCTGGGAGAACCTGGAGGTAGCCTTAATCCCATAGTTGGGAATGCAACTTCCAGGGTTCACTGAGAGCTAAAGAAAGAACGTGAAAGAATGATCAAAGCAAGGCCAGTGGGGGTGTGTATGTCTGAGAAAGGCTAGAAAAGCCGAGGAGGGGGCCTGTGGTGGAATGGGAGGCTAGATCTTGGGGCAGGCTGACCCTGGGCTCAGATGGCTGGAGGTGCTATGGATTCAGAGCCCTGTAAACAAACATATCAGTTGAAACTTAGCTTAAGTCAGTCCTTTGTTGAACTCGACAAACAGCCTTTCCTTTTCCTGGTTGCTGTGCAGGTTGGTTAGAGCTGGAAGATAACTTAGGAAGCTGTCGGGTTCAGCCTTTATGCAAGTAAGATATTGCCTGTGTTTAACAGATGACTTAAAAGAGGCTCGGTGAGGTTCAAGGATCTAAGACCACTCAGGAGAGCTCTCTAGTTGATGGCAGCCCAGTGGTGATGAGTGGAGTGTAAACTTATAAACCATTGTGAACATTCTTTCTGATTAAATTTCAGCAGAATCAGGCTATGTATTCAAGTGAAGCTCAGGCTCTGCAGGGACTAAGGATGCCTTTAGCCCTCAGCTTGGAGCGTGGGAATGCTGATGTCTGACACCTTTTCACTTTGGCTGCAGTGTGGATGACTGAGGATGACTTAAGGTGCCTGTGCTTCTCTGAGATGGTCTAGAGCTGGAGCAGCCACAGGCACACAGAATCATGGGGCCTGTCTCCTCAGTGCTTCTCCATTCATAAGCAGATTAGTTATGAATGAAGAGGGTTCATTCTCAACAGAAAAATTAGTTCTTCTGTTGACCCCTAAGGATCATCTAGGGTTCTCTGCAACTCTGGGAAATTGGGAGCTCATTTTAATTGGGAATCTTTAGATAGGGTGGTCATAGCTGATATTTATGTTTTATGTACCTCTTTTTTTTCCCCTAACAAAGTCAGTAGTTAAAAATCTTTTGCCAAGATCAGAGTTGTTATATTTCTATTTTGGAAAAAAATCAGAAAGAAAAGAAGGGGTTAGATTGGAGGCATAAGTATAGAGGGAAGCCTGGGCCAGTGTCTACCTTCTTTGCAAGAGAAACTCATGTTTTTGGGGTGGTTCTGGTCTGAATTCAAAACTCAGGGCCTGGGAAAGACAGTTATCTGACAAACTCCTACAACACCATGCATCTCTATCCTGGTAGATGTCTCTGGGCAGTAGGGCTTGGTAGGGAGATGGTGGAAGATCTGTAGTAGGGCTTCCACACTAACCTGGCTCACTGCTGCCTATTTGTCCAGTGCAGCTTTGAGGCCATTTACAGTCTCATTCTTCAGAACCACATTGTTGGTCCCTCTTTGAGGCCGTATCCCATTCTGCTTTGCTTCACTAGCTAAGCATGTTAATGACTTTGTAAGACCATTTGGTCCTTCAAGGCAATGAGTGTTTTATTCCCCTTGGATTGCTCATAGCGCTTGCACTATTTCTGGCAGTTAGAAGAAATGCAATGAACATTTATCCTTATGGTCTTTGGAACATTTCCTGCTTCGGGAAGTAAAATTTTAAGTATTCTTGGTATCAAGGTGGCTAAAATTCTTCTACTTTACTATCATTATTTTCTTTGAAAGATTTTTTGAAAGAAGCCTCTTTCATAAAACTTATGACTTGGATTTACGTGGGTTTACTTTCTCTAACTTCCTACATTTTTGTAGGTTGTATATCAAACTTATTTTTTTTCACATTCTTCCTCCCCAGGAAGACTGTGGGAGTCTCATTCTTCCTCCCCAGGAAGACTCCTTGAGTCTCACACAATGTCTGTGTTCTTACTTTAAGATTAAGTTATTTTGGGGTCATGGATTTCCCAAGTTTATCCCTTGATAAGTGGTCTCACTGCACCAATATTATGGTTGGGCAAAGAAGGAGAGGAGCCTTGGAATGTGAATCAGGCAAGTATGATTCCCATTTTCATCATCACAACAAACCTGGGATAAGCATTGTTATCTCAATTTTTGAGAAAAAGAGATTCTTGTCACTTTAAAATTGAGTCATTTTGAATGTCAGATAACACAACCCGATCTCAGAGGTGATTATTTTTTTTTCACTTAGAGTAGCAGAATAGGAAGTTGAACTCTGTAAAATACACAGACTCTACAATTAGGGTAATTAAAATAATGAGTCTATATTCTTCCTTTTGCCCAAGGTCATACAGCCAGTAACCCGTGAACCTATAATTCAATCCCAGGTCTGCTGGATTAAAATACTTCTAGTTTTTTATGGTTGAAAGAAAATAATAGAATTTATGCATTGTGCGTGACTATTGAAAGCTTGTTGGGGAGCTAAAATGAAATTTGACAATATGTGTCTTAATAGGGTGACATTGGTAGGATGTTGGGGAGGGTGGGTGCTGTGAGAAGGAAAGAATAAGTTGAGGTCTGTGGTATTACAATATTCCAGGAAGAAGATTATGGAAATCTGGACTGAAGTTGTGGGAATACAGGGG
This sequence comes from Homo sapiens, assembly GCF_000001405.40. Taxonomy (NCBI): domain Eukaryota; kingdom Metazoa; phylum Chordata; class Mammalia; order Primates; family Hominidae; genus Homo; species Homo sapiens. Next base: position 104,793,565 of record NC_000010.11, read on the forward strand.
ATGGGATTGTTAGGACTTAGCAATGATTGAATGAGTTGGCAAACAATGAGGTCAGTAATATGGCTTTTAGTATTTTTCTCTACATGCTGGGAAGCACAGTGACACCATGAACCAGGACAGTGACACAGACAGAGCAGCAAGTGTATTATTTAGCAAGCTGAAAGGAAGAAGAATGAGTATAATTTTGACATATGATTGAAGTATACCTGTAGTTCTAAAGGTTGGTGTCTTCCAGGAGGCAAATGGATTTATAGGTCTGAAGGTGAAGAAGGACATCTGGATGGCAGGTGGAAATTGTGGATCTACTAGCATTTAGGTGGCAATGAAACCGTCAGAGTCAACAAAATTTCTCAGGAATGGAATGGGGTGGGAGGCTAAAATGGAATTTCGGGAATGACCAAAATTTAAGAGGCAGAGTGTGGCAGGTCAGTGATGGCAAAGCTGAGAAGAGGCCAGCAGATTTTTAGGAGAATAGGGACTGGCCTTTCTCTCATCTCAGTTTTCATGGCAGAGGAAAGTCGCAGGCGGCTGCTGTTGTCTTTGGTGGCTTCCTCTGAAGAGTTTCTAAGATCTCCCCAACAGGGTCATTCATCTTTGAATTTCTGGAGCAGTCACGATTCCAAATACTTTGTACTATTGTCAGACTCTATACCCGTATTTTTGTCAGGCCTCGTGTCCAGGTTTTTGGTTTGGAAAATATGGCATGTGTGTCACTCTTCAGCTCTCTGGAATGAAGAATGAGATACTCCCCAGTGAGCCTGTTTTCCTTCAAGAGTTGATGGCTGGGGCTTTTTCTATTATGAAGCCAAAGTGATGAAGAGCCAAGTGGCCGCTGTGGATGGGAAAGACAAACAGCAATACAGGGAGTGCTGGGGCCCAGAGCAGATGCCTGTGGAATGGAGCAGAGAGTGTTTCAGGATCCCAGAGGAAGAAGAGCTACAGTAATCCAGGGGAAATGGACCAGAAGAGCCTCCATCAGAAGGATTTAAACAGACAATCAAGGAGGGATATCAAGGTAGATAGGGTGTGTGTGTGTGTGTGAGAGAGAGAGAGGGAGGGAGAGAGAGAGAGAGAGAGAGAGAGAGAGAGAGAGAGAATATTATCCAGCATAGTAGAAAAGGAAGAGATTTAGAAGGTTACTTCAGTGGAAACATATAGCATATGCCTTCTCACAGGTTTTGCTGCCACAGCAAAGAGACTTCTTTGGTAGCAAGATTTAGGAGGAAGCACATCAGAAACAAATTCCTTGGCGTAAACACCCTTTCCCTCGGGATAGTGTAGCCCAACACTCACTTAAAGCTTGTAGAGGAGGAGTAGCCTGCTTTCCTCTACCCTAAGAAAAGCCATAGATGGTCTCAGTGTGGTAAATGGAGATGAGTAAGAACCAGCACAATAGGAGCTGGTCTCTTTAGCATTCTATTCTTAGGTATATCAGACCCAGTTTCCCGTTTTTATAACAAATATTTTGAAACACTCACTTGACAATACTGAAATGACATTCAAAGACAATGTAACTTTCCTACACACACAATTAAAATCAGCATAATGCCCTAACTATAATATGAAGCAGAAATAAAAGGGGAGTAATTTATAACAAAATAGTATACATTTCAATAAATACTCGGGTATGGCTACACTTGAAGATATAACGAAGTCATCAGATGGTTCCTCCTATATATAGAATCACCATGAATAAGAGCTATAAAGGCAGACTGATCGATCAGATGTGTGCTATTGGCAGTTCAAACACTATGAATGGCATTTACATTTATTATGTAATTTAAAAAAATGGTGAATAGTTTTTTGTAAAGTTCTTCATAGAATAAGTTAATCTTCCTTTAATCTACATAGTATTTGTATTCCTAGAAAATTCAGTCCATTAACACTATACAAAAATATTTTTTGCTTTATATGTAAAATGAATTTAGGTCATAGGCTTGGTTCATGACAAACAGGTTCTTCCCTACAAGAATGTATTGTGGGATATTTTCAAGCTGTGTGGAATGTCAGACAATTTTTCATGGTACAACATGGTGTAGAATGATCGGCATTCCTGCCTTGTCACTAAATCCGGTATTTCAGCACCCTGTCAGATTTTTCACATGCCCCCTAAGGGGCAGTAGCTTTCTTGTTGATAACCGCTAAGTTGGAGTTGGTGGTGGCCAGAAGAGACCAGAGATGATGGGAGCTGAAGAGCTGCAGTTATCCTCTATGATCAATTCTTGGTACCCTATCAGGGAGCTATCCTGGTGCTGGTTAGACTTTGGTACAATCTAATTTGATTCCCACTGACTTGACCAATTCCATGTTCCACCTGCAACCAAGATTCTTTGATCTTGGCTTTCTGATCTAAAACTCTAGTTACCAACTTTAGCCTTCTCCATACTGTGAGTCATATGCCCCCTAGCAGAGCGCTTTGCCCTGCTTTGGACCCAGGAACCTTCCTGAGCTGTCATGTGTCTTTGGCTGCACCTTCATGTTGGGATCAAAAGGAGAAAAGGATCATGACTTCTAAGTAACTTCATATGAAAGTCCTCAAAGAGGGATTGCATGAGTTGTCTCCCAGACGAGTAGAGCACAGTTGTGTTCTCACATTTGGGTTTAATAGGTAGGGCCTGGGAGTTCCATAGTTTGTTCCGGATTTGTGAAAGCCTGTCCATGCTTTACATTCTGTAGCTAGAACGCTAAGTGGTATTTTCCAGAGTGTAAGAATTGTTCATCTAGAACATGGATATGATAATAAATAGCACTGGCTCATTTGATGAGCAAATTCATCTTTTTTCAGTTTGCTTTTAATCCCTTTAGGATATCAAGGAGAAAATTTGAGTTTAGGGTAGAGTGTCTTTAACACATTCCTAAGTTGATAATCTCCATTTTTTTTTTTTTTCCAGAAAGAAAAGAGCAGACTTCAGGCTCAGAGTCCATAGCAGGGAGCAGTATTGACTAGACCTTAATGGCTTCATTTCCCTGCTTCACAATTATTTTTATGATTACTCTGCATTTATGGCAGGTGATACTGTTTTTCCATTTTGTTGGAAATATACAGTTTTCTTTTAAAGTCAATTAATTATAGTTAAAAAAGAATAGCCAATTTAAATAAGTACATCAAATTTAGTATACATGTTACATAAATGTAGCTTGTGAAGAAGGTGGCACATGAATAATTTAAGTTTTGGAAACATTGCCATTTTGTATCATTCAAGAGGCAGGTTCCTGGGTGTAAAACAAGTTCTGGGGCAGAGGCAGACCACACTTTCAGGGTATTGGCTGGTTGTCAGTTCATTAAATTATTAGTTTTTTGCACAGACACACTCCAGACTATTTACTATTCTTGTTGAAGTCTTTGTCCCTGGATAGGAAAGCGGCATGTAAATGCCTCATATAATCAGTGATGGATGGCCCTTGCCTGTCAGTCTCTGACACTTTGAGTGTTCAGTAATTTCATTATCTACCCATTTCTCTACTCTTTGCAGCCTAGCACTTACAACAAGGTGGCATTCATCCCTAATGACATGGGATGAGCCAGGATTCTCAAGAATCATTCTGCTTTTAAGAAGGATGAAATTCCTTGAAAGATGACATTTCCCATTTTTTTCCTCCTTGGTTTAGAACAATGCAAGACTCGGGGCTAAGAATATTTGCAGTTTTAAAAATTGACAGAAAAGAATAATTAGCCTAGGTAAGAGGTCTATAAAATGAAACATTTAGTGACTAATGATAGTACTTGAGGTAAATGTTTGTTAAATCAAAATGGAGTAAGTATTTTTTCCAAATACGGTTTTTACAACGAGCTTTGATATGGCTTGGATGCCCACCAAATAAATAAATAGGAGCCACATTTGCCATTGGTTTGATGAAGCCAAGCTGTTTGCTCAGCCAACCTTGGCCAGTTTTGCTGCTTGGAGAGTAGCAAAACCTTGAATCTGAATCAAGGCTGATTTTTTTTTTTTTAAAAGAGACAGTTCATAAATGTGCTTGATACTTACAATATTGTTTGTAATTGTTTGACTACTATGTGCCTCACACATTTATTTCATCTAATCTTTAGAGCAATGTCTAAGGTAGCTTTGGAGAAGTTAAGTAAACTGCCTAAAGTCACACAGTAGGTAAGGTGGGACCAGGCTTTGAATTTCACATCTCAAGACTGATCTCTATATATCCAAAGTCCATGCTTAGCTAACTTTTTCTTGAAAAATCCATCTAGCCTGAGTTGAAATATTGTCCCCCTCCCTTTTAATTGCAAGACACTTCCAAAGATAAGAATCTTGGGAGATTAGAGAAAAAAAGTATCTTGGGTGCTGAAAACAAAACAAAATAAAGAAAAACACATACTCACATGCAGTTTTCTGGGTCCCAGCTCAGAGCTACTGAATTAGCATTTTTGAGAGTGAGGCCTCATCATAAGTCTAACAAGCCCAGAAGTGTTGTTAGTCATCAGGGAAGGTTGGGAGATGGTGCATAATCCCATAAGGTAATTTCAGGGGTGATTTTCAAAATATTTAATAACTAGTAAGGACTCAGGCACTCATCAATTAGAAAGGGCTCTGGCTGTAGCTGGAGCAGGTCCTGAGACTCTCTCAGTGCCAAGCCTTAGCTCCTTTGATACAGGATATTAGGAAAGGTGGGAGCTCTAAGGTACAGCTCTGGGGTGCCTGGGTGGTGGTAGGATACATGCAGAACTTGGAGCAATGGCTTGTTACCAATGAGCCTTGGAGCATGTCAGTATCTTAACTCATGTGGCCGTATAAGTGAGTACCAGTTGACTATCAGTCCTGGTAACATTCATGTAAGAAACTGGAAGCTGGTGTGAAGGGTGGGTTTTTTTTCTTCTATAAACCCCATATTTCTCAAAGCCTCAAGTCATCTGCATAACAATCACAGAGAAGCTCTTTTTAAAAATGCAAATTTGATAGCACAACATACTTATTAGAATTGTGACAATCCAAAAGAATAACAGCACTAAATGCTGATGAAGATATGGAGCAACAGGACCTCTTATTTGTTGCTGGTGGGAATGCAAAATGGCATAGCCACCTTGGAAAACAGTTTGGTAGTTTCTTACAAAACTAAGTATCCACTCACCATATAATCTAGTGCTCATGCTCCTTGGTATTTACCCAAACACATTGAAAATGGGATCTAATTAAACTAAAGAGCTTCTGCACAGCAAAAGAAACTATCATTAGAGTGAACAGGCAACCTACAGAATGGGAGAAAATTTTTGCAATCTATCCATCTGACAAAGGGCTAATATCCAGAATCTACAAAGAGCTTAAACAAATTTACAAGAAAAAAACAACCCCATTAAAAAATGGATAAAGGATATGAATAGACACTTCTCAAAAGAAGACATTTATGCAGCCAACAGACATATGAAAAAATGCTCATCATCACTGGTCATTAGAGAAATAAAAACCACAGTGAGAGATACTATCTCACGGTCAGTTAGAATGGCAATCATTCATTAAAAAGTCAGGAAACAACAGATGCTAGAGAGGTTGTGGAGAAATAGGAACGCTTTTACACTGTTGGGAGTGTAAATTAGTTCAACCATTGTGGAAGATAGTGTGGCGATTCCTCAAGGATCTAGAACTAGAATTACCATTTGACCCAGCAATCCCATTACTGGGCATATACCCAAAGGATTATAAATCATTCTACAATAAAGACACATACACACGTATGTTTATTGCGGCACTATTCACAATAACAAAGACTTGGAACCAACCCAAATGTCCATCAATGATAGACTGGATTAAGAAAATGTGGCATATATACACCATGGAATACTATGCAGCCATAAAAAAGGATGAGTTCATGTCCTTTGCAGGGACATGGATGAAGCTGGAAACCATCAGTCTCAGCAAGCTATCACAAGATCAGAAAAGCAAACACCACATGTTCTCAATCATAAGTGGGAGTTGAACAATGAAAACACATGGACACAGGGAGGGGAACATCACACACCAGGGCCTGTTGGGGGTTGGGGGGCTAGGGGAGGGATAACATCAGGAGAGATACCTAATGTAGGTGATGGGTTGTTGGCTGCAACAAACCACCAGGGCACGTGTATACCTATGTAACAAAACTGCACGTTCTGCACATGTAACCCAGAACTTTTTTTTTTTTGAGATGGAGTCTCGCTCTGTTGCCCAGGCTGGAGTGCAGTGGTGCGATCTTGGCTCACTGCAAGCTCTGCCTCCCGGGTTCACGCTATTCTCCTGCCTCAGCCTCCTGAGTAGCTGGGACTACAGGTGCCCACCACCACGCCTGCCTAATTTTTTTGTATTTTTAGTAGAGGCGAGGTTTCATCATGTTAGCCAGGATGGTCTTGATCTCCTGACCTCGGGATCTGCCCGCCTCAGCCTCTCAAAGTGCTGGGATTACAGGCATGAGCCACCGTGCCTGGCCCAGAATTTAAAGTATAATAATAAAAAAAGAAAATGTATGTCTACACAAAAAAATTACATGGATGTTAATAACAACTTTATACATAATTGCCAAAACTTGGAAGCAACCAAGATTCCTGTCAGTAGGTGAATGGATAAACTGTGATACATCCAGACGATGGAAGCCTTAAGAAATGCACTATTAAGCCATGAAAATATATGTAGAAACTTTAAATAGATACTACTAAATGAAAAAGCCAATCTGAAGAGGCTACATACCATATGATTTCATATATATATATATATGTAAAACATTCTGGAAAAGGCAAAACTTTGGAGACAGTAAAAAGATCTATGGTTAACAGTAGTTAGCGAGGAGAGGGGAATGAATGGGCAGACCACAGAGTATTTTTAAGGCAGTGAAACTATTCTGTACGATTCTACAATGGTAAGTGTCATTATACTTTTGTCAAAACCAAAAGAATGCACACCTCTAAGGGTGACCCCTAATGTTAACTGTGGACTTTGGGTAGTGATGTGTCAGTGTAGGTTCATTGATTGTCACAAATGTGCCACCCTGGTGCTGCTGGGATACTGAAAGTGAGGGAGGGTGTGTGTGTGTTGGGGAGGCGGGTAGGGGGTAGATGGGATATCTCTGTACCATCCTTTCAATTTTGCTGTGAACCTAAAACTCTGCTGAAAATACAATTTATCTGAAAATAGTAATAAAAATTCAGCTTCCATAGTTTAGCCCTAGTCCTAGAGAATCCAAATATGGGTGGAGTGAGAAAAGGGTGACAGGAACCTGCATCTGAAACAATAGCTCCCCAGGATTCCTAAACACATGGATGGCTAAGAACTGTTGTGTGAGAAGATTCAGTCACTGGCAGATCATTGAGCAAACACATTTCCTTCCCATCCCACCTTCTCCATTTCTGGTTTCCCTGATGGTTGGGCTGATCCTCTCTTTATATCACTGGTTTTAAAAACTGCTGCTTCTATGAAGTGTTTTATTATTTAGCTAGTCAGCACTGAGTCTTCCTTCTCCTAAATTTGTAGAAATCAGTCACTATTTTATTGCTCTTTTTCCATGTGTGTATGTTCACTTTTTCTAGCATAGACAGGCAGCTTTATTGTAAATGGTAAGGGGCACAGTCAGATGGCCTGGGATCAAATCCCATTTCTGCCACTCATTGTTGGTGTGACTTAGGGAATGTCACTTAATCTCTCTGTGCCCAGACTCCCTCATCTGTGAAAATGGGGGAATCAAGAGGGCCTATTTCATATGGAAGTTTGGGCTACTAAGTTAGGGCACAGTCACTTCTATTAGTTTTCTGCTTTCTCTTTTCTCTTAGAGGAAGGCAGCGTAGGGGAGTGGGCAGGCTCTGCAGCCCAACAGATCTTTGATTATAACCTCGGAAAAATTATTAAACCTTTTAGAACTATAATTTCCTCACTTGTAAAATGGGAGTAAGAATGTCTACTTATCAGTGTAATTTTGAGGAATGTAAAAATATCACCTCTCTTAAAGGGCCAGCTCCCCACCAGCCACAGATGAATGCTCAATTGAAGTGAATATCCCTTTTGAGCCTGTCACTCATGCTGCTGTGAACATAGTGAGGACTGAATGAGTGTGGGAATGAATGATGCATTGCGGTTCAGTGTAGATGGGATCTTTGAAGGTAAGATATGGATCTGTTGCTGACATGATTTTTACATCTTAGGACTTTCATCTAGGGATGTATGTTTTGAAGCAGGGCCCGAAAGAAGGAACTGAAGCATTGAGGGATGCATTTAATTCTTACACCAAAATCTTACATGAATTTACAGATACGTAAACTCTTACAGTGTCATTGTAGTACACAGCAAGGGCAAGCTTCAGATCTGTTAAAAAATTGGAAATTTCTACCACTTTTGAAGGTCTTAAGTTTAAACACTGATAAGAATAGAACTTACAATGATTCTGAAAGATCCTGGCTTCTTTGATGTTAAAATGGGAATTGTATTCTCTGAGACCTACTTCCCATTGCCAGCTCACTAAGCAATTGCTCACATTTTCTCTTTTTACTTTATTATATTTTAAGACATTTAAAATATTTTGGTGAGTCATTCTTCTTGGTAATTAGTTGTAGTGATTAGAATAGCTTTTATATTCTAAGGCATTAAGTTTATTTTATACACCTCAACATTATTTTCGGTAATGACCTAGAATTTAACAACGGTTTTGCAAAGATTCTGGCTCTCTGAAGCCAAGAGATGGGGAGACTGTCAGGTGATAGGAAGGGAGGGCCTAAAATCTCCATATTCTGCTTTTATTAGGCAATCAAGATGAGAAAATAGCAAGAAAGAAAAGTTGAAAAGCAGCCACAACAAAGATGAGATTTTATAGGGTTTATACAAAGTTGATTTTTCAAAATCTTGTAATAGTTTTTGGAATTGAGATAATACTTTTAAACCTGAACTGATGGATCTCTTTGGAATTTACAGAAAGAGGTGCTAGGCTATGATTTCCCCAAAAAAGTAATTGACTTATCCTGGGAATAGCCAGGAAGCAGCAAAGCTGGGAAAGTGGGGAGTGTGTAGGACCATGAAATCTGGCTTCCTGATTGGATGGAGCAAAAACAAAGAGAGGAAAGATACTCAGTTTCACCACTGTGTGGTTCAAGAGTCCAGTTAAGACCTATTGAGCATCTACAGAATCTGGTTCCCTGAAAAATGAAACATAAACAGAATTTGTTGCTATTAAATGCTATGGACAACTTTTGGACATCAAAGAGGTCACCATTCTGGTAGTGGGGCCTGGAGTCATGTGCTCAGAGATCTTGGAGAGAGAGCATAGAGAGTAGGAGACACCAAATTGAGTTTTTTCACTCTTTTCTCTTTCCCTCCTATGGCCCTGATTAGTTTGGAGCATAGGCGAGGCTTCTGTTATCATGAAACCCAGAATGCTGAAGCTTGAACAATATGGAGATTTCTTTCTCTCCAATGTCCAGGTGTAGATGGGTGGTCCAGAGAGGGGAGGTAGTTCTGCTCCGCAAGGTCATCCAGAGACCCAGGCTTCATCCACCTTGTTGCTCTACCACCCTCTAAGTTTGTCCTTTTCACATAGTTGAAGCTACTCATTGTCACATGCATGCTGATAGGGAGACAGAAATTTCTTTTAATGAAGTGACTCAGAAATTGCATGTGTCACTTTCACTCACATTTCACTGGATAAAAAGCAAAACAAACAAAAACTTAGACTCATGGTCACTTCTAGCTACAAGGAAAGTAGAGAAGTCTGTAGCTGTATGGAGACTGAAATTTGGTAGAAGTGGTTCTGTTTCTAAAAGAAAGAGAGGGGATGGGTGAGGGAGGAGAGCTGGTAGTCTCTGTTACAGATCCCAAGACTCTGTTAAGTCAGTGGCTTTCTGATTCTGCTGTGAGGTCCCTTAGGGTTCCTCAGATTTCTCTCAGGAGCTGCCTGTAGGGGAATGGAGAGGCTGTGGGCTGAGCACTGAGCATTGGGATTCCAAACCTCTCCTCAACCAGCTCACCTTGATTTTACCTGTATTATGCATTGGGTTTTCACATAACTTTCCCTTAAAGAAGGTTTTCCTGGGCTGAAATATTTTTGAAAATCACTTCTGTAAGCACTTTCTATAATCCTGTGTGTTGCCCATCACTAGCACTTTTTCCCTTCTCCCTTATTGCCACTCTCCCTTTCTGGCTATCTCTGGGTTGCTGTTTATAGGGAATGCGTTTAATGTTTCTATGTGAGTCCCCAGGCTCATTTATTCACTCAAGCTCTCACTGCAGGTGAGTGACCCCATTTTTTACTTCTGGGTTCTCATGAAAGGCAGTATTATTTTTCTGATCATTTTCTCCTCCAGCTCTTCCTTGGAGAGTCCTCTGCCTCCTCCAGGGCCCAAGGTTTCCTTTCTTGACTAAATTTACTGCTGTCACAGGGATTTCCAGCTCCCTACTAAAGGCTGTTTCAAGCTCCAGAGAAAGACCAGCCCCATCCTCTTTTACCACACAAGACTGAGACCCAAGTCAGCCCTGGAGAACTGTTTTGGGGTTTCTATTCACAAGTTTGTGGAGCTATATCATCCTTTGCCTCCTCTAATTACCTTGTTGGCATAAACGGTTCTATTATTTTAATAATACCTTGAAATTTCTTAGGGCTTTTCAATTTCCACAGCTTTTTCACATGGATCATCTCACTTGATTCTGACAAGTGTCCAGAAGATGAGCATCTCTAGAATGCGAATTTTGAAGATGAGGAGGCAGGTGCTTTGCAAAGATGAAGGAACCTGGCCCAAGGCCATATGACCACTAAGTGGCCAAATTAGGATTTGAATTTCGTTCTTCCAGCCTTACATTTCATGTTCAGAAACTCTTGACTATATGAATTGTAGAGAGCATGAAACAGGTTGTTGAAAGTTTCATGATTTTTGCTTCATAGGAGGGGCCCAAAGCAAATGTTAGTTTTCTTCCTTCCTTATTCTACCTGATACTTTGGTAAGGTGCCCTCACTTGCATGATTTTATATATTCTTCACAGTAGTCCTGGGAGTAGGCAGGGTGGCTATGGTTATCTGCATTGCAAAGATACAGAGGCCACGATAGAGGAAGTGACTCTACCACTGTCACACAGTTAGCAGTAAAACCCATCAACCAGGGCATAGTGCAGTCCTGTTCCATGAGCTGAGCTGCATCGTGGAAGTAGGATCTTAATGCATTTATTTTGAAAGTTGATATTCAATCTTCAGAAGTCAACAAAACTCCTGGCAGAGATAGAATAAGATTTGGAGATTTGATACCATTTAGGAAACCAGAATAGATGCCAAATTATCTGGCATGAGTTGGGCAAACTTACTTGATTTCAACTGGAAAGACTGGTGATGGACTGGCTGGTTGGTGTGAGCCTCCTGTGTGCCTTAGGAAAGGGTGGACTCTAGCTAGATACTCTGAGGTTTCATTCATTCACTTGTGCATTGATGTTATCTAGTCACTCAAATAAGTGGAGTTTAGATAAGTAGATCCATGAGAGAAGACAAACGATGAGTGTCACCCTTAGTTGATTCTCAGATATTGCATAGAACTGACTCAGCTTTCTAATACACCTCACTCACACATAATGAACACCCATCTGTCACTCAGTGAGTCATCAAGGGGCCATAAGCCATGGACCCTGCACTTCAGTTGCTTACCCTTGAGTAGAAGGAAGGAGACATGTACACAAATAACTAATACAATGAGAATGTTATTGGGGTTATAGGAGAGATGCAGATGCAAATTGTCTTGAGAACACAGAGGATGGGAGTAATTCCAGTTGAAGGGCCTGGGAAGCTTTCATGGAGGAGGAACCACATGAAATAGCTTGACTAATTTTGAGAGGGTGACTGAAAGTCATCCAAGCCTCAAGAAGGAACATGAGCACAGGCTCAGAAATGGAAAAATGCAAGGAATAGTTAGGAAATCTCAAATTTTCACATGTTGTTTGAAAGTGGTTTTGGCTAGAAGAGTGTGGAAGACATTTTTTTTAAAAGGTGGGTTGGAGTCAATTTCATGAAATTGGAGGTGGGGCCAAAGAGTCACCCTGAGGAGTCAGGATTTACCATGGGAGGTAGTAGGGAGAAATGTCAGTTTCCAAGTGGTGTGTGATAGAATTTGACAAGGCTTGAGGATGGATACCAGTTGTAACTACTCTTCTTGATGGTGGGATCTAGGGACATCCAGAGTAGGGAAGGGACCTGATGCAAGTAAAAGCCACAGCACCCATTCTCACATTTCCCCTGCCTTCAATTCCTGTCATTTCCCAGCCTTCTCATGTTCTTCATGCTTCAGTTTGTGGTTCCAGGTTTCCTCTCTTCATACCTCACACTCTCTACCCTTGCACAAACTCTCTTCTTCCTGTTCTTGCTTTCCCCTCTTTACTTATTCTTTTCTTTCTTTTTCTCTTTTTCTCTCTTGCGTGTGTAAGTCGTAGTATTTTGTAAACCCCTATGTCAGATATCCTGCTTCTCTTCTTACAGATCATCCTGGTCTGCATTATGAGGCCCATGGAATGGAGCAAGTGTTGGGAGATAAGTTTGGAATATTTGGGGGTTAATATTTTTGGCCACTTTTTTACTTTCTGTAAAGTAAGCCAAGTTATCCTTAGCTTCCAGATGAGAAAGCAGAAGCACAGAGAGGCCAAGTGTCCTTCCTAAGACCACATGGCTAGTAATTTAGAAAGCCAGGAATCTAAACAGGATATTCCTGACTAACCTATACTACGTCTTTCCACCATTCTAGCTGTCTCCTCTGAGTGTCCTTCCTTTGTGCCCAGAGGGTAAGTTTAGGCATAGAGAAGTTTGAAGACCAGTTACAGGTGACACAATAGGATTATGGATAGTGGCTTCAAAAAAACAGCAGCATAATGTCTCTGAATGTGACTTATGATGCTGTAAGTTCTAGAACCCTCTTCAGTTGGGGTGACATGAGAGTAATCATGGTAGTGGCATTGTAAATCAAAACAATTGCTTTGGAAGCCAACGTTGCAAGATGTACCCAAAGCCACAACATTGTTTATTACCTTTGACTAAGTAATATTACACCTTGGAATTTATCCTAGGGACTTGTTCAAAACTGAAAATATGCTAAATGCATAAAAACACATTAAAAGGGAAATAACGTAAGTTTTGTTTCATAATAACAATAATGACCATTTTGAAGGCTTTGTGGAAAAATGAGAATATATTAATAGGTTAGTTGTCAACAAAAAAGTAGTTTAAAATGGTATATGTACTTGATCCTAACTCTGTACAAAGGTCTACATTTTGTCCAACTACAAAGAAATCATAAAGATAGGAACAGTTGTAAGAGGCTAGTGTGATTATGGGTGACCTTTTCTTTCTCCTACAAATTATCTTGGATGTTTTGTGGTTTTCATAATGAAACACATGGAAGAGAACTAAGGGGTGTTTGCCGTTTTAGGGTTTAGTCTGAGCTGTTGAGATCTCCCTTTCCATTTTGGATGATGACACATTCTGGAAAACTTTCTGGACCTTGGGGAATTTTTGGGAAGAACCAGATTCTTTAGAGTACATCCTAATGTAGCCCAAATGTTTTCTTCTTGCATTCAGAATGCCTCTGGGAAAATCTAGGATGTGGATTCCCAGGAAGCATTTTCAGACCCTTGTGGACTGTTGCTTTTAAGAAATGGTCTGCTCTTTATAATCTCTTCACTAAGCTCCTTGCTCTCTGTGTGTGTGTGCGCATGTGTGTGTGTGCGTGTGTGTGCATGCATGCGTGCGCATGCACATGCATTTTGTACAAAAACATACCACTTTTTATTCCATTTTCAGCTGAGTGACAATATGGTACATTCTGTTTGGGGATTCCTTGGCCCATGGAGAGGTCTTGAGGAATTCATGAACACCCAGATATGAAGTGGAAATTTTTATGTGAATACATTATATATTTCTTTGGAGAGAGTATCTACCATTTAATCATTTCCTTTAAGAGTTCTTAAAACCTCTAAATTTAAGACAAACATGAACTATCAGGGCAAGGTAAAAAATAGAGGTTACTAAACTGGAGGACATTGGAAGAAGAAAAGAGATGAGTGGCTTTCTAGAAGTCTAAGAATCCTACGTTTAGAGCGTCTCAGGTTGTGGGGGAGGGTGGAGCAGCATCCATTCTCCAAGTGCTTTCTTCACCTCTTTTCTCTTTATTTTTTTGAAACGTGAGGCTGATTTTTGTAGTTGAACTTCTTGAATATGAGGGTGACAGCTCAAAAGCTAAAATCATTCTGTGGCTTCCAACACTTGCTGCTCTCCCAGCTTGTAACAGATGGATTTATAGCGATGATTCCATAGAATGTGATGCATGAGGGAGTTGTCCTCACACCAGAAAAAAAGGCTTCGTAATTTACTTTCAAATCTGGTTTTGAGTGAGGGCTGGAAGGCCTGCCTCTGCCATGATATGAAATGGATTCCCAGGAAGGGGTATGGCTCAGTTGTCTGACCTTTACAGCATATTTAAATGTATATTATGGTGTTCACAGTCGTAAATAATATAGCTAAGGTTATGCACAGGGGAGAGCTGAGGGAAACATTTGCAGTAAAGCTGTGGGCTGCCCTGGCGGGAAGACAGGCACTTGGCTTTGAACTGGAATTTGGAATCTGGGTGGGGGGAGTGAGAGCAAATATTTTCCAAATGGTTGCCAGTTGCTTTGGCACCAACAGAACTAGGACTTCTGAAGCAGAAGAAGCAGGATACGTTCTGCTTTTGTGAGTTGGTGAAGGACATCAGAGTGGATCTTCATTTATCCATTTACCAAGGATTTATTTAGCAAGTACTATATTCTGGACACTAGGGGCTGAGGATGTAAAGACAGGGCTTTTGCTTCAAATAGTAAACAAGAAAATAGTGGATAGAAATAAATAAATTAGTATAATGTGTAATACAGGAGAAGCATGCATAGAGCACAGAGATAGCATGAAAAGGAATGGCTGACTCTAAATGGGGGCAACAGGGAACAATGAAAATATGGAGGTAAATGTATGATTTGGGTTTTGAAGGATAGGCATTCACCTGTAATGGATGATGGGAAGGACATTCAGATGGAGGGAAAAACATGTGTGAAGGCCTGGAATCAAAAAAGAGAATGAGGCATTGAGTAAAGGCAATTTGCAGTTGTTTCCATGTAAATGAGATGGTGGAAACCATCAGTAGATAAGGAGACTGGAGCCCATCATGAAGAAGCTCTATCAGCCATCTTATGAAGGTAAATTAACTAACATCTACTGAGTATTTACATCAGTTATTCTACTGAATACTTTGATGTGCACAATCCTATGAAGCAGATACTAGAATTATCCCATTTTACAGTTAAGGGAGTGGAGGCTCAGAGAACAGAGAATGAAGTAACCTGTCAAAAGTCACACAGCAGAAATGGACTGCTGGTAACTTGAAGACGTGCTGGTGATAGAAATAGAAGTAAATGGATTTGAGAAATATTTCGACGGCAAAATCAACCCATTGATTGCGTTGGCTATAGTAAAATGAGGGAGAAAGCAAGGAAAGATTTAAGAATGATTTTTCATTTTTTGTCATATAAAATGGGAAGGATAGTTACGCCATTCACAGAACAGTAGAGGTTTTGGGAGGTAGAACATGGGTTCAGTTTCAAATGTCTTGAGTTTTAGATACCTTTAGGATATACAAATAGGATTTAAAAGCTGAAATAGCCTATTTGTCATTCATCTCCCAAGACTTAGTGTCTTAATTAGTTGCCTAAGCGTTCTGTGAGTTGGCAATTTTGGCTGGGCTCAGCTGATCAGTTGTTCTGGTCTTGGTTGGGATTCCTCATACATTTGTAGTCATGCCCATGCCAGCTAACTGGCCCTGCTCCTGGGGGTTGGCTGGCTGTCAGCTGGGGTGCTAGGGAAGCCAGACATGTGTCTCATCCTCCAGCAGGCTAGCCCAGGCTTGTTCTTGTGGCTAGGCATGGTTCTCAAAGAGCAAGTAGAAACATGCAATGTCTCTGGAGACCTGGACTCAGAACTGTAACACCATTGTTTCTGTCATATTGTTTTGGGCAAAACAAGTAAAACGCCAACCTATATTTAAAGCCTGGGGTGATTGACTCTTGATTGAAGCTCAAGTTACAACAGGAAATGAGTGTGGTTGCAGGAATGTGTGACATCATGGCCACTGCTGCAGTTGGCCACACCTGTTCTCCAAGCGGGACTGCTTTATAGTTTAGAGCACATCTTGTACCACCTTCCAGCTCTTACTCATGATGTCTCCATCCTCATTTAATGAGCATTATTTTGTCGTCTGTTGTGTGGGATAGCTACTCTACTAGTTGCTTGGGGATACAGAAATGAATAAAACGTACTCCCAGCATATGAGGTTAAGGATGGTCATGTAGCCTGTTAGTGGTGAAAGTGAAGTTGCTCATCGAGCCACAGACTGTACACAGTGTCCTTTATTTGATGTTCTCCTGATGTAACCATGTTGAAGCCTCAGCCCCCTGGGATAGGGGCTGCTTCCTGGAGCTTTGCATGAAATGTGTCACCCACCAGTGGGTTGGACTATTTCTGAACATGCTTCCGACAGAAAGCATGTTCTTGTTTAAGCAGAGCCATATGCCACATCTTGAATGTTAAAATTTAGCCACCACTGAGTCATCTAGAGATGAAATAAAGGTTATGAGATTTTAAAAGCAGAAATAAAGGATTTTCACCTCTATTTTTATAATAGTTTTTTTCTGAATATAAAAGAAATAGGAGTATCTGTTGTAAGAAATTAGAAAATCTGAAAACATATAGTGAGGGAAACAGAAATGGCCTGTCACGCACTGGAGATTATGTTAACATACGTGTACATTTATTTTGTAAAATTAGATGAACACTTTATATAAAGATTTATATTTAACATTGTCATCATATAGTGTGTATATTTTTTAAACACTTGTTAATGGTATATGTACTGTTTTATGGATTGCATTTTACACTTAACATTATACAAGTAGACATTTCAATATTGTAAAGTAAAATGTAGAAATATAATTTCAGTCTCATCATATTAAGTAGTACAGTTTAATTATATGATTATTTGGCTGTTTATGTTGTTTCTGATAATGTGCTATTATAAATAATGCTTTATGACCTTCCTGAAACCTAAATCATGTGGGCATCTGATTATTTCTGCTGTACATAGTCTTAGAAGTGGAAATACTGGGCCAGAGGGTATAAGTGTTTTTAAAAGATTTCCGATAGATATTGGGAATTTACTTTGCTGAAAGGTGGTATAGCAGTTACATACTTGTCATCTGATTTTCTTTGCCTTGAGAACTATCTGGGTGGCTATTGTGGAAACTTTCCTAGCAAATATTTGTTTATTTATTGTTTCCTTCATTCACTTATTCATTTATTCAGTAAACATTTATAGAGCGATAGTGCCTAGGGAGAAATAAAAATGTCTGAGACAGATGGTTACACAATATCATGCATTTTTCAAAACTCATAGAGATGTATACCACAAAGAGTGAATTGTACTGTATGTAAATTTAAAAAACAAAATTCTAAAAATGATTAAGAAAAGCCCATTGCTTCAAGGAACTTAAAATCCAGGGAAAGAGATAAGACATGCACGTAATAATTATAACACAAAACAACATATTAAAAGTACCATATAGGAAGGGAAAATATTTACTGGTACATTTCGTGTGCCAGGAACTGGACCAGATATTTTACACATTCATTCATTTGTTCATTTCCTGGCAATACAAAGATGAAAAACCTGAGTGCCTGTTCTCAAAGAGGTCCCAGCTTCATGGGAGTGGGACCTGCAAACAATCAACCACCACCAGGATAATTACTCTAAGTTGCACATGCAAGAGAACAGAACTTGCCTGAGGGAGTTGAGGCTGGTTTCTGAGAAGAGAGGGAACTTGCCAGGAGACATGAAGGAACACAGTGCTTTGCCTCATTTACTCCTCACAGTTGCCTGGTGAGGCAGAGCTTTCACACTTATTTTACACAGGAGGAAATGGAAGCTATAGAGCTTAAGTGAAGTGTCTTGCCGAAGGTCACACAGCTGAAAAGTGGCAGAGCCACAAATTTTGCCTAGATATGTGCTTTCTGTCCTAGTCACTAGATCCCTAGAAAGGGACTGGAATTTAGGATAAGCATTGCAGGATGGGGAGGAAGTAGCTCTGGAGTAAGCCAAGAGCAGCATCTCATGGGGAGAGGTTCATACGCAGGGAGTCAGGTCAGAGACCAGAGGCTCATTTAGCGGAGCGGTGCAGGGCAGATGATGGTGGCAGCCAGATAGCAGACAGCCTTACATTCTCGGCTGAAGGCTATGGACTTTTGCAGGCAGGGAAATGATTGATGTTTTGAGAACAAAGGAATGGCCTGCCAAGAGATGTGCATCAGAAAACATCAATCTGGTCTCAATATATGTTATTTGGGTGATGGATACCCTGAAAGCCCTGCTTGACTATTATGCAATCTATGCATCTAATGAAATTATACGTGTGCCCCATACATTTATATAAACAAAAATAAAAGGAATTGACAACCTAGAAAAAACAAAGAGGAATGAATAAATGGAAATGCCAAAGAGAAAAAAAATAACTTGGTAGTAGCACCCTGAAAGGATCCAGATGAAGGGTAGACAGAGATTTCCATCTCTCTTGGAGAACTCTCCTGTTCAGTGGTAGCGCACCTAGAATGTCAGAGTAAGGACACAGTGCATCTTAGTCCAGTGATCACTTCCCCACTAGCTAGGCCCCATCCTTAGTTATTCCCAAGATTTTGTTTCCTTATTCCAGCAGTTGCGTATCTAAAATGTCAGAGTAAGGACGCAGTACACCTTAGCCCAGTGATCACTTCCTCACTAGTTAGGTCCATCCTTAGTTATTTCCAAGATTTTGTTTCCTTTATGAATCCTGTCAAAATAGTAGACAAACTGAGACCTAGCTTTTGTTGTATTATTTCAGTTAAAGCAAATAAACAAAACCTCTTCTACTCAAATATTATTTCCTTTGCCTTTTCTACCTCTACTTCCAGCTGGCGATTCCAAAAATAAAAAGCTTTGTTTCCTCAAATAATAACAATGCACAATGTTGGAATATTCCAGTGAGTCATACATTGGTAGTCACACACAGGGATGGGGGCGACTTTAACCTGAAAACTCCAGCCCCTAATGGGCCTTTCCCATTGGAACCAGGTTTTACTCTTAAGGGCCTGGGTGGAGCTTGGGCCCTAAGTGTGGGCTATAAGCAGGGGCTGGATGAGTAGACAGCAAGGCAGTGCTGTGGAGTCTAGCTTGGAAAGGTAAACATCCAGAGCCAGTAGAGCTCAAAAGCTCTCAAAGGGTAACCAGAGCAGTATTTGGAGGAAGTATGCACCAGTTTCATCCCCATGTCCTTCTTGAAGGGGATGCTGTGGGTGGATCATGGGTATATGGATTTTAAGTCTTTAAGAATCAGAATGTAGAGCCCACCTATTTCTTTTCTGTGGCACTGCAATTTGCCCCCAGCTCTAACTTCAAAACACAGGGCCTTGGTCTTTAGTTCCAAAATCATCTTAGGATAGTTTTCTTACTCCATGGCCTACTGGGCCCTGGCCTGCTTCACCATTTTTTCAACTTCATCTCAGATTTATCCACCACCCTCCAGGCTCCCTGACTTTCCTTTGGTCTCTTAAATGTGCCAAAGTATTTTCAGCTTCAGGGCCTTCACTGCTGCTATTCCCTGTGAGCACAGTGCCTTTCCTTTTGCTCTTCCTCAAGTGACCAGACAGTTCCCACGACCCGTTCATCATCTGCTAAGGGTGTTTGTGACTTCACATTGTGAAAGGTATCCTCACTTTATTATTCTCTAATTCAGGAAACTTCATTGCAATTAGAGATTATATATTTATTTTTTTGTTTAGTTTACAAGACTCAGTCACCCCTACGACTAGATTTTATGCTCCATGAATTTAGGGCTGGCCTGTTTTATGTACTAATATACTAATCTACATACTCAGTTCAGTGATGGGATCACAGAAGGGGCTTCAGTAACATTTGTGGAAGGATTGAACCTGGGTCATTTCCTTACCGTAGCCTTAGCAACTCATTTCCAGTGTGCTGGGTGCATGTATAGGACAGAACAGGGTGGCTCTCTGCTCTACAGCGTTGGGTCTAATGGCCTGTCCCACACCCCTTAGCCTCTCTTCATGGGTTGGTTGGAGCTGATGGCGCCAAATGAGAAGATCCCACTGAAGATGCTCCAGGGGCTGGCAAGAATCACTTTAAAGAAAAATAATCTATCTCTTCCATGAAATGAAAATAGTAACCAGGACGATAATGTTTTCATGGGTTTGAGAAAAAAAAAATTTCTTCCACCATTGTCGTGATCATTTTGGAAATTCTAAAATCTGTTTCTCTGGGCAAAGAAAAAATTTATCTCACTGATGAAGTATATTTAAGGGAGTTTTCTTTTCTTTCTTTTTTTTTTTTTTTTTGCCAGGGGGTGTGGTCTTTAAGAATAGTTTAGGAAGACTTATGTTTTTTTCCCCCTATTCCAGAGTCACTTTGCAACTTAAGTAGAAATTCGTATATGTTCTCTCATCTCTTAATCATGCACAGGCTCTTCTAGAATATCTCTTACCTGAATAGCTTCTAAGGGGCTAGTCACTCACAGCAGTGGAATGGGCAGTGTTTGGAGTCTCAAGACACAAGGGGGGAGTTAAATCAGCTTTCCTTTTTGTGGAAAATGGGGTTCAGTGACCTGCCTTCTGTTTCCTCTCTCTCTTCCTACCTGCAGTGAGTAGTATTACTAGCCTTTTCTATATTCTTTCCCTCCGATCTTCCTGCTCTTCTTTCCCACTCCAAAGGCACATGCCATGCAAAATATTTGAACTAGACCCTCCTCCAAAGCCCAGCTTTTACACTGACTCACCCTCAGCAACCCTGAACTAAGACTCCATGTTTCAACTGTCTTTGTCATTCCTGATCAGCATGCCTCTGTGCCTTCATAGACGTTGTCCCCTTTCCCTGGAATTTTGCTCCATTCCTATCTCCCGCCAATGCATGTCTCTATGTGTCAGACCCCTATTCATCCTCTAGAACTCAACTTGGACATCAATTTCTCCTCCTGGAAG
This sequence comes from Homo sapiens, assembly GCF_000001405.40. Classification (NCBI taxonomy): domain Eukaryota; kingdom Metazoa; phylum Chordata; class Mammalia; order Primates; family Hominidae; genus Homo; species Homo sapiens. Next base: position 104,814,586 of record NC_000010.11, read on the forward strand.
CCTGCCCTGATTGTCAAATTCTGTTCACTGACAGTACCTCACGCTTTCCCAGACACTCTCATTATATTGTCATAATATGTTTACACATCTAACTGACTAAATGTGAAATACTCTGGAGGTTGGGCAGGACTGGGTCAAATTTATCATTTGCATCATTAGGACATAGTAGATACCACTTATTAATTAATGGATGTGGAGAGCATTTTATTTGCTTCAAGACCTATGCCAAAATAAAACACAGCAAGCTAATTATTTGTACTTCAGCTCCCATTTTTAAGTCTTCTCACATTATTATATATTACAAATATAATTGGTAGTTAGGATCCTTCCTTTCTGTTTATCTTTATTGTCAAGTCCTAACTGAGCCCCAGTGTGTGAATGAGAGCCTCAAAGATGCTCTCTGTGGATAGAAGTGGAGGAAGAGGGAAGACACAATCCCTGTTCTCAAGAAGCTTGCAGTCTGAAGGAGGAGAAAAGACAAACAGCACTGATGGAAGGAGGACACCTGTGCGTGATTACTGCTGTTCTGTCAGTGAAACCCCAGAGATTTACAGTCAGTTATCACCACTGTAAAGAACAATGTGAAAGTCAGGGCCAGGTGCGGTGGCTGATGCCTCTAATCCCAGTACTTCAGGAGACCGAGGCCAGTGGATCCCTTGAGCCCAGAAGTTTCAGACCAGCCTGGGCAACATGGTGAAACCCTGTCTCTACTGAAAATACAAAAGTGGTGGCACACGCCTGTAGTTCCAGCTACTAGGAAGGCTGAGGAGGTGGGATCACTTGAGCCCAGGAGACGAAGGTGGCAGTGAGCCGAGATCACACCACTGCACTCCAGGCTAGGTGACAGAGCCAGACCCTGTCTCAAAAAAAAAAAAAAAAAAAAAAAGTCACCCACTGGGTATCTTGGAGCATAACATTATCGGGCACATTTAAATATAAATAAAGATTTGACATTGAGATACAAATTCACCACACTCCTAATTATTCAAAAATATTATTCTATCTTGATTGTCACCCATATACTTTTGTGCACATGGGAAATGCACCCATGTGCATTTCCACAATGACATACTAAATAGACACACTTTTTTTTAAGGTAGGCTTCAGGCAAAATCAATACATAAAACAAAAACAGTTTTTCATGATGCATTTAACTTTATAAGATATAATCTCATTAATACCAAGTGCCAGTTTATCAGTGGACACATATGTATTATTTCTATATAGCTGTAATAAGAATGAGCATACTTTTTGCTGTAATTAATAACTTCTGTATATTCATACGTTTTTTCCCCATAAGACCATGTAGTTCCAGTTTTCAATTTGTAGTAATGATATAGAATCTATCATAGAATATGCTATTAATTGCTTGAATATGTCCCTGCTATTGGTTATTTAGGTTGCTTAATTGCTTTTTCTCCCTGTGAGGGATAGCACTGTTATAAATATTTCCATACAAATAGCTTTTTTTCTTTTTCGCTTTTGAATTATTTCCATGGAATATAAGAGTATATTACCTAAAGTGGACTTAGCAGGTTAATGGGCATAAATAGCTTTGTCATTCTGCCAGAATGCTCCCTGGCAGGTCTGGGCCAGCATACAGTATTCGCAGGAGGATATGGGAATATCTGTTTCTTTATAATATCCTTAAATTTCATAACTTTGAAATGAATTTTCACTAATTCAAATGGCATTTTGGCATTTCAGAAATGAGTTAATTTGCTTTTCTTTAATCTGCTGAAAGCAAGATGCCAGGCCTTTTTTCAGCATTGGTTCACTCTCTACTTTTCTTCATGTATAAACTACCTGTCCTTGTATTTCAGAGATCATCCTGCTTTGGTGGGTCTTAGACTAACCATTTGTTAATGGTTATCCTTTCTGATATAAGGAAAAATAGAATGTGCCTTATCACTTTGCTAATTATTTTTCTTTGTCCTGCAGCATATTTTCACATTACACAAATTACACCTATCAGAGGTACACCCAAGTGCAGGAAGTTTGTGGTTTTAGTGAATTAGTAGCTATTCCCATGGAGCCAGTCAGGGGCTGGCGTCTGTTCAGCGCACCTTCCAGACTCATCAGACTTTTAAAAACCACTTTGTGGTGAGGAAAGAGGGAGGGCTTGGAGGTCCCAGCTCTGCTGCTGTGTGACTGGGGAGGTTCCTTAGCCTCTTTGAGCCTGAGCTTCCTCAGCTGAATCATTGGAAACAAAACCTAGCTTGCAGAATCATTTGGAACATAAGTTGGTGCTGCTTAGAGTGGTCTCTCCTTACTTTCACTTCCTTCTACTTGTTCCATCCTTCTCTCCTCTCTCTTTAAGACCAACAGGGAATACAGCTGCTAGAGTTTGGAGGGAGGCCAAGCCTTCAGCCCGGGCACCCAAGAATTCACCATGCCCAGAGCCTGTATCCACCTTCGTGGACCCAGCTTCCTGGCTTCTGGGGCACCACAGTGTCTGTTCCCCTCAAGCCCAAAGGAAGTTTGTTGTTTCCAACACCCAGACAGCCTCAGTACTTTCACCAACTTGGAAGCGGTGGATCTACAGTCATCTTGAAGGGGCCCACACTACTTATGAGCACATTTCATGAGAGACCTGGCCAAGGAGGAAGATAGGGCCCATGGATTTCCTTTCCAGGAAATTAAGGGAAACTACCCCTTATTTAGTACCTAATAAGGGCTGCTGACACATTATCTCAATTTTCAATTGGCAATCATAGGAGTCACTGTTTTTTTCCTTTTCTCCTCCCTTCCCTGCCTCCCTCCTCCCCCCTCTTCCACCCTTCTCCCCTTCCTCCCCCTCCTCCTCCTCCTTCCCCCTCCTCCTCCCCCTTCCCCCTCCTCCTCCTCTTCCTCCTCCCCCTTCTCCTTCTTCCTCCTCTCCTTCTTCCTCCTCTCCTTCTCCCTCCTCTCGCTTCTCCCTCCCCCTCCCCCTCCTCTTCCGCTTCCCCCTCCTCCTCTTCTTTCCCCCTCCCCCCTCCTCTCCCTTCTCCCCTCCCCCCTCCCCCTCCTCCTATCCCCTTCCCTTCTTCCTCCTCTCCCTCCTTTTCTCCCCTCCACCTCCTCCTTCTCTCCCCTCCCCCCTCCCCCTCTTCCCCTTTCTTTTCCCTTTTTTCCCTCTTATTTTCCCTCCCCTCCTCCTCTTCCCCTTTTTTGTTGGCAGGCAAGTGAGTAAGGGGGTGGGCAGATGAAGAAATCAGTCAGGGGGGATCAGTGTTTTTGCTCGTGGTCCCACAATAGGAAGTACAGAGCTAAGATTTGAACTGAAATCTGTCTGAACTCAAAGTCCACGTGCTTTCTGCCAAGCATGCTGGCCCTGAGATTATCCCTTTCCACCTCTTAGAAGCTTTCCCTGAGCTTTCTACCACACATTACCTTCCTTCGCGTCCATCTTTCTTTGAGATTTACCAATCATGTCACCAATTGAACACTTCTCATTTAATGCCTTGAATGATTAAACATGTTTGGCCTGCAGGTTGCCCTATCTACGTAGGTCTGTATACACACACACCTGTGCACACTTGGTTAGTCAGGACACTGCTGTGTGTTCTGCTCCAGGAAACTTTCCTACTGGCTCACCTCCCCTCACTTCTTTCTGTAATTCATGTGCTGAGCTGGTGGCAGTTGTTTGTAAATGTGACCCAACCTCTTGACAAAAGTGCATGTCTCCAGGAGTGTGTGTCTGACCCAAGTTAAGCCAATTGGAATCCCTTCCTAGGAATTGGAGGTTAGGAACAAGAGAGAGCACAATTTTTCTTCTCTTTCTTTCTTCTCCTTTCTTCCTTCCTTCCTTCCTTCCTTCCTTCCTTCCTTCCTTCCTTCTTTCTCTCTTTTTTTTTTGGAGCTGGTCCTCTAGCATGTGAATCTTAAGAGGTGGGGAGGGCCCAAGGGGTGCCAGGTAGACTCGGGGAGAGGTGGATGGAGCCTCCCTTCAAAAGAAGAGATATGAAGAGGGTCCCGTAGGCTCCCAGTCCTGCATTAGTCCTTTCCTGAGTCACAGCTGCAGCCCTGTCCTTGGCTACTACAGGATCCCCTGCTTTTCTGTGCCTCCCTGTACTCTGAGCTTATGTCAGTTCCACAGGGCCCCTTGCTTGTCTTCAGAAAGATTCCAACCCCTGTTGCCCTGGGTTCTGCCAGCTGAATGTGGGATTTTCTGATTATTATCAACCTACCTGAAGAGTAATCATGGGTTCCAGTTGGGAAATTTGCAGAGGTGTGAACTTGAACCATGCCTGCTTCTAAGCTGGTGTGTAGGGATGAGTGCACTTCTCAGTGGGCCTAGCTAAGTACGGCATGCATGACCGTGTGGGACTTTTTGTTTTTTCTGCTATTTTTTTACATGGTAGCTTTTTGCCTTATGATAAAAACAAAATGAAGTGAAACAAAACTAAATTCAGACTTAATAATATCCATCCAAGCTGGAGATAAAATGAGGGAAAATGGAAAAGGTTAAATAACTAGGTCATGTTTCTTGATGGAAATGTGATTGGAGAAAAGGCCAGGGGGGTGACATACTTTTTTTGTATTTGAGGTTTTGTGGATTTGCAGGAATCTCAATGTCACTTGAGAACTCTGAGGGGGTGCACGTCAGTGTGTACAAGATTCACCTGGATAGCCTATAAAATGCAGATTTCCAGGCCCTGTTCCCAGAGTGTACATAATGCATGAAAGATAGGGACCAGGGTCTGTGTTTTTAAGTAAGTTTCTCAGATGAGTCTGGCTCAAGGGGTCTGTGAGTCACACTTTGACAGATTCTTACCTGTTGTATATTACATTGATCTGTATCTGTTTGTCTGTCTATAGGTTCCCATGTATCTTCATCTCTTTCTCTCTCTCTCACTCTCCCACCCACACACATATCCACTCTTTCAGTAAGCTCCTCACATCTCCTCCTCTCATATGCCCACAATACCCGATAAATCCTTTGCACATTTCATGTGCCAGGTAAATGCTTGCTGGTTCTATTATTCCTCAGCTGTTATTCTGGGATGAACTTTTCCTTGGAGCGGGGCCACACCCAATACTATCCACTTGGACCCTTCCATGTGCTGGGCAGTGGGAGGCAGGTGCGCCCTTTCCCTTTCCCCAGATCTACCTCCTACTCACATGCAACCTACTCATTTGAGTCAAAATTCTAATTTTAGAAGAAAACTAGGGCCTGACATCTAAGCCTTGCCAGGTGCATGGCCTGGAGGAAGAGAAGTTGAGGGCTGGAGAGTAGCTCAACAGCTGAGATGTGGAACTCAGGTTTTAGGAGGGTGGAGAGGCAGGAGGGAAATGCAGAAGGCAGTGACGTGGCCTTCACTTCCAGAGCCAAGATTGCTCATGCAGCTATGAAATCAAACCTGCCGTTTATTGTGTTTTCCTTAACCACTGGGTTTAGAATGGAAAGTTGGCTTGAGGTTGAGTCTCTGATCTTATCTTGAGGATGTTGGGTTTACTTTAAACTTAGTCTTAAGGAGATTCTAGTGGAGGTTCTCATATGCACCAAGCTGTCATGGTAACTTCAGGGGTGCCAAAATTGCTGCCTTAATTGACACCCTCTAATCAGTAAGGAGGTGGAATTTGAAACATTAGGAGGGAACAGATTTTTTAGGGTAAGAATATATTAGGTGCTGCCATTTACGTGTCGTGGGATTTTGCTTGGTTACCTAATCTAAGTCTATTTCATCCTTGAATAAAATGGGAACAATAGTAATCATAGGATTGTTGCAAGGGTTAAATGAGAAAATAGATGTAAATATTGACTTCTGGTACTACTTGCATTATTGTCATTAACTGGAATTTATCAACTGGCTAACATTTATCCTATAAATATTTACTTATTAACAGATGTTTATAAACATCTACTATGTATCAAGTAGGGTTTTATTTATTTATGGGTTTACCAATTCATAACAAAGATCAAGAGGCAAGAAAAAACAGTAGGTCATTCATTCTGAAGATACTTTTTGAACACCTACTGTGGATTAGGTGTTTGAAGCACCTACTGTGAACAAAATGCTCTGCTTTTCTGCAGCCCTGTGTTCTGTTTGGTCATGCCTAATTACTCTTTTAATTGTAAAGGATTGAGTTTGTCAATATTTTATTTAGAATATTTGCATCAAAATTAAATGTGAACTATTTTTGACTCCCCCTAAAATAAAGAGACTCAACACTTGCTCTTAAATATCTCACAGTGTAGTGAGAGAAGATAAAATATTAGTATTACAATACAATAAGAAGTTGCTGTAATGTTAGGATGCATCAACAGTCATATATATAAAAGAAGGAGCAACAGAATCTGTCTTGAGAAGTCATGATAGGCCTTGGAGAAGTGATTTTGATCTGAGGCTTAAATGGTGGGAGAAGTATTTTAAGCACAACAGGAACACAAATGGGTTGAAACAGAAGAAAGATTGATTGACTGATTGAACAGAAAGGACTAGATGTTTATGGCTTCATGGCAGGCTTGATCCAACAGCTCAAATGATGATGTCGTCAAAGACTTAGATTTTCTTAGTATTTGTACTCCGGCTTGTGCATTCTTGGCTGCATCTTCGGGTTCCACACTGTGTACCTTCAGCAACTTCAGGCATTCTCTATACTCTGTTGGTTGAAGCAGTCACAACATTTTGAAGGGAGGAACATAGACCCCACTTCTCAACAGAGGGTGCATCAGGGTCACATTGTAAGGTAAGCATGTGGAATGGGAGATACCAGAAAATATAATGGGCCACAGATGGAGAGATGAGTGTGGACTGTGGTCATGAGGGATAACTCCCTGCTGGGGACAGGGCTTGAGCTGATGCTTAAAGAGTGGATAGCTGGAAGCTGGCAGGCAGAGAAGGGCAGGAAGAGAACATGTGCACATTCCTGGGGACACCGGTGAGGGTTTGTGTTCCTTTTTGGGTCTTCTAGATGCCTCCTTACTGCCCAGAGCAACTAAATAGGCTAAAAATGGAGTCTGTTGCTACCATCTATCTGTAGAAGACCAAAGCATTCAGCAATTTCAAAGCACATGGCTCCTTTTTGGTGTCTTACATATTCAACCTCAGGTTTAAAGTCCCCTGTGCCCAGTAAGTTGATCAGGCTTGATAAAATGCAAAGCCATTTCTCCTGACTTCTCCCTTTGTTTTCTCTTCTATTCTGGGGTACGAGGAGCCTCTGTACCATGGGATTGGAAGACTCACCAATGTCTTTGAGTTGGCACAATAAGTACCCTTGTTAGCACAGAAATCACATTAAATCAGTTATGTGCTTACTTGCCTGTCTGTCCCCCATTATGCTGAGAGTCTTGGGAGGGAAGAAACTGTGTCTAACACATTCCAGATTCTGAAGCAGAGCCAGGTACATAGTAGGTGCTGTGTACAAGGTTATTGGAATAAAATAACCTTGAATGAAACTTCAAGGTTGAATGACAGCAGTGTTCAACACACCTGGGCACTTTCATACCATCTCAGCCTACTGCAAGGTCCACATTTGTTTCCACCCCTTATTTTTTATTCCTTCTCTTAGTCCTGGAGTCTGACCAGCTCCTCTGTGATTCTTATTTCTCTAGATCAGGAATCTGATCTGTCCTCAGTTTCTGTATCTGTATCTGACAGTCAGGTCTCAGAACTGAGGCCTTAATTCCCAAGCACACGTTGTCTGTTTCTTATCATGGAGGGAGATTGTTTAGACCAGAGTCAACACACAAGAAGGACTGCCGTGTCCCTTTACCCTTTTCCTTGGCAAGTTTTCCTGGCATGAACTCTTGCTGTAACTAAGATATGTGAGGAACTTACTTTTACAGAGATATTTTGCCAAAGATAAATTTCTCAGGACTGTGGCCATGGATTCTTAGCAAAAGGAAGGACAAGGAGATACGATCAAATGTGTGCTGGTGAATCAATACAAATAAATTATGTGTTCTTTGTTATTATGTCCTAGGCTACATGAGAGAGGGCTCTTAATCATCCACCATCAGCCGCTGGAGGTTCTGCTCCTTTCTCAGGAGTTATGTGGAGACAAACCCAGGCATATGTTATTTTAGGCAACCCAGATCACTTTCTGGTGGGAATATTGGTGAGGCTGCTAAAGGAATGCTAGCCTCTGCAAAAGACTGGAGGAGAGCAATTCCTCTCAGAGTCTGGCATGGCCCTCAATACGCTCTAAGTTTTTCTACCTCTAATGTCCCTGGGATTTATCAGCACTTTCCTGCTTGAATGAATGGTCATTCTGCTGTGATATATGGGACCAATCTCTGGCGATTTTAATCAAGTATGTGACTAAGAGCTTGGACAGATTAAAATCTACACCTACCCCAACTTCCCACCATATAAATGAGGTGGCTCTTTATCTCTTATATCTTGGGATGTGGCTGCCATGGCCCTGTTATCTGCCATTCTGGGCTAGGACCTAGACCAAGGCCAACTCAGGAAGTACATGCATTCTGGGCAAGGTGAGATCCAGGTAAGCAGTTTGTAAAAGGAGCTAAAGAGGTGACGAGACATGGGGGTGAGGCTAGGAGATAGTAATCTAGGAAAGGAGCCTCTCCAAAGGCACTGGACAGGCAGTAACAAACATGCCTGCAGGGCCAATAGGCAGATGAGTAACGACAAAATAGGGCACAGGGAGAACCTAGGCCATGAGCAGGTTTCCAAGACAGGGAGGATGCACAAGTTTGGGGAAATAAGTTGGAAACCACCGCAACCAACCTGGAGCATGAAATGAGGTTTAGGCCATGGGAACACTTAGATGGTCCTCCCCTATGTGTTGGATTGGAGCTGGATCTCAAACCTAGACTTGTGATTAAAATGAATTATACTAACTTCTTGGATATCTCTGAGACACCTTTTTTTTCCTATTCTGTTCCATTTGCAGTTTTTAGCGACAACTTTTTCATAAGGGATTCCCTCCCACCTCCCTTCTCTCCTTTCCCACTGCCATTGCCTCAGTTCAGATTTCCTACCTCTTATGTTTGGACCATTGCAGTATCCTTCTCACTAGGCTTTCTGCTTTTCATCTTCACTGATCCACCCTTCATACTCCTGGCCATTTCATTTCCAAAGTGCAGGTCCTAAAAGGTCACTGACTTATTCAAGCTCATTAGACATCTTCATGGTATTTAATGAGTCAAGTCAAAACTCTTTAACTTGGTGTAGTTGGCAGAATAGTGGCCTCCCAAAGATACCCATGTCCTGATCTCTAGAACCTGTGGATGTGTTAGGTCACATGACAAAGGGAAATTAAGACAGTAGGTGGAAATAAGGTAGCAGTCAGCTGAGTTTAAGATAAAGCGATTGTCTTGAATTATTTGGCTGGGTACAATGTAATCATGAGGGTCCTTAAATGGGGAAGAGGGAGGAAGAAAAGTCAGTTTTCAGAGTGATGCCATATGAGAAAGACCTGACCAGCCATTGTTGGCTTTGAAGACTGAAGGGGACCATGAGTCAAGGAATGGGGGAAAAGAAAACTGTAGAAGCTGGGAAAAGAAAAACAACAGATTTTCCCCTAGAGCCCCCACAAGGAATGTAGAACACAACCCTACCAATACCTTGATTATAGCCAGTAAAACCCATTTTGGACTTCTGGCCCCCATAACTGTGAAATGATACATTTGTGTTATTTTAAATTCGTGGTAATCTGTTACAACAGCAATAGAAAATTTACACACCTGGTATTTAAAACCACTGTTATTTGGCCCCAGTAGATATCTCCATCTTCTTCTCTATGTATGTGAAGCTCTAGCCTCAGAAGACAATGGGTAGAGTGTCTCCAACCTAGTGTAAGTCAGACCAGTTTCAAATTTTTTTTGCAGGAAGTTGTATAAGCATGTATCTCCCTTCTTGCACTGAAAGTGCCTTAGGTCAGGAACTTTGTGTCTCTCATCCCTACATCCCCTTAGTACCAAGCATGATGTGTTGCCTGTAAGAGAGACTCTGTTGTAATTTGTAGGATTGAATAGGAGGTGGGTTGTGATGAATGCCCAATCATGAGTTGGTGATAGGGTATTCACTTCACTGTTATTTACAGCAGTGGTGCTGAACGCTGTCCCGGGTGCTGGAGGTGCTGAGCGCTGTCCCAGGTGCTGGAGATATAACTGCAAATAAAACAGATGTGTTGATACTGAAGCATCTTACAGTCTAGCCAAGCTCCTGCCTTTGCCCTCATCCGAAGCAGCTGAGGCTAGTGGCTGCTTCCAGTCTGGAGAGATGCTGATCCCCAGGAAATTCACTGGAGTCAGCAGCTGAAATTGTTTGGCTGGGAGCTCTTTTAGCTCCTGAGACCCAAGAGGGAGCACTGCCCCTGACAGAAGCTCCAGAAGAAAGGGAAGTGTGTGTGCCTGCAGGCAGGATCAGCAGAGACAGCCCCTGAAATGAAAAGAGACAAGAGGGTTGGATCACACACCAGGCAAAATGAACTTGGATGGACCTGTGATCTTCCCATCGCGGAGGCTGTCAGTGCGTGTCCACACAAAGCAAGCATTGGCATGCAGGGAGTTCCAGGCTTTTATCTCTGTGTCAGTGAGAGGCCTGATGAGGTTGCTCTTTATTTTGTGAGCTTCAAGTTGTCACCACTAAAGTGACATGCCCCTTCTTGAGGACATGGCATTTCCTCACTCAAATGGCAAATGACCTGGTTTGCTCAGAGACAGGGAAAAAGGAAGGAACCTAATGCATGCTGACGGCTTACTGTGTGCCTGGCAGTACAATACCCTTTAGCTGATCCTCACAACAACTGAATGAAGGGCGTGATCTTGGCTAACTTTAGTATGAGGACACTGAGGCTCAATAGGGTAAGCCCCTTTCCTAAGGTCACACAAAATAAGTGGCAGACCCTGGATTCTACACTAAAACTTTCTGGTTTAATGCTTTCACTTTTTCTCAAAGAAACAGATCACTTATATTAATATTTTCATTTGTGTTAATGATCATCTCTGGAGGTTTCACATTAGTGGCATTGCAGCCAGTTTCCTCTTCCATCAGCTCACATCCGTTTCTGCCCTTGGCTGCCTTCTCAGGGTGGTTTTGATGGTGGTTGGATGGATGGAGTAATGGACAGGCAGAAAGGTATGAGCTCAGACTCCTACCTAATGGTACACCTTTGGAGAGAATTAAGCCGTGGTCTGGTGAGATGTTATTATGGGATATAGAAATTGGCAAGGAATTGTGTGGTCATTTAGCCCCACCCCTGTTGCTGCGCTGCATGCTACCTAAATCATTTCCAAGAATGGCCATCTCATTTTCAAAGTCCCTTAGGGAATGAGAGTGAATGGATTTTTAATTCATTTTTAATGGCTCGTTACACAAAACCAGAACAACCCCCCACTATTCAACAGCCATTTTTCACAGTCTCCTTGTTTCAACAGCATTGCGTTTTCATTTCCTTGATTTGTCACTTGCCTTATTCAGTTACCAAATTCTGCAAAGTACTTTCTTAACAATGGCCCATTTTTAAGTCAGGATAACTACTGCTTGTTAATTTCTATATATCTTATCTCTCCCTTGGATCCCCTTGGAATAGAGAACCCTGTGTTTGGGTGCTGACTCCTGCCTCTTCCTACTTGCATGAGCGGGACAGTTTCCTTATCTAGGCAATGGGGATAATGCTATCTCCCTTTTGTCATAGTTATGCTCATTATCTGTGTAATACACATCAAGCATCAAGTACAGTGGTTGGCACTTAGTAGGTCCTCAGTAAATGTTAGCATGCTCACCTTGGCCCTTCCTGTATTTGTTCCTCTCTTGTATAAACTACCGTAGTTTAATTAAGTTGTGATTTTGTCTGGAAATTTAGTGTTTTCTTTCATCTACACCCCATTAGGTACAGGAGTATACACACATATACCTCAGAGATATTGTGTGTTACAGTCCACCACAATAAGGTGAATATCACAATAAAGCAAGTCACACAAGTTTTTTGGTTGCCCCATGCACATAAATGTTATGATTACATTATACTGTCATCTATTAAGTGTTAAGTAGCATCATGTCTAAAAAAATGCATACTTCAAGTAAAAATATTTTATTGCTAAAAATACTAATGATTACCCGAGCCTTTAGTGAGAAATCATCTTTTTTGCTGGTAGAGGGTCTTGCCTCAATGTCAATGGCTGCTGACTGATCAGGTTTGTGGTTGGTGAAGATTGGGATGGCTGTGGCAATTTCAGAAAATGAGACCACAATGAAGTTTGCTGCATTGGTTGACTCTTCTTTCATGAAAGATTTCTCTGTAGAATGTGATGCTGTCTGATAGCATTTTACCCACAGTAAACTTCTTTCAGAATTGAAGTCAATCTTCTCAAGCCCTGCCACTGCTTTATCCACTCAGTTTATGGAATAGTCTAAATCTTCTGTTGTCATTTCAATAATGTTTGCAGCATTTTCACCAGGAATAGATTCCATCTCAAGAAACTGCTTTCTTTTCTCATCTGTTTAAGTTTAATCATGAGATTGCAGAAATTCAGACACATCTTCAGGATCCACTTGTAATTCTAGTTCTCTTGCTATTTCGACCATATCTGCAGTTACTTTGTCCACTGAAGTCTTAAACCCCTCAAACTTATCTATGAGAGTTGAAATCAATCTATTCCAGACTCCTATTCATGTTGATATTTTGATCTCCTCCCATGAATCATAAATGTTCTTCATGACATATGGAATAGTGAATCCTTTCCAGGCGGTTTTCAATTTACTTTGCTGAGATTCATCAGAGGAATCACTGTTTATGGCAACATAGTTTTATGAAATGTATTTTTTTAAAAAAATAAGTCTTGGAAGTGAAATTACTCCTTGACTCACGGGTACATGATGGATGTTGTGATAGCAGGCATAAAAACAACATTAATATCTTTGTACATCTCCATCGTAGATCTTGGGAGACCAGGTGCATTGTCAGTAAGCAGTAATATTTTGAAAGAAATATTTTTATTGGAGCAGTAGGTCTCAACAGTGGGCTTAAAATTTTCAGTAAACTGTGCTGTAAAAAGATGTGCTGTCATCCAAGCTTTGTTATTCCATTTATAGAACACAAGCAGAGGAGATTGAGCATAATTCTTAAGGGCCCTAGGATTTTTGGAATGGTAAGTGAGCACTGGCTTTAGCCTAGATGAGTTATCCTGTCTTTTGAAGCTTTGAAGCCAGGCATTGAGTTCTCCTCTCTAACTATGAAAGTCCCAGATGGCATCTTCTTCCAACAGAAGGCTGTTGGTTTACATTGAAAATCGATTATATAGTGTAGCCACCTTCATTAATGATGCAAGGTAGATCTTCTGAAAACTTGCTGCAGCTTCTCCATCAGAACTTGCTGCTTCACTTTGTACTTGTATGTTATGGACATCCCTTCTTTTCTTAAACTTCATGAACCAACCTCTGCTAGCTTCAAACTTTTCTTCTGAAGCTTACCTCTCTTAGACTTCATGGAACTGAAGAGCGTTAGGGCCTTGCTCTGGATTAGGCTTTGGCTTAAATGAGTGTTGTGGCTGGTTTGATCTTCTGTCACTAAACCTTTTTCCCTATCAGCAATAAGGCTGTTTTTCTTTTCACGTGTATGTTCACTGGAATAGTGTTTAAAATTTCCTTCAAGGACTTTTCCTTTGCATTCAGAGTTTGGCAAACTCTGGCACAAGAGACCTAGCTTTCAGTCTATTTTGGCTTTTAATGGGCCTTCTTTGCTAAGCTTAACCATTTTTACTTTTAATTTAAAGTGTGAGATGTGTGACTCTTCCTTTTACTCAAACACTTAGAGGCCATTGTAGGGTTGATATTTGGCCTAAATTCAGTATTGTTGTGTCTCAGAGAATGGGGGCATGTGGGCTGAGGAGAAGGAGAGAGATGGGGAACAGCCGATCAGTGGAGCAGTCAAAACTTGCACATTTGTCAATTAAGTTCACTGTTTTATATGGGCATGGTTCATGGTGCCCAAAAAACAATTACAAAGTAACATCAAAGATCACTCATCACAGGTCATCATAACAGATATAATAATAACAAAAAAGCTTGAAATGTTGTGAGAATTTCCAAAATGTGACGCAGGGACACAAGGTGGGCACATGCTGTTGGAAACATGGTTCCAACAGGCTTGCTCGACATGGGGTTGCCACAAGCCTTCCATTTGGAAAAATTAAAAAGAAAACCACAGTATCTGTGAAGTGCAATCAAGTGAAACACAGTAAAACAAGGTACCTTTGTCTTCTCTAGTGGCCCTTAGAGAATGATAACTCTTTAAAACTTAATATGGTCTGATTTCGGGAGATTGCTTTCATTATCTTCCCACCCTGCTCCTGTGTCCCTTTCTCCTTACCCTGTTGTGGACATTCTCAAAGTTATTTCAAAGCCACCTTGAGCTCTCCCTTCTGGAGAGGCTTGGCAGACTAACTTATCTAAGGAAAAGAAATCCTTGAAAGACATTGCTCCCAGAAAGGAGAGGGCTGAGAGTTTAAACTTTTTCCATCTCTTATGATCTCATCAAAGCCTCTCATCCACTGTGAGGATGTCCTGACCACCTCAGCTCAGATTCATCGTCTCCTCCTTTGAACACCTCTGGTAATACTTTAAACTCAAGAAGTGTGTTATATCTCTGTTGATTAATAGATGCCATATCAAAGAAACATTTAATAATACTTTCATAGTACAATGATGAGAAAATCAGGGTTCCTGTCCTGAGGAAGCATGTAACCTAGAGTCAGAGATGCATGTGCAGATAGAAAATTATAGTCTGGTGAGTAGCAAAATTGGAGGTATGTACAACAAGTTAGGGGAACATAGATTAAGGGAAAATCAGTTCTGTCTTTGAGAACAGCTGAGACATCAGAGTGTTGATATTTGAGCTGAATCTGGAAGCATGAGAAGGAAGGAGAGCATCAGGTAGAGAACAGGAGAAGGGCTTTCAGAGGAGGGAGAAGAGCATAATGGAAAGGTACGGGAAAGTTGAATAGGAGAAGGGGTATTCTAGTATGGCTAAAATTCAGTGGTCATTTGGGAAAGTGGCTCTAGAAGAGGTTTAAACTGCCATTTGGGGCCAGGTTGAGAAAGACCTTTTATGCCATGAGGAATCTGGATTGATTCTAAAGGCAGTGAGAAGCCACTAGAGAATTTTTGTAAGAAATTAAGTAAATGAGTTAGTTCAAAGGCCTTTGAGGCCATCTAGTAGCCAAATCCAATGGTTGATTTTTGATCTTTCTTGTAAATAAACTGTCAGCAGTATTTCACTTTACAGGGATCTGGTCACCCTCTTCCTTGAAATGCTTTCCTCACTCGGTTTCCAGAACCCATGTTCTCCTTGATATCCTTGTATCTCCCAGCCTGTTCTGTGTCAGCCAGGGCCTCTAACTCGAGATATTTTTTGATTTTAATTTTATTTTAAGTTCTGGGTTACATGTGCAGAACATGAAGACTTGTTACATAGGTATACATGTGCCATGGTGGTTTGCTGCACCTGTCAACCCATCATCTAGGTTTTAAGCCCCACATGTATTAGGTATTCGTCCTAATGTTCTCCTTTGCCTAGCCCCCCAACCCCCGACAGGCCCTGGTGTGTGTTGTTCCTCTACTTGTGTCCATGTGTTCTCATTGTTCATCTCCCACTTATGAGTGAGAACATGCAGTGTTTGGTTTTCTCTTCCTGTGTTATTTTGCTGAGGATGATGGCTTCCAGCTTCATCCATGTCCCTGCAAAGGACATGATCTCATTCTTTTTTACGGCTGCATAGTATTTCTAAAAGAAGAGATTGAATACAGGAATTGAATACAAGAGTGCTGGAAAGGCTGGAAGAGCAAGAAAGAGGAAAGGCAAGGCTGCTCAAAGATCGGTCACTGCAGGAACCATCACGTGACTGCCTAGGAGGAGAGGAAGCAGTACTAGAGGTCAAGGGTCTCTCCCACCTAGGTTCCTGCTGTGTGTGCTGAGGTGCATCAGAAGAACCCAGGAGCCTGTGCTGCTGGTTACTGAGACCCATCCCCATTGCTTCCACCACCTCTGTTGCTGCTGATGTGTTGTCACATCAGAAGCCAGATATGTGGAGAGGGCTGCTTCTCCCTCCTCCGCCAGTCCCCACTCATGCTTTCCATTGGCTGAACTAATCTTGAAGAGAGCTCACAGGAGAGTTTTAGAAATGTAATTTGCAGAGCCCTGGTTACCTGCCATACATAGGCAGGATTGTGGGGTGAGAGTAAACAGCACAGCCTACTTCTTTGGCTATTGTGAGTGTTCTTTTCCACCCTCCTGTTTGTATTTAACCTTGTGATTCTGCCTAATATAATGCAATAACTTCTTTTTTTTCTTTTGAGGCAAGGTCTTTCTCTGTCACCCAGGCTGGAGTGCAGTGGTGCGAATGCAGCTCACTACAGCCTTGACCTCCTGGGCTCAAGTGTTCCTCCTGCCTCAGCCTCCCGAGTAGTTGGGACCACAGATGTGTGCCACCATGCCCAGCTAATTTTTTTTAATTATTATTATTTTTTTTGGTAGAGGCAAGGTCTTGCCATGTTGCCCAGGCTGGTCGTGAACTCCTAGGCTCAAATGACACTCTCACCTCGGCCTCCTAAAGTGTTGGGATTATAGATTATAGGCATGAGCCACTGCACCAAGCCACGACAAATTATACCATGAGGATACTGTCACTCTCTATCAAGAAAGAGATTCATGAAGTTCCATTAGTTGCTAAACCTTCTCTGGGTAATGTTAATTGCTTTGTAGACCTATTACAATCCTGTGTGGATATCTTATAACCCAAAGTAGTTGTGAAGCTAACCAACACTAACGTTCTTTGTATAAAAGAAAAGAAACAGAGAGAGAGTAGGAGAAAAGAGAGTAACTTATGGGCACCATCTATTTATCTGTTTTGCCCTGCTGAACCTGTGGCTGGAATTACCCCAAAAGTGATGGAAGGGAAGTTCCCACAAGGGAGTGCCCCAAACGGTACCAAGATAGGGCCAGTTGCGATTCCAAAGAAAGAAGCACTAAATGCCAGGGTGATCAGTGCAAAGCATTTATTAGGGGAACTTAGTATAGTGCTGCAGCAATCCTCATGACAGACAGCAAGAGAAAAGGGGTGATCTACCTAGATCTGTCCAAGCAACGTGGTCAGGGAAAGGAGTTTATGAGACGGTTTAAGGCATTTAGCTCAGGGCCAGGACCTCTTTCTTTCAGTGTTTTGGGCAACAACCTAGATACCTTTAACAGTTCCTGGGAATGTTCAAAAGACCAGTGTAGGTTCAAGCCTGCTGGGGAAAACCTGCACCTTGCTGGGTCACAGAACAGTCAAGCACTCTGATTTTTCACTCAGAACACAGAAAGCAAGTAGGTGATGGGGGAGGGGGGTGTGGAATAGGGAATCCTGCATTCTCACTCATCTCTGTGCACACACATTCTGAGCCTTCTCTCATCTCTGTGTATGTGCACATAAAGCAGGCAAGGAGAAATATGCGTAATTGCTATTATATTCATTTCTGTTACTAGTCCTGAGGCATAGTTGATAGGCCATGTCTTTTTCAGCTACCCATTTTGTATTTCTTTTGCCCTTAGCAAATACCTCAGAGGGTTAAGGATTTCTACCTCATAGTGTGATAGAATAATTCAAACCGTCATTTCTGAAGAATCTTAGTCCTTAATAGTTCTGCCTTTACCACTGTAGTCTTCCGTTAACTTGTACTTCAGGACTTGAAGACAATAGGGGCACTTGAAATTAATAAGAGGCATAATAATAATAATAGGTTTCAGACATCATTCTCTTTGTCCTCATTATAAAACATCATCTCTGTTTCTCCTTGACAATAGGAACAAATCATCCCAGCTGGTAAGTAACCCCTTCATTACCTGTTTGTTCAGTGGTAGCATGAGAAGCTCAACACAGATGGATATTCCTTTCAGCTTCCAGTTCAATAGAACAGGTGTGACCGGGCACAGTGGCACACACCTGTAATCCCAGCACTTTGGGAGGCCAAGGTGGGCGGACTGCCTGTGGTTAAGAGTTTGAGACCAGCCTTGCCAACATGGTGATACCCTGTCTCTACTAAAAATACAAAAATTACCCAGGCATGGTGACACGTGCTCGTAATTCCAGCTACTCAGGAGGCTGAGGCAGGAGAATCGTTTGAACCCAGGAGGCAGAGGTTGCAGTGAGCCAAGACAGGGCCATTGCCCTCCAGCCTCGGCAACGAGAGTGAAACTCCATCTCAAATAAATAAATAAATAAATAAATAAATAAATGAACGAACGAACAGGTGTTTTGCCTCTTGGTGACAGTTCCCTCCTTGGGAAGCAATACTTCTCTGCTAACAGAGCCCCAAGTTGTGGGGACATGATTTAAATATTCTGTGGTGTCCTCCTGGATATGATAAGGAGAGACATCACTCACACTTTTCATTGTTGATGTTCAGACCTTGGTATTTGGACCATATTTTGGTGGGACCCACATCCTAGAGGATAAGCACCACAGCCTCACATGGGTGTCAGCTCCCAGATGGTGGTCATTGAGTTTTCACAAGTCCACTCAAGCATTGTATCAGTCCAGGTGCTCTGGGTGATCATGTTTATGATAAGACCAGTGAATTCCACAGACATGCCCATGACTGTATTTCATTTGCTGTGAAATGAGTTCCTTTGTTAGAAGTCATGTTGTATGGGACACCATGACGGTGACTAGCGCAATCTGAAATTGAAATGTTTGATTCTAGCATGATCACTACAGGAAAGGAAAGCAATTCCAGTGAGAAGAAATTGCCTTCTCTGAGATGAGAGGGGTGCTGTGCAATCAACCTGCCACCATGCACGATGTTGAGACTCAGCATTGGTTTCTTATGTTGGTAGATTGGGAACTCAGCAGTGATTATTTCCACATCAGCCTTGGTGGGGGAGATTCCATGGTGAGCCTAGGGGAAGCCTCAATCTCTGCCACAATGGCCATTCTATACAGGAGCCCACAGAGCAGACACAGGGGTAACTGGGGAAGAGGCTCATTGATCTCAACAGAAGACACCATCCTGTCCATCTGATGCTTGAAAGTCTCTATAGTAAACACCACGTGGTGAGCATTCATACAGGACACAAATATCCCCTGTGCCAATTTCGAGAGGTCCAAACAAACTGGTTTTTCTGCCTCGTTTCACTGATCTCTAAATGCTGACATGCCCCAGCTGTCAATCCTTATAGCTTTAGTCAATCCACACTTGGTCTCTTAGTGACTAGACCTAGACTCATGTCTTACAAGTCCATCCAATCACTGACAGCTCCCAAATTGATATTTGTAGCCTAAACTCTCTTCTCTGAACCCCAGACTCATTTATCCAGCTCAGTGTTTGACTTCTCCATTTGAATGTCTCTTAGGCATTTCGAAATTAATGTCTAAAGCTCAACTTTTAATCTTTCCTCCAAACCTTCTTCTCTCACAGTCCTCGTCTCATAAGACAGCAATTTCATGCTTCCAGTCACTTAGGCTCAAATGCTGAGGGTTGTCCTTGACTATTCTCTTTTGTTCACACCTCGTATCTAATTTGTCAGCAAATCTCCTTGGCTCTATCTTTAAAATATATTTAGATCCTGCCCCTCTTCACCTGTCTCCCCAGTCCACTGCTGTTACTCTGGTCCAGTCTACACTGCATTTCCCCTGGATGATTACAGTAGGCTCCTCATCCACTCTCGTCCCCTCACTGCCTTTCTAAACACAGCAACCAGAGTGATCTTGTTAAAACCTAAGTCCTCCATGTAAATCCTCTGGTGGTTTCCCATCTCACTCGGAGTAAGTACCAAGATTCTTACAGTGCTTCTCAAGGCCCAGTGAGATCTCAGCCTCCCAATATCTCCCTCACCTCCCCTCCAGCTTCATTAACTTGTTGTTCCTTGGTTACGCTGGGCACATTCCTGCCTTTGGATCTTTGCATCTGCTGCTGCTTCTGCCTGACATGTTTATTACCAAGAGCACCATGTGACTTCTTCCTTCACCTCATTCAGGATTTTAAGTGTCAGTTTCTCATAGAGGCCTCTTCTGAACTCCTTATTTACTTTTGCAACCTTCATTCCCCACCTGCCACCCCCCCAGCCCACCCTGGAACCACCCCTGTGTGTTTGCACTTTTTAATGTATTTCTCTTATTTCTTATTTCCTGCTTATTTTTTCCCCACAGTACTCACTGCCATTTGACTACTGCATTTGTTACCTATTTTTTTTTTTTCCTCTGCTAGGATATTATCTTAGAGGGGGCAAAGAGGCTGGTTTGTTTTCTTTACTGCTGATTCAGCACTTGGCAAAAAGGAAGCATGCTATACATATTAGTTTGGTGAATGAATGGAAAAATTATAAGGACCTGAAATTGGTCAATGTAGTACACCCCAACACATTTCAGGAGACTCGGTGTTTGCTTGCTATGGGCAAGATGAGAAAGGAATCATGCTGAGCCACAGAGTTGGTAATGCTCCCTTAAAAAAAAAACAGAGAAAGGGGTTAACAGTTTTGTAAAATTTCTTGCATCAGTCACTGACAAGTTGGTGTCTCTTGTACTATTAATAATTCCTTGTCTTCCCAACTAGATTGTAAACTCATGCTGTGCAATGGGCACTGTTTGTCTTATTCTGGACACCCAGTTGGTGTCCAGACATTCTCGTACTGTGGGTCAGTTGGGTTCTGGACTCTAGATGTTTAATTTCTACTCCCTGCAGGGGAGGCTCCTCTAGGTGGGAGGAAGATGCCAAGACTCACAAGACTATGCTGAGACTTAAAATACACTCCTGCAGGCAGTCCCCGAAGTGTATGTTTTAGCAACTTTCTTATGTTACCATTGTCTACCACTCCTGGTAAAGAAAGTCAGTGAGTCCTATTCCACTTGGCTGAAAGCAAAGAATTATCAGGTCTAGGCAGGAGTGAGGTCATAAGAGTGAGGGGACCTAGAGGTGGATGTGCAGAGAGCCCCATGGATTTAAAGGCACCAAGATTTTAGGAAGGTTTAATGAACTAAAGTAATTTTCCTTCAGAGTAAAATTTTACAGGCATTAAAGGTCCTCACTTCACTGAATGTGCTCACAGGCCAGAGCGTCCTAGTGATTTATGAATTTGCAGATTACACATTTCCTTTCTGAGAACAGGAATCCCCTGGGGCTTTCTGCCTGGCTTCCAAAGCTGAGTGGAGGTGCCAGGTGAGAGAACACTGGCTCTGATTTGCGGCCTCCTGCATTGCAGTTAGGGTCTAGAATGGATGAGCATTTTTTTAGAAGGAGCTCAGCAACTCTAGAATCTGAAACCTTTCCACCAAATATGAGTAACTAGAAGCTCTTGTCTTCTGAAGAATAATTGTCACACTTATAACTCATGTTTGCACAGTACAGCTTATAAAGCAAGCTGGCATCCCTTATTTGATTTGAATCAGCAACCCTGTGAGCGTGGCAGGGAAAGTGTACCATTACCCCATTTTAGTAAAACACAGCCAACTCCGCAAACATACCTGAGTTGTTCGGGCACATGCAGGAGTGTGCGTCAAGGCTGGGTCTTGAGTTCAGCCCTCTGGTTTCAGGTGCTGCATTCTTTCCATGTGGCCTTGCAAGCTCCATCCAGGAGGCAGAGGGCTGGATCCAATTGGGCAAGTGAATTTAGACCAGGAGATATTTAGGATTTTTGGGTGGAATAGGGACTGAAACTTTAGAGTGTGGGCACTTCCTCTCACATAGAAAATGGGATGTGTAGAGTCACACCAAATATCACTCTCCCCAACCCTGTCAGGGACTTGGACTTGTTAGTTCCAATACGGATAATCTTGGAAGGCAGCAGGTTAAGGAGGGCTACACATTTAAAGACCACAGCAACCATTAAAAAAATCACTTTACTATCAAAATTCTTATACTGTGCTTGGCATTGGGCAGGAATAGATGAATGAAAGAAGTGAGGAATAAAGGCATTAGTTGCTGGTGTTGCGTGTGTCTGAAGCTGGCTTGAGCATTTGGGGACAGCAGAAGATACTAGCTGCTTGGGGACAAGAAAATTGGAGGTGGATACTCTACAAAGACAGCTCCAACTGATTTTATAAGAAGTCAGCTATGTCCCTTATTGTCACCTTATTTATGGTGACATAAATTATTATAATCTTCTATTGTCACCGCCCTCTTCACTCTTGTAGAGCTTTTAATCAAATCATTACTGACTACACCAAGTGCAATCCCACTCTCCTTCTTGCACCCTTCCCTTGTCCTTTGTGCCTTGTTTCCCACCTTGGCACAGCCTTGCCGTGTCTCTGAGTGGATCCTGCGTATATCATGGTGCACTCAACACAGCCCATACTGCTCCATCTCCATGCTGCTTTTCTCATAACTAGAATGCTGCCCCTACCTCCTGCTCTTTTCTATCTACCCCTGTCCAATTTAAAAAGAAAAAAAAGAAATAAAGCAGACAAGCTCCATTTCAGTGTATAGAAATTCCTACCATGCTCTAAGACCCAGCTCATATAACCCCTCCTTCATGAAGACTTTGTTAATCACATTTTCTGGACTTAATTGCTTCCTCTTCTCAAATCTTATAGCACATTTTCCATACCTCTCTCCTACATTTATCATCTCATCCCTTCTTTTACTGCCATATATTTATAATTCATCCAAAGGACCTTGTATAGTACCTGCCATGTGTCAGCCGTTGTGCTTGGTGGTGGGAATACAGAGCTAAATGAGACCTGATTTCTGACCTCAAGGAGGTCACAGTCTAACAGGGAAGACAGACATACAGAGAAATCATATTATCCCAGTATGACAGAAGCTATAAGAGATGTATGAACAGTGTTATTTCAAATAAGATGTCAGATGCCAATTTAAAATAGTTATATGTACCTATATGTACTTCCATAAATGTAATTTTCCAGCTATACACACACACATATAGAGACAGACTTCTCTGCTATTCTCTCTGTGTGTATGTCTGTATATAGCTTGTAAGAAGAGAGAAGTGCTATTACTCATGAATTATTCCAATTTATTTTCATTTCTCCTGCTGTCTAAAATCCCCCCAGGATTATAGCCAGTTAGGTCAAAAAGGTACTTATTTGACAAAGCTTATTTGGTAAACCTGGCTCTCCCAACAATTTGCCTAGTTCTTTTCTCATTACACATCTCTGTTTCCTATTTTTCTCTCCAAGAACAAAGAAAACAAAAGTTATCTTTACCCCTGGGCCTTGAGCTCTAGATCTCTCTCCCTGATTTGCAGAGTTTAGCAGGTGTATTTCTAGTTCACATAAGAGGTACTCGGTAAATATTTGTGGAATTCATGAATGAATGATAAACTCCTTGAGGGCAAGGGTACGTTTTTCTCTTCTCTGCATTCCTATTCATTGCCTTGCACGGAAGCCCACATAAACACTTACTGAGTAGAGGAGCATCACGTTAGAGCAGAACAAGCATGGTTGAGTCAGACAGGCATGAGCAGAAATGCTGGTTCTGTCTCTTGCTGGTTGTGTGCTGTGGGGGCAATTTGCTTAACCCTTGGGACTCTGTTTCTTTATCTGTAAAATGGGCGATATTATATAATACCTGCTCTGTTTCAAAGGTTTTTTGTGAAGATTGAGAATTGCCCAGTGTAGTACTTAGCACATAGTAGGAGTGCAATTAATGTTAGCTCCTGCTTATGCTTCCTTGAGTTTGAGTCCCATTCTCATTCTGGGGCCATCAGCTGGAGGGGATTCAAGTCAGGTTTTGCTGTAGATCCGGAACTACCCCCTCCACCATCCTGCCTGCCATATCCACCGACTGGGTTTCCGGAGCCACACTCTCATCTCTTTCTGG
Organism: Homo sapiens; assembly: GCF_000001405.40. Lineage (NCBI taxonomy): Eukaryota > Metazoa > Chordata > Mammalia > Primates > Hominidae > Homo > Homo sapiens. The sequence goes on from NC_000010.11 coordinate 104,838,291, forward strand.
TCCGAGTACTTGCCTAACAGCCCCGAGCTTGTTAGGTGGGTTTATTGCATCTACTTTCAATGTTCTTCCCTGGAAATTCACTCCTCCCCAGTGGCGTTTGGAAGGCTGTGAGTGGTGGGAGAGGTCGGGGTGGGCAGGCTTTCTCTTGCTCTTGGTTTTGTTTGCTTGGCATAGAATGTCTTAAGCCTGAAGGTTACATTATCATCTCTTCATGGCTCTATTAATATCCTTCTGGGCTGGGCTCCAGGGGAAAAGGAGTTTCCATCCTATAATTCTCAGTGTTTTGACTTTTCCTCTGGGGAATGCTGGTGTGACCACGCTGAGGTATCCTCCTCATACGTGTCCCACTCCCTGCTTTATTTGTAAGGTTAAATTCAATGTAAAGGAAGCAGTGTTTTGCTAGATTAGAATCTCACCGTGGTGGGGTGGGTAGTGTCACTGTAGCATAGAGGTGGGAAAGGAACCATGATGTGATGGAGCCTTTCTGGAAATGTGGTCCTCTGGTTGCCACAGAAGATTTTCGAATCCTACTCAGGGTCCATCGAGTCAGACTTACTGGGGGTGGGCCATGGAATCAGCATTTAACAGGCTCCCCAGTGGCTCTTAGGCTCCGGCTTTATTCATGGAATGGGAGGAGCACTACCTTGGGGGTACTTGGTCAAGGTCAGACATTGCCAAGGCTTAACCTTGAGTCATGTTCCCCTTTCTGGGGCTCCATTTTTTCATCTATAAAATGAGAGCAATAGACTGGCTTAATAGCATCTCCTGCTGAAGTCTGTGATTTACCAACACAATATCAATATCTTTCATTTACTCAAAAGCGATTATTGTATAAGAACCTTCAATATGCTGAGCCTGTGAAGGAGACAGAAGTACTAAACACAATCCCTACCTTAAGTTGTTTAGACTTTAGTTGAGAAGGCCACTCATGTAACGTTCAGAAACTATCAATATAGTGTTTGTGATAAATTGCATGACTCAATTTTAAGCAAAATAGGACTTCACAGGAGAGAACATTTTTGATGTCTGGGATAATCCTGGGAGGCCACCTGAAAGGGGTGGGCTTTTGACTGTTGCTCCAACATCAGGCAGGCAAGTACAGGGGATAATGAAAGGATGGGGCACAGGCAGTGATACAATGATAGAGCATGAAAGAAAGCAGAGATGTGAGGATGTGTTTGTCTTACCTGAGGTACCTTGAAAAACTTAGATTGTTTAAAACAGAGGACAGGTTTTTGCAAGCTAGAAAAAATGGTTGGAAGAGTATGCATGGGCCAGATTGTGGAGTCTAAGTGTGCCAGTCTAAGGAGTATGAATTTCATCCATTGGCGGAGGAAGCCAGTAAAGGTTTCTGATCAAGGAAGTGCATGAATTAAGAGGTAAAATTGAAACCATCTACCATGAAGGCAGAAGTAATATTCACAGAAGTGTGGAAGGATATGTGAGTCTGGATTCTCCAAGAAGCAGACGTAAAGATGAAATGAGATCTCTGAGAAACTTATCAGGAAAAATGCCCGTGAGAGAAAGTGGGAAAGGAGCCAGAGCAGATTGGGACAACTGCTGGGCTAAGATGGACATCTGACCCCCCGGTGAAGGAGATGGGTAAGGAAGGAAGACAGGCAGGTAGGCTGGCTGGGAGCATCTCAGACTGTAGTGAGGTTCTGTGGAAAGTTCAGCAAGGCTGTTAGGAGATCTTAGCATCAATGTCACCCATCAAGGAGTCCTGTCACCCAGGAATGTGTCTGCCTAGTATTCCTGTTGCTTGTAACCATTG